>NC_000001.11:188809587-189434587 GCF_000001405.40 Homo sapiens
TATCAACTAAAAAGTCGAATAATATTAATTTATATGATAGTGTATATGCCTACATGTGTATTTACATACGAATACATATATTTATATATACATACTTTTAGGTATTTTTTTTTTCTGTAAGGACTTGTTTTATTCTGTCTCATAATTGTGTGTTAGAACAATGTAATATTTTAAAAATGATGATAATCATGTATGTTACCTTAAAGCAATTGTTTCTAAATAAGTGTTTATTCAATTTCCTGAATTGTCTAATAATACTGTGTTCCCACCCCTCCTTCTCCACGCCAATATGGCACACAGTTATCAGAAGAGAGAACTCTCCTCTTCTGTGGAGTGGGAGGAGAAGTAAGTGGTGCTGATGAGGCTAGCCCTAGATATGGTCTATGTGTGTGGAAACTTCTTGATCTGAAAATTAGTCAAAAAAAAAAAAAAACACACACAGCTCCTGGATTTGTTTATTTATTTATTTATTTATTTTGAAGTTTTTTTCATGTCTCTATCTCCTTCAGTGCCACTCTGAGCTTGGTTATTTCTTGTCTTCTGCTAGCTCTTGTGTTTGTTTGCTGTTGGTTCTCTAGTTATTTTAGTTGTGATGTTAGGGTGTTGATTTGAGATCTTTCTAGCTTTTTGATGTGGGCATTTAGTGCTATAAATTTTCCTCTAAACACTGTCTTAGCTGCATCCCAGAGATTCTGGTACATTGTCTCTTTGTTCTCATTGGTTTCAAATAACTTCCTGATTTTTGCCTTAATTTCATTATTTACCCAGAAGTCATTCAGGAGCACGTTGTTCAATTTCCATGTAGTTGTGTGGTTTTAGCGGGCTTCTTAATCTTGAGTTTTAATTTGATTGCGTTGTGGTCTGAGAGACTGTTTGTTATGATTTCAGTTCTTTTTCATTTGCTGAGGAGTGTTTTCCTTCCAATTATGTGATCAATTTTAGAGTAAGTGCCATGTGACACTGAAAAAAGATGTATATTATGTTGCTTTTGGGTGGACAATTCTGTACACATTTATCAGGCTCACTTGGTCTAGAGCTGAGTTCAAGTCCTGAATATCTTTGTTAGTTTTCTGTCTCAATGATCGTTCTAATACTGACAGTGGGGTATCGAAGTCTCCCACTGTTATTGTCTGGGGTCTAAGTCTCTTTGTAGGTCTTTAAGAACTTGTTTTATGAATCTGGGTCCTCCTGTATTTGATGCATATACATATTTAGAATAGTTATCTCTTCTTGTTTAATTGAACCCTTTAACATTATATAGTGCCCTTCTTTGTCTTTTTTGAGCTTTGTTGGTTTAAAGTCTATTTTGTCAGAAACTGGAATTGCAACCCCTGCTTTTTTCTGCTTTCCATTTGCTTAGTACATTTTCCTCCATCCCTTTATTTTGAGTCTATGTGTGTCTGTGCACATGAGATGTGTGTCTTGAATACAGCACACTGACAGGTCTTGTCTTTGTATCCAGCTTGCCATTCTGTGTCTTTTAATTGGGGCATTTAGTTCATTTAAATGGCCATACTGCCCAAAGTAATTTATAGATTCAATGCTATTCCCATTAAAATACCATTGACATTCTCCACAAAATTAGGTAAAAACTATTTTAAAAATTTACATGGGTCCGGGCATGGTAGCTCACACCTCTAATCCCAACACATTGGGAGGCCAAGGCAGGTGGATCACTTGAGGTCAGGAGTTCAAGACCAGCCTGGCCAACATGGTGAAACCCTGTCTCTACTAAAAATACAAAAAATTAGCCAGATGTGGTGGCACACGCCTGTAATCCCAGCTACTTGTGGGGCTGAGGCAGGAGAATTGCTTGAACCTGGGAGGCGGAGGTTGCAGTGAGCCATGATTGCACCACTGCACTCCAGCCTAGGTGACAGAGCAAGAATCCATCTCAAAAAAAAAAAAAAAAAAAAAAAAGAAAAGAAAGAAAAAGAAATTTACTTGGAACCAAACAGAGCTTGCATAGCCAAGACACTCATACACAAAAAGCAAGCTGGAGGCATCATGTTACCCAACTTCAAACTACACTACAAGGCTAGAGTAACCAAAACCTCAGCATGGTACTGGTACAAAAACAGGCACATAGACCAATGGAACAGAATAGAGAACTCAGAAATAAACTATACGTTTACAACCATCTGATCTTCGACAAACCTGACAAAAACAACCAGTGGGGAAAGGATTCCCTATTTAATAAATGGTGCTGGAAGAACTGGCTAGCCATATGCAGAAAATTGAAACTAGACCCCTTCCTTACACCTTATACAAAATTAACTTAAGATGGATTAAAGACTTAAATGTAAAACCCAAAACTATAAAAACCCTAGAAGAATATCTAGGCAATACCACTTAGGACATACACATGGGCAAAGATTTTATGATGAAATTGTCAAAAGCAATTGCAACAAAAGCAGAAATTGACAAATTGGATCTAATTACACTAAAGAGCTTCTGCACAGCCAATGAAACTGTTATCAGAGCAAGCAGACAACCTACATAATGGGAGAAAAATCTATCCATCTGACAAAGGTGTAATATCCAGAATCTACAGGGAACTTAAGCAAATTTATAAGAAAAAACATTAACCCCATTAAAAAGTGGGCAAAGGATATGAACACACTTCTCAAAAAAAGACATACATGCTGCCAACAAACATGAAACAAAGCTCAACATCACTGATCATTAGAGAAATGCAATTCAAAACCACAATGAGATACCATCTCACACCAGTCAGAATGGCAATTATTAAAAAAGTCAAGAAAGAACAGATGCTGGTGAGGTTGTAGAGAAACAGGAGTGCTTTTACACTATTGATGGGAATGTAAATTAGTTCAACCATTGTGGAAGGCAATGTGGTGATTCCTCAAAGATTTAGAACGGATCCCATGACTGGGTATATATTCGAGGGACTATAAATCATTCTGTTAAAAAATACACACATGTGTATGTTCTTTGCAGCACTATTCACAATAGCAAACACATGGAATCAACCCAAATGCCCATCAATGATAGACTGGATAAAGAACATGTAGTACATATACACTGTGGAACACTATGCAGCCATTAAGAGAAACAAAATCATGTCCTTTGCAGGGACATGGATGAAGCTGGAAGCCATTATCGTCAGCAAACTAAAACAGGAACAGAAAAGCAAACACCGCATGTTCTCTCTTACAAGTGGGAGCTGAACAATGAGAATACATAGACACAGGTAGGGGAACAACACTTACTGGGGCCTGTCAGGGGAGGGCAGCTGGGGGGAAAGCATTAGGGAAAAGAGCTAATGCATGCTGGGCTGAATACCTAGGTGATGCTGAGAGGTGACAGCATGCTGGCAGCCCTTGGAGCCCTCGCTCGCTCTTGGCCCCTCCTCGGCCTCGCCGCCCACTCTGGCCGTGCTTGAGGGGCCCTTCAGCCCGCCGCTGCACTGTGGGAGCCCCTTCCTGGGATGGCCGAGGCTGGAGCTGGCTCCCTTAGCCTGCCGGGAGGCCTGGAGGGAGAGGCACGGGAGGGAAGCAGGGCTGTGCGCCGCGCTTGCGGGCCAGCTAGAGTTCCGGGTGGGCGTGGGCTTGGCGGGCCCGCACTCGGAGCTGCCGGCCGGCCGTCCCGGGCAGTGAGGGGCTTAGCACCCGGGCCAGCAGCTGCGGAGGGTGCACCGGGTCCCCTAGCAGTGCCAGCCCACGGGCGCCTCCCCCATCCCCACCCCCACCCCCGCCCCCACCATGGGCTCCTGCGCCGCAGAGCCTCCCCGGAGGAGCGTGGCCCCCTGCTCCAAGGTGCCCAGTCCCATCGACTGCCCAAGGGCTGAGGAGTGCGGGCGCTGTGGGACTGGCAGGCAGCTCTACCTGCGGCCCCAGTGCGGGATCCACTGGGTGAAGCCAGCTGGGCTCCTAAGTCTAGTGGGGACTTGGAGAACTTTTATGTCTAGCTAAGGGATTGTAAATACACCAATCAGCACTCTGTATCTAGCTCAAGGTTTGTAAACACACCAATCAGCACCCTGTGTCTAGCTCAGGGTTTGTGGATGCACCAGTCGTCACTCTTTATCTAGCTAATCTGGTGGGGACTTGGAGAATCTTTATGTCTGGCTAAGGGATTGTGAATACACCAATTGGCACTCTGCATCTAGCTAAAGGTTTGTAAATGCACCAATCAGCACTCTGTGTCTAGCTCAAAGTTTGTAAATGCACCAATCTGCACTCTGTGTCTAGCTGATCTGGTGGGGACTTGGAGAACCTTTATGTCTAGCTAAGGGATTGTGAATACACCAGTCAGCACTCTGTATCTAGCTCACAGTTTGTAAATGCACCAATCAGCACTCTGTATCTAGCTAATCTAGTGGGGAAGTGGAGAACTTTTGTGTCTAGCTCAGGGATTGTAAATGCACCAATCAGCACCCTGTCAAAACGGATCAATCAGCTCTCTGTAAAACAGACCAGTCGGCTCTCTGTAAAATGGACCAATCAGCAGGATGTGGGTGGGGCCAGATAAGAGAATAAAAGCAGGCTGCCAGAGCCAGCAGTGGCAACCTGCTCCAGTCCCCTTCTAGCTGTGGAAGCTTTGTTCTTTCGCTCTTTGCAGTAAATCTTGTTGCTGCTCACTCTTTGGGTCCACACTGCGTTTATGAGCTGTCATACTCACCGTGAAGGTCTGCAGCTTCACTCCTGAAGCAGCGAGACCACGAACCCACTGGGAGGAACGAACAACTCCAGACCTGCCGCCTTAAGAGCTGTAACACTCACCTCGAAGGTCTGCAGCTTCACTCCTGAGCCAGTGAGACCACGAACTCACCAGAAGGAAGAAACTCCGAACATATCCGAACATCAGAAGGAACAAACTCTGGACACACCGTCTTTAAGAACTGTAACACTCACCGGCAGGGTCTGCGGCTTCATTCTTGAAGTCAGTGAGACCAAAAAACCACCGATTCCAGAGACAATGGGTTGATAGGTGAAGCAAACCATCATAGCACACGTTTACCTATGTAACAAACCTGCACGTCTTGCACATGTACCCAGGAACTTGAAAAAAAAAAAAGGTAAAATAATGAAAACCGTAAAAAAGAAAATTAGTCATTAACATAATGCCTCCTTATGTTCATTTTTTTTTTTAATAGTCTCTCTCCCTGTGCCTGGCTATGACATGAGAAATTCTTAATCTGTTGAAAACCAAAACAACAATGAAGACACAGGGTAGACATCTCAGGCTTTCTCTGCTTAAATGTGTTACATAAAGAGGAAACTAAATTGCTCTCAGAGGTTTGTCTGAACAAAAAGACTCAGTTCTATCCTAGCCCACTAACTCGATACTGTACTCCAAACATGCTCTTTAGGAACCCAAGTGCCATCTGTTAATGTTATTATTTTTATTATCTTATTTCACATATGATAGTACCTTCTGAAAAGTGTTAAAATTTTTGCTTTCTCCACATTTACATTTTTTATCAACTTCAGATGATTTTCTCCATTATGTAGCACACACAGTAAATGCTCATCAGATACTCTTGTTGGAATCTATGTTTTCAAGTCATCTTGCATCTCCGGAAAGTTCATATACGATTGGAATTTTGTTTCCTAATACACTTTGTAGAAGCTTTTGGTAAAATCATTTGAAGTAGGAGTGTTTTGTTTGCTAATATTGGAAAACTTTTTGTTTCCTTAGTGGTTGTAGGATGTTATTTTTATGTATTTTAGCTTCAGGATTGTTGAGATTTCCTATCCTAATATTAGTCATTTTACTTAAAAGACTCATTTAATTGTCACAATGTACAGAATGTCTTCTTAATATTTCTAAGGGATTTATAGCAATGTAATTTTTACCTGTTTTTCATGACTACCATTGAGATTTGCTACCTTTTTCTTTTTTATCACTACCATGAATTATTGAAAACAGTAGAGCTCTTTTCAAAGAACAAACTTTTAGTTTTGTGGACCCTCTCTAGCACATATTTATTTAATGTTTTAATATTTGGCTTTATATTTAATTTCATCCTTATACATTCTTTGGCTTTGTTTTCTGTAATATTTCTCATTTCTGGAACAGATTTTTAACTACATTTTCAGTTTTAAAACTTCAATTGTATGCATCATTTTAAAATATGATCATATCATATGCAAATAAAGGCAGATTTACTTCTGCCTTTCTGTACTCTCTGCCTATTTTCTCCTTTTCTTCTTTCCTTCTTCCTCCCTTTCTTCCTCCCTCTTTCTCTTTTCCTCTTTCTTTCTTTCTTCTTTCCTTCTTTCTCCTTCCTTCCTTTTTTCTTTCTTCTCTTTCTTTCTCTTTCTTTCTCCTTTATCTTTCTCTATTTCTTTCCCTCTCTCTTTCTCTTTCCGTTTCTTTCTCCCCTCCCTCCCTCCCTCCCTTCCTTCTTTCCTTCCTTCCTTCTCTCTTTCTTTCTCCCTCTTTCTTTATTGTACTGCCCAGGTTCTCTAACATAATGGAGACTCGAGGTGGTAAAAATGTACATCTTAGCCTCTTTTCATTTAAAACAAAGTGAAATTTTACCAGAAATATTTTGCATATTTTAAGTATACAATTTGGTAAGTGTGACATATGTAAACACCTGTGAAACCATTCACACAATAAAGATAGTGAACATATCCATTGTCCCCAATAGTTTTCTCATAGCTCTTTGTAATCTCACTCTTCCGAACCCTAACCCCTCTGTCACCCGAACAAACCCCTCTGTCACCTGAACAAACCACTGATCTGCACTCTGTCATTATAACTTAGTTTGTATTTTACAAAATTTTGCATGAATAAAACCACACGGCATGTGTTATTTTATATCTTCCTCTTGTCACTCAATATAGTTATTTTGAGATACATTCCATATTGTGCATCAATAGTTCGATCTTTCTATTTTTTATTTCTGAGTACAATTCCATTTTATGGAAATATGATTGTTTGTTTATCCATGCACTTGTGGTTGAACATATGTTCTCTTTGTAGTTTTTGCCTATTAAAAATAAAGTCAAAACTAGTAATTTAACATGTCTTTGGATCAGCATGTGTTTTCAGTTATCTAGGAATTTAGTGGTAGACAGAAACGTTTTAATGAACTGTCAGACAGTTAAACTGTTCCTTTACATCCTCC
This sequence comes from Homo sapiens, assembly GCF_000001405.40. Classification (NCBI taxonomy): domain Eukaryota; kingdom Metazoa; phylum Chordata; class Mammalia; order Primates; family Hominidae; genus Homo; species Homo sapiens. The sequence goes on from NC_000001.11 coordinate 188,816,690, forward strand.
ACAATACATGACATATGTTATTGGGTATAAAGCTTAGTAGGCATTTGTTAAATGAAGATTAAGTGAAAGAAAGACAGATTGAATAAATGTTAGTGCGTATTAGTCTTCTCAAGCAAGTTTATGTACATATTTATTTATTTACTTTTTACTTTCTTTCTGCAAACGCTATGGTGACTTATCTGGCAAGTTTAGTGTACTGTAGCAGTGGTTTCTGAGCTTGCTCCTCCCTCCCTAAATAGCTTTAAAAAAATTATTCACATGATTATAAATGTCTCTTTTTAAAGGGTCACTGATAAAAGCAAATTCATACGTAAGTGATTGAGTTGAGAATTTCCAAACAAGTCTAATAAATAGAGTAATATACACAAAATCTCAATAGCAATTATAACTGGAGATGGGTAAGAATGGAAAAGAGAGAGGCAATGTTTCATCCAGAACTTGGCATTACAAAAATTGTGTTTAGATATATGTTGAAAGTAGTGCTGTTTCTCCATCCCTGATATTCCCTTCTGTTTAGAGGAAGCTTATTAATAAAAGAGTGAATATTCTGCTTGGTATATTTGGGAGACATAAATTTGGGGTATTCTCAGTTCAGCTTTTCCCTCTTTCTCTTTGAAAATAATGTTCCTTATAGTAAATATTCATTCTGCTTTGCTCCTTCCTATGAGAGGCAGGTTTATTTTGTGAAGTAACCCAGAATTCTAAGACACTTTGATTTTGAATATTCATATCGAGGGTATAGCTATAGGAAATCTAGTAGTGTCAAATTTATCAATATTAAAATTTGATATCTGTGTGGCACATCTGAATGTTCTCTTTCTGTTTTAGTATTATCTACAAGTGGCTTAGGATTGAGGTGGAACGCAAGAATGTCTTATATTGGAACTTTAATATATTCATTTTTTGTTCAAATTTTAGTATAAAAAAGGAAACATTAAGTGAATAAAACAACCTCTTTAGAAGATAAAAATCAACCATTCTGTTAGCTACATATCTGAATAATAGTGAGGTTATCTGGAATCAATTAGACCCCTTTAATTAACAAAACACCAGAACTGTTGATTATCACCTACAAAAACCTGGCTTTCTAATCAGATCTTGATTTAAATTGTAATTGTCTTTAAATATTACTACTTATTTTTCAGAGTTTTTGATCATTCATATATAGTGTAATTATTTCTTCCAGATAAAAGTGTTTCTGTAATACAGTTGTGCTCTTTGATTACAAACTTGATGGAGACTAAACAAAGAAGGAAATGTGGCAGTAGTAAAAATGCAGGGCAAATATATCAGCATGCCAGTTTTACATCTGGCTGATATTATGATGACAACAGATCTGTTAAGGCAAATGCTTTCCTGACAAGCTATTTAATTAGAATTACAATCATCTTCCCAGAAATGATCCTTAAAATAAATTGTCTACTGTAAATGGATGAAAGTAAATAGTTTGCTTCTCCTCAAATCTCCTGAAATAAAAGAGCCAAGACAAAAAGTCTTATAAATACCATAATTTTCAAAACGGAAATGTGGAAGAAGCAGTTAACATTAGATAACATTAAGTGCTACTGTGATCAAATTGTTTTTTCTTATGCCACTTTAAAAAATACTGTTGATAAAGTGATTGTTTCTGTCGCAAGCTGTCATTAGCTGGTGGTTTATTCACAATGCCTCTACATCAGTGAAAAATAAAGGTGCTTAGATTTTTTTAAATTAAATGTAATGTAGCACAATACAAGACTATGTGAGAATTCCTAAATGGTTTCAAATCTAAAAACCTGCATTTGCTATTAGGATAACACTGAAAAACTAATCTCTTTCAGGCCATTTTCTCATCTATAAATTGGAGAAATGTTTTTTCTTCCTAAGGTATTTGTGAGAATCATAAAAATGCAACACCACTTAAAATAATATCTACAATAATATGGAATGCAAATAGAGAAAAATATATTTTAATACACTGTGTTGCATTGCTTTTATTTTTATGGCAAAAATAATTTTACTTGTCTATGGCTTTAGAGTATGTGGGTAAAACTGATTTAATAATACCTATTAAATAAGAATATTTACAAAGTAGAGATTATGAAACTTCAAAATTGATAAGGATGCTATGTGTCATCTTGGCCCAAATTCCCCTATGACTATTATCGTTTTTATACTAAAGACTTTGTCATGAAAAGCAATGGCAAAAAACATACTTACTTTTGCACCAACCTAATATAACTGCCAAGAAAAATCTAATCATCCCTGCCAAAGTTTTTATATATTCACATAAACATATTTTGGAGAATTATATAATTTTAAATAGAAATAAATCTTTTTAATATATTTATCTACACTAGATGTTGTGCACATAATAAAAATTACAAAAATAGGAATGAAAAATTATAAGTGAAAAATAAAGAGATATGTATCGTGATACTCTTTCCCAAATGCTAATGGAACAATTTACAATGGATACTTCACTGTGGTAACTACTAAATGGTTTACATATATTCAACATATTTCTCTGGCCATAATAAGTAAGAGCTAAATTGAGTATAAAACATTAGAGTACTATGAGAATGGATGAAAATTACAATTTAAGTTTGGTTTTTTCCTTTATTATATATAATTTTTTCAAATTTTTACAATGTGCTAAACAAGGAGATGTGTTTAATTGATTCACCCAATATGTGCTATTGAATAGCTGAAAAGCATAATAATATTTTACGTATAGAGGGGTGTTTAAACATCAATTAACAGTGATAAATTTTAAGTGTCTAGTAGGATTTTAAACGTTACATCTCTTAGAATAGCCTCAATGCTCCTCCTGATGACGTTGTCAAGAACTAAATGCTATAAAATACATGAACATCAAAAATACAATTTTCTTTTTTATATTTTAGATTTGTGTGGAAAATTTTATGTGAACAATGTTATTTTTGCTAAAAGATATATTGAAAAAAGTCCTGTATGTGTTACAGATTTATTTACATCATACATTAAATAAAGAACTGAAAAAATCCCCATGAAAAACAAAATGTTATATATAACTATAGTATTAAAGTAATTAAATGATGTAAGTCTACACTATATATAACCTCAAAATTCATAAAATAAATATTTATAAAGAAAAATGACTAATAAAGTATTGTCTTTAAACTTGAAGACATTTTTAAAATTAGCCCTCTTTTTATTATATTATAATGTGAAAACCCAAAGGTTGAATTTCTAGGAATTTATTAATGATATTTTGTTCTGTTTCCCTTGCTGAGGCTTTGATAACTATAATTTAACTAATATTTCTTCTTTTTTACTCTACTCAAGTTTATCTCATCTGTAGCTGTCTCACCATGTAACCAATATTCTATCCAATGGGTGGAAAGAATCCTACTTCTACTGCCATTTTTTGTTCTGTCAGTCACATGAAACAACCACTTAGAGAAAGAAAATCTAGCAGACAAAATCTGATTTAGGAGTAGAGATGGTAATAAGCCAGATGCTGTTGGTCTTTCATCAGTTCATTCTTTTGAAATTTTGTCAATTATAAGCATTCAAACTAGAAAAAGATGGTATTGGAAAGTTGATTAAAAAAACAACAACAACAACCATATAAAGTGCCTGTTTCCACCAGCAAATTCTACCAGGAAAATTTGATACCTTGACTAACTCCTCTGTAAATCAATTTTTTAAAGTCAAAAGATATTTTAAATTGTATTGCTGAAATAGCCATGAAATAGACTATAAAAAGCTAAAATTGGAAGCAAAATAACAATTCTATGAGATAAATCCAACTAGTTTAAAAGCAGGTACATTCTGAACCTTGCTGAAATTTGGTTTATGTTTTAAAAATTGTGCAATGGTCTCAGGATAGTAAGCAAACCTATATACTTCCAAATGGACAATTAATAAGAATAAAAGTGAAATCTATAATAATATAGCAGTATTCAGGAGATAAATTCTAATGAAATAATGTAATTTTGCTAGGAGCAAGTATAAAAATATTTTATATATCAATAGTTTACTTTTTCTATATGTAATATTTAAAGAAAATATCTTCATAAGCAGAAAGAAGGGACCTCTATGAAAGATACAGCTGGCCTCCACTGCCATACATTTTCTAGGTTTTGAAGCTGTAAGAATGAAAACTAAGATTAAAAAAAAAGGTAAAGAGCTATGACAGAAATCTCCAAGGAGTAAAATTATATTCAAGATTTTCAGCACACAGAAGTAAATTGCCAAGGAACTTATCAAAAGATCAAGAGGGTCACGGCCAAGGACAAAAGACAAATCAAAAGTGAACTGAGTTTATTAAATTTGCAATTAACTAAGCATCTTCAAACCTAATCTCTAATTTAATTGAATGATTTAGAATCCCTATCTAGGTGCCAAAGACATACATATATTCACACACACACACACACACACACACACACACACTCACACACCCCATACAGATATTGCCTTTGTCCAAAATAGGCAAGAAGAAAACGAAGAATTAAAACTTATGAAAAAACAGAAAAGACATAAAATGGCACACTTAAACTAAATAATATTAATAATTATGTTAGCTATAAATAGCATATCTACCCTAAGTAAAAGGAAGAGGTTATCAGACTAGCTAAAAATATTTTCTTAAAATCAAGACCCACATATTTATAAAACTGTTTATTAAAATCCAATTTAAATATAAAGACTCAAAAAACTGAAAAGATACACCATGAAAGTTGATATGCTATGTTGTTTAAAATAAGGACCTAAATAAAATAAGAGATTTTATTAATAAAAGAGGGCATTTTGTAATGAGAGTCATGGTAAGTTCATTAAGATGACTAAACTATTTCAAATGTATTTATGAAACAAATAGCAAAGGCAAATTTTATATGAAACACAATTTACACAACCAAAGGAAGAAAAAGTAAAGGTCACAATTACAGTAAGAAATTTTAGCATTCCTTTGTAAGTAACTGATGAAGCAAATTGTAAGACTGTAGAACATTTTGACAATGCTATCAACAAATACATGACCTAGGTTACATTTTTCAAACACTCTAAAAAACAATTCAGGATATACCTTATTTTCATGTGAACACGGAACTTTCACCAAGATAGTCTATATCCTAGTTTATAAAACATATCAAAATAAAATCCAATGGACTGAATACATACATACTTTTTTTTTGCTCAAATGCTATTAAATTAGAAATCAATAGCAAAAAATTAAAATATCCCAAGATATTAAAACTAATGAAGTTTTGAAAGAACCAGTAAATTTTAACTTTGTAAATACAAGTAGTAATTTACAATTTTGAAATAAATGAAATACAAAATAATAGGAAAACGCAACAAGGAAATATTAACTTGTATTCTGAAAATAATAAAATTGGCAATTCCTTAAAAACACTGGAGAGAGAGAGACAGACAGCAGGGAGAGAGAGAGAGAAACACAAATTGTCAATATTAAGGAAAGAAAACATAGTAGAACGTCAAGATCGACTGGGTGAGGAGCTTACCTGTTCAATATGATCATTTAGTGGAAGAAAACTATAAGCAACATCATTTTAAAGTGAGTGAAATTTGACCTGGTGCAGACAGCAAGTCAAAAAGCATTTTTCCCCCCAGGAAATCTACTAAATCTTGGTAAGAACAGCTGCAGTCTATGAAATTTGAGCCAGACAAGCTCTCATTTCCCTCTGCCCAGCTTCCTGTGTTACAGAAGTTCTACTACAAGTGAATGTTACCATGAAAACAGGGGATCTCTTTCCCCCAATCTCAGCCATAGGACTATAATTCCATACTAGGAACTGCAGGCCAACGGTATCTTTCACCCCATCTGCAAGAATTCGTATTGTGGAAGCTGTATTCCTGGAATGCACAGCTAGAAGACTGGCTTCCTTCCCTCACCCAGCTTTCACTGATAAGCCTGATTCTCTAACCCAGGTGTATTGAGCTGAAAATGCTGGGGCTCCAATCACCAACCCTACAGCTCCCTCTTCTATGTATGATAGATGTTCCAGGCTCCGAAGTCAAAGCTGAGATTATGGGGTCTATGGCTCTACCCCTAGTTACTGTCATCACTCCAGGACTAATAGTTGGCCTTACCTTCCCACAGCTATGGCACCGTAGCACAGAGTTTCTGCTCAGGAAGCAGAAAACCAGAGGACTAGTATTTCTATAGCTCAATTGAAGAAGACTGACTTTATCTGGAACCCAGCAGAGAAAAATGCATGCCTTAAGATGTTGAAAAAATAGAGATATTAGTGGTGAGCAGTTAACACTACTGGCTCTGTGAAACATTAATTATCTATACCACTTCTCATTAGCACTTGAAAATCTGTTTTTAGCATTGTCTCAGCTGTGAAACACTAACAAGGACCTGAGAATACAGTTTTTGATGGTCTCCAGAATTGAAATACTTGGGGTACATTAAGACTTCTAAAAAATTCAAAATTTATAACATACAGTATATTCAGCAAATCAGGTTCCAGGACCATTTTCCCTTAATAAATAGGTACTCTCTGAGGAGACAAAGAAGATGTTCAGGAAGTCATACAAGCTAACTGATCTGAAGGCTGAGTACATTAGGCTTAGGGGCACATTTTTCTTTGTATAAAAATATGAATTTTTAAATTAAGTCTTCCTTTTTTTTTTTTTTTGAGACAGGGCCTTGCTCTGCCTTCAGGCTGGAGTACAGCAATGGTATAGTTCACTGCAACCTCAACCTCCTGTAATCAAGCAATCTTTCCCCCCTCAGCCTCTGGAGTAGCTGGGACTATACGTGCATGCCACTCTGCCACACTTGCTTAATTGTTCTTTTTTAAAGTTTTATGTAGAGATGAGGCCCTCACCATATTGCCCAGGCTGGTCTTGAACTTCTTGCCACCAGCCATTCTCCTGCTTTGCCCTCTGAAAGTGCTGGCATTACAGGCATGAGCTACTGCACCCAGACAGGTTTTCCTTTTATTAAATATGCGCTAAGAGCTGGAATACAGTGTCTACTGCAGAACAAGATTTTGAAATTTAGATTAATATTTAAATGAAATTTATTAAGTCTCAGCAAGCTTACATAATATATTTTTAGCTAAACATGGGAGTATTGTATATGCAAGTGATATGTCCATATAAATAGAGAAAAAAATGACTTTTAGATAAAATGTTTTCTAAATTTAAAATATGCTTCAGATAAACTAGCTGAAGTTTTGGAGAAAAGCATATGATAAAGGAAAATGCTTCACTCTACTTAACAGAGAAAACTACGGAAATATTTAATAACAAGTTTCATGTTTCTAATTTCAAAAAATATAAAAGTTTAATTTCTATATAATCTATGCATTATCTGTTATAACCAAGAGAGTGTGGGGTACAGTCTGTATTAATTATACCCACACCCCAATCTATACCTCAGAGCTGAGGGACCACCATTTTATATCTGAGGATGTCCAGTTCTGCAGTGGAGACGTTTGTTTTGTTGTTACTGTTTTTATTTTGTTTTTCAGAAAGTGACACATATAAGTGGTACCCATTATATATGTAAATGTAACCATTTACACTGCCCTTGGTATGGTAAGTGGTTACTGTGGCCCAGGAGATTCAAAAGCTGAGGATATAAAACGTTGATGCAGCAAGCAGAGGACAGGTTTCTTTGCAGTGGAAATGAGCCAAACATTGACAAATAAGCACTTTTAATACTTCAGAATTTTGAACATTAAAGAGACAAGAGCAGGAGTTGAAAACTTTGCAAAATGCAAAGCCCTAAACCTTCATTCTAGAAGTGTGTCAATTATAAGGAATTGAACAATTTCAAACTGGTTAACTGTTCTGCAAATCTGTTGAAGTACTTCCTGGGAATTTCTTTCCTCATCAATGGTAGAGCTATTTCCATAGTGAGTTAGAGTGATACAATTTTAAAATACATGCAGTTGTGAATGTGATTATGCATTGTCTAAATCAAATAAAATATTGAGACACAGAACATGCTTTATAAAACTGGTACAGCATGTGTGGCTTTCATATAGACATATATGTCACAAAGGTTACAACAAATTTTGAAAAAATAGTTGGAAAATATATGTATTTGGGCATTTTGATGGAAGCTTTTTACATAGAAAAAAAAGTACTTTTTCTCTCTATTCCTTAACATAAAAATCAATTTGCAGCAAGCTCACATACTTCAAGGAATAGCAATGATCCCTAAATATTTTAATGGGAATCAGCAGTAAATAAAAATGTTGAATATTATATTCATGAAGACTGGAGAGACTTTGAGCCAAATGAGAAATCATGTTTAATTTAGCACTGGGGTATCAGAATTAAGGGCCAGCTGATAAAATTACCTACATCATTAATCAGATTAAGGAGAATTGTCTGAACATATCAATTAATAGACAGATTATTGAAATAGTTGAGAAAAAAGAAAAAAAAAACCCTGAGAACCTGTTATATGTTGTCTACAAAACCAATGTAAATATAAAGATTTAGGCAGCTTAAAAATGAAGAGATGGAGAGAAACATACCATGTCAACCCTTGGTCACGATTTATAATTCTTTTCATGTGTTGCTCAATTAGATTTGCAGGTATTTTGGAAAGGAATCTTGTGTCCAATTAATAGCACACATTGGTTTGTAATTTTCTTTTTTCTTGTGATGTCTTATCTGGTTTTGGTATCCAGGTAATATTAGTTTAATAGAATGAACTGGAAAATGCTCCCCTCGCTCCTATTTTTCTGACGTTTGTGAAGAATTGATGTAGTTTGTCTTTAAGTACAATTACATGCTGCATAACAATGTTTTTATAATGACAGATCACTGATACAGCCCATGAGATTATAGTGGAGTGGAGGAATTCCTATCACCTAATGACTTTGTAGCTCTCTAACTGTTATAACACAATGATTTTTTTTAATAAATTTAATGTAGCCTAAGCATACAGTGTTTATAAAATCTACAGCAGCATGCAGTCATGTCCAAGGCCTTTACATTCACTTGCTATTTACTTGCTGACTCACCAGAGCAACTTCCAGTTGTGCAAGCTTTATTCATGGTAAGCGCCCTATACAGGTGTTTCATTTTTAATATTTTACTCTTTAATTTTACTCTACCTTTTTAATGTTTAGAAACGCAAATACCTACCTTTGTTTCACAATTGCCTAGAGTAGACTAACACACTGTACAGGTGTGTAGCCCAAGAGCAGTAAGCTATACAACATAGCTTAGGTGTGTAGTAGGCTATACCATTTATGTTGGTATAGATACTCTGAAATGTTTGCAGAACAATGACATTGTCTAGCAATACATTTCTCAAAATGTCTCCTTGTTAAATGATACATGATGATATTTGATAGAATTCTCTAATGAAATCTGGTGCTAAGCTTTGTTGGTATTTTTTGATAACTAATTTAATCTCTTTACTTGTAGGTCTATTCAGGTCATTTACTTCTTCTGTCAGTTCTGGTTGTTTACATATTTTTAAAAATTTGCCCATTTAAGTTGTCTAATTCATTGGAATACAGTTTTCAATAACATTTCTTTATAATCATTTTTATTGCCGTAAGATTAGGAGTAATTTCTCCTTTTTCATATCTGATTTTATTAATGGTGTTTATTATGATATGAATATTTCCATCCCCTCTAAATTCATGTATGAGAAGCTTAATCCCTAATCCAACAGTGTTGGGAGGTGGGACCAAATGTGAACTGTTTAGGTCATGAAAACTCTACCTTGAATGGATTAATGCGGCTATAAAAAAGGATTCCCTCTCTTCCATTCTTTTGCCTTGTGAGGAATACTGTTCCTGCCCTCCAGAAGACTCAGCATTCAAGGTATCATCTTCGAAGTGGAGACCAGGTTTCCACGAGACCACCTATTGGCACTTTGATCTTGGACATCTTCAATATGTCCTGTGAAAAATAAATGTCTGTTCTTTCAAATTACCCAGACTCAGTATTCTGTTATAGCAACACAAAATGGTCTAAGGCAGTGTTCAGAACATATTTTATACTATTTCTGTTCTTTTAAATTTAGAGATTTGCTTTATGTCCTAGCATTTGGTCTGTCCTGGTTAAAATTCTGCCATTTGATGGGGCATTCTATACATGTTATTACATATTTAAATGTTACAAACCCAACAATACATTGTTACAGTTATTATTTTCTGTAATTTTATATTTATTAAAGGATATAATTTAAGAAAGGAACTATACAATGACAGCTGTTGGTATGTTAATCTTATCATTCTGGCTCTTTTCATTTGTTTCTGGAGATTCAAGTTACCATGAGTATTAGATAATTTACCCCAATATAGCTTTGCTCCAATCCAATTTCTGTGTTGTTATTGTGCAATATATTACTTTTCTATATGTTATATGCTTAACAATATATCATATGCATATTATTCTACACAATAATGGCTCTTTAAATCAGTTAAAACAAGAAAAAATCTGCATTTATTTGTCTTCTGCAATTATATAATTACATTTACTGTTTCTTTTTCTTTTCTTGTATGAGTTAAAATTATTTTCCAGAGTCTCTTAATTTCAGCCTGAAGAACAACATTTAGTATTTCCTGTAAAGTCAGCATGCACCAACAGAATCCATTTATTCTTTCAGTTTTTGTTTTTCTGGGAATGTCTTTAATTTATCTTTTTTTTTTTCTTTTAAAGAAGCTTTTTTGAATGCAGAATTCTTTGTTGAGTCTCTTTTTTGACCCCGTTGAACATTTTAAATGTGTTATTCCTCCGCATTGTGTTCTTTGTTTTTGATGAAAGCTAGCTGTTAATCTTCCTTTGTGATTAGTCATTTTACTTATGCTTCTTTCAAGTTTTACTTCTTATCTTTGGCTTTCAGCATTTTTACTGTGATGTGTCTATTTGAGTTTCTTCCTTTCTTTCTCTTCTCTCCTGCTATTCTTATTATGCATGTTGGTACACTTAATGGTGTCCACATTTCTCTGATCATTTGTTCATTTATCTTCATTCTTTTGTGTGTGTGTGTTCCTTAGACTGTATAATCGATATCAATCTATCTTCCAGTTCATGAATTCTTTCTTCTGTCAGTTTAAATCTATTCATGAAGTCCCCAGTAAATTTTCATTCATTATTGTATTTATCAACTTGAGAATTTCTACTTATTCCTTTTTTGAAATTTATCTTTGTTGATCTTCTCAATTTGATAATACATTATAATTATACCTTTCTTTAACTGTGGTTTCTTTTGGCTCTTTGAATGTATTAACAATGGCTACATTGATGTCTTTGTCTTCTAAATTCAATATGCAGTTTCTCTAATAGGCAGTTCTATTGCCTGATGTTTTTATCTGTCATATGGTTCAAACTTTCCTTTTTCTCTTCTTTCTTTATTATTTTTTTGCATGTCTTGTAATTTCTGTTAAAAACTGGATATCTTAGAAAATATATTTTAGCAAATCTGAATATTGCTCTACACCCACTCCCAACCTGGGTCTTCGTATTGTTATCAGCTTGTTCACTTTTTATTGTCTGGCTGGGTTATTTTAGAGAAGTTCATTTTTCCAATGTATTGTGAAGCCTCTGATGTTTTTCCTCAATGGATATAGCTTCATGTGTAACTACAGTTACATTGGGACAACAGTGGTTTCAGGAGGATTATCTTTGATTCTATCCTCTCATTGACCATACCCAGCTGTTACATTCCATTACTTCCTGGCTGATTGTGCTATTGCTTTCCACAATATTCTTAGAGAATAAATTGCTTCACAGATGACTCTAATCAAATTAGAGTTATCTAATAAGAACAGAATCTCACCCATCTCCATGCTATAACTGTATAGATAAATTGTTATTAATATAAATTCTACTGTAAAAATCTCAAATACTATATAATTTACGGAAAGCCCCTCAATATCTGTCAGTCCCCTCATTATCCATAATATTACTTTAATTTCAGGAAAAAACTAATTTATTTTATAATTTCTGTGATATTTTTCTATATTTGCTCAAGTCTGCCATGCTACGCTTTGCATTGTCTAACAAAAATAGAAAACAAGAGAATAGTATTATTGGTCTTAATTTCAATTAAAATTGTCTTGGTTACTGCCTCAGTTTTTGAATTTGCATCTAGCCTATTCCAGGCTAGTAGTATTTAATTGGATACACATATCATTTTACCTATGGAATCAAAACAAAACAAAAACAAACAAAAATGGCAGATGTCTAGGTCATACCCCACACCTGCTGAATATCTATATCATTGTATATTCTTAGAATACACATGATATACTCTTTATATATTATATTTTATGTTCATGGACTGTTACATATATCAAGTTATTTTTCTCTCAGTTATGTTTATTCTTTTATTATAAGATATAACATTCAATTATTACTTTGAGAATAGATTCAATCATTCCTTGTAAATATTTTGTCTAATTATTTTTGAATTTATTTTATTTTATTTATTATTATTATTTAAGTTCTAGGGCACATGTGCACAATGTACAGGTTTGTTACATAGGTATACAATTGCCATTTACATTAGGTATTTCTCCTAACGCTATCCCTCCCCTACCCCCCACCCCCAACAGGCCCCGGTGTGTGATGTTCCCCTCCCTGTGACCATGTGTTCTCATTTTTCAACTCCCACTTATGAGTGAGAACATGTGGTGTTTGGTTTTCTGTCCTTGTGATAGTTTGCTGAGAATGATAGTCTCTAGCTTCATCCATGTCCCTGCAAAGGACATGAACTCATCCTTTTTTATGGCTGCAAAGTATTCCATGGTGTATATGTGCCACATTTTCTTTATTGGATTGATTTTATTATCTCTGTTTACTGTTCCAGGGATGTATCCATATTTTGTTTTTAATTGAATATTTGTAAGTTTCTGCCTTAAAAACCTGGAAAAAGCAAACTGTTTAAAATAAGCAAAATAATGAAAGTACATTATATCAAAAAAATTGCATAAATCAGTGTTTGTTTTTTAAAAAGATAAAAAATGGAAGTCTCTTTCTGGCAGAAAAAAATAAAGTAGAAAAGAATAAATGGAACTATATACCACTAATATCAGAAATGGTAAAGGAGATCTCACTACTGGCATTGCAGAAATTAAAAGATGTGTGAGAAAGTTTAATAAATAGCTAAGCAAATATAAAATATTAGTAGCAATAATAATGAGCAAATTTAAAAATTTAGAGAAAAAGAAATTTCCTAAAGATACAAGTCACCAAAAGTGGTTCTAAAACAAACAGAAAATAAACAAAGGCCTAAGTAAGAAGACTGAATTTGTAATTAAAAAATAAAAATAAAAATAAGCTGAATGCAGTGGCAGATGCCTGAAACCGAACATTTTTGGAGGCTGAGGTGAGAGGATTGCTGAGGCCAGGTGTTTAGAGACCAATCTGGACAACATAGCAAGTCCTGACTCTGCTAAAAGTAAAATTAAGCCAGATGTGATTTCGTGCACCTGTAGCCTTAGCTATTCAGAAAGTGGTGGTGGGAGGATCACTTGAGCCTAAGAGTTCAATGCTGCAGTGAGCTATGATCTTGCCACTGCACCCCAGCCTGGGGGAAAGAATTGAGACCCTTTCTCAAAAACAACAACAACAACAACAACACTTTCCACAAATAAAATCAAAGTCTTAGGTGGTATTATTCATGTTTTATTTCAGCTAGTTATATATACATATATATGTATTTATATATGTGTATATATATGTATGTATATGTGTATATATACATACATATATATACATACAAATTTTTACAAGAACTTTTAGCAAATAGAATACCTCAACTCCTTCTGTGAAACCACTGTTATCCCCAATACCAAAGCCATAAAAAGATACCTCATTTAAAGAAAAAACATTATGACCAATACGTCTCAGTAATACAGATACAAAAAGTCCTTAAAATATTAGCAAAAGATGAATTAGACTAATGTAGAAATACAAAATGTATTAGCATTCAAAATTCATTCAATGTTAAAAAAATTCATTCAATGTTGTATATAATAGTAAAAGACAAAAGAGCAAAAACCGCATGGTTAGTGCTATAGATGCATAAAAAGAATTTGCCAAAATCTAAAAGCCACTGATGATAAAACTTCTCAACAAACTACTATTAAATCGGGTCTTCTTCCACTTGACAAAATGTGTCTACCAAAACATATATCATGCTAAATGATGAAAGACTTATTTATTTTTCCTTAAAATTGGGACTAATTTAAGGTGCCCACTTTTGGCATTTTGTCAGTATAGAAAGTTTTACCTGTGATGTTTGAAGATAAGTTCAAGCACTTAAATTGAAACAAGGAAGAAAAACTATTAGGATTTCCAAACATGATACTCCAAGGAGTTTACAAAAGGAAAAATACCAGAAGGAATAAAATGCTTTAGGAAGGTCACAGGATACTAGATCAATATACATAAGGAAATTGCATTTTATAAACTAAAAACAAAACTCTGAAAAAGGAAATTAAGAGAAAATTTATCATTTATAATAACAGCAAAGAAAACAATAAAATAATATAAATAATAATGAATATTTAGAAATATACTTAGCAAAAATGTGCGGAAGATGTACACTAAAAACATTGTGAGGAAATCGAAGATCTGAATAAATGAAAATGTCAATTCTCCCAAACTGATCTAATTCCAACATATTTCCCATGAAATACCTAGCCTACTTTCTTTTCTAGAAACTTACTTGATGATACTAAAGTTTATAGGGGTAAGCAAAGAACCTACAACAGACAATACAATTTTTTAAAAGAAGAAGAGTGCTAGAGAACTTACATTTCTGTATTGTACAATTTACTATAAACCCATAGCAATCAAGAGTGTGGTATTGATGTCAAGATGTGATAGAATTGAGTCCAGAAATAAATCTTAACATTTATGGTCAATTGAATTTGACAAAGATACAGGATAATTCAACAGATCGAGAATAAGTCTTTATAACAAGTAGTTTTTAGACAACTGAATATCTAAAAGCAAATAAATGAAATAGTAGTTTTAATTCAAACCATGCATGAAAATATCTAAAAATCGATCATAGATTGATGTATAATAGTTAAAACCATAAAATTTCTAAAAGAAAACATTAAGACTTTTTTTAAATTTAGGGCTAGACAAAGATTTTTTAAATATAATACCAAGTGCATTATCTATTTAAAAAAACAGAAAATTGGAGTTTATCAAATTAAAAGTGTTTTCCACTGCAAAAAAGATACCATTAAGAAAATGAAAGGGCAAATTGCAAAATAAGAAAAATTAATTGCGAATTATACCAGATAAAGGATTTGTATCCAGAATTTATAAGGAAGAAGAGCAGATAGGTAAAATCTCAAATAAAATTTGAACACAAATTTGCAAAGACATTTCACTAAAGAAGGTATATTAGTGATAAATAGTCATACGACAAGATGTACAACAATATTATTCATATTTGAAATGTGCATTGAAACCACAATGAAATACTTTACACCTGTTAGAAGGACTATAAGGGGAGAAAAAGCTTTGGCTATCATAGGAAAGCAAAACCAAAAACCTTTTACTGGTGGAAATGCAAAATGGTAGTCATTTTGAAAACGTTTTACAACTATTTAAAAAGTTAAAAAAAAATATGACCCAGTCATTCTACATCTAGCAATCTTAGAAAATAAATTATATATATATTTATATATAGTTTATATTCATAGCATCATTATTTATAAAAGACAAAACATTGAAAGAATAAAATGATTTATGAACTGGTAAATTGATAAATACTATACGGCGTGTACTTGCAGAATACTATTCAGAAATAACAGGAATACACTACTGATATATGCTACAACAGGGATGTGCCTCCAAAGCATTATGCTAAATGAAACACACCAGACTCAACAGATTGAATATTGTATGATTCCATTCATATAAAATGTCCACAAAAGGCAAATTTGTGAAGACAAGAGTTCAGTGGTTGCCTAGGGCTCAGTGTGGGAGTAAGTATTAATTCCAGAAGGGTTCAGGGAACAATTTAGGGGTGATGAGAATATTCTAAAACTGCATTTTGGTGATAGATGCACAAAACTATACATTTACTAAAAATCATATATTAATGTATTTACAATGGGTAAAATGTATGTTATATAAATTATACCTCAATAATGTTGTCAAAAACTTAATTTTGCAATGTTGCAATATGATATAGCTGTAGATTTTATTTCATAAAACAAAATAATCCAAATTAGGAAAGTCACCGCTGGTAATAGTCTAAGTAGTTTTACGAAAAGGGTTTGGTAGTGTGCTTTTTCCATGTTGTTTAAGGTGAATTGAGAGACAGTAGACAAAAGAACTTTCATCCCCAAAATAAAATGTTAACATCACTGATATATTTTACTCTATAGTCTATATTAATGCTCTTTCATGTGTAAAATTTAATAAAACAAAATTTTCTAAGTCAATAGCAAACTTCAAATCCCCATTCTTAAAAGTTTACTTTCATTTAACTTTATTCACTATTTTCAAAATTCCCCAAATGACATTCAACTATAATAAAGTAAACACATATGTTAGCAAAATAATATTTAAACAATAATGTTGCAAGATAGTTGGAAATTTAATCAACATTCTTAAAATCGGATCAATGAATTGTACTTAAATATACTGTCTGATATTTATCTCATCTTGTGCATATGTGTGGCCTGTAACTATTCTATTGGAATAGAAAAATATTATTTATATCCTTATTAAATTAGAAAAGCTCACTGCTTTGGGGAATTCTGTATATATTAGTTTCTGAGCCTACTTGCTATCAATAGGTAGAATCTTCCTCGTTGATTTTTAATATTCATGTATAACTGCTAATCTGAATATTTTCTATCCAAATCAAAAGCATAACTAAGCCAGTTTACTACTTTAGGACTAATTAAGCTTTTCATTAAAAAAAATCGTGAAATTTCTAGATATGGAAGCTTGGACAATATATTATATCTAAGACTCTATTTTCACATCTTTAAAATCAATATTAATTCCTGTTGTGATAAAATAAGACAAAGTTAATATATGTTGCTCAATAACTGGGCATAATTATAATTGCTCAGTAACCAGTAAGCTTTTCTTGCTTTCTTTTTTGTCTGAGAGTTCTAGTTATATCTATTAAAATAACCCAAACTTTTAGAATATATTATTTTAATGATACATATGAGATTGGGTATTATAAAGTAGATGCACTTTTAAATGTGAGGATAGGCAAAATCTGTCCAGGGCACTGCTCTTATGAAAAAGGCAAAGGGAAAGACTCTTTACCCACATAATCAATCGGAAGTGTAGGGAATGGACTCAGGTAAAAATTAATTAATGAGAAAGACACATAAAGTTTTGCAGGACTTAAGAAATACACTATATGACTCTGTGGAAGTTTCATCTGTTATTTTCTGCTATGGCTTGAATGTTTGTGTCCCCTCCAAATTTCAGGCTAAACCTGAATCCCCAATGAAACAGTATTAAAAGATGGGGCCTTTAGGAGGTGATTAGGCCATGAGGGCTCCATCGTCATGAGTGAGATTAGTGGCTTTATAAGAGGGCTAGAGGAGGCCGGGCGCGGTGGCTCACGCCTGTAATCCCAGCACTTTGGGAGGCTGAGGTTGGCGGATCAAGAGGTCAGGAGAACCAGACCATCCTGGCTAACACGGTGAAACTCCATCTTTACTAAAAATACAAAAAAATTAGCTGGGCGTGGTGACGGGCGCCTGTAGTCCCAGCTACTCGGGAGGCTGAGGCAGGAGAATGGCGTGAACTCGGGAGGCAGAGCTTGCAGTGAGCCGAGATCACGCCACTGCACTCCAGCCTGGGCGATAGAGGGAGACTTTGTCTCAAAAAAAAAAAAAAAAAAAAAAAAAGGGCTAGAGGAAACTAGATAGTCCAGTTTCCTTTCCACCTTCTGCCTTGTGAGGATGCAGCAACAAGGTGCCTTTGGAAGCGGAGCCTGGGCCTTCACCAGACACCAAAGCTTCCAGTGCCTTATCTTAGACTTTCAGCCTCCATAAGTATGAGAAAAAAATTTATCTTCTTTGCACATTACCCAATCTCAGATATTTGTTATAGAAGCACAAATGCACTAATATACTCTTTTGCTTAACATGCCTTAAGGAATACTAAAAATTCCATTTATCTATTACTAAGTCCTCAAATGTTTACCAAAAGTGTCCAAAAGCCAACTTTACTTAGTTCAATATAAACTTTGTAAACTACAGTTCTTATCCATTTTAGATCCTTGATCAACTATTTAAATTACATTTAAACAATTCCTTATTTATCTTCAGAATACTCATGGTTATCCAATTTCTCATTTTTTGCTTCCCAAGACCTTTTTGTTTTTTTAACAGAAAACCTTTGGATGAAATTACTAATATGTTTACCACAAAGAGGGTGAAAATTTAATTTCTCAGAGGATGATTCCACTCCATCGACAAAACTCAATATTTATATTTGATTACACCGAATAAACTTTGAGGCTAATCATGACAAAAAGTAGCAGAACACTATGAACAATTCATTTCCCTCAGTCATATGTCTGCCTCTTCATTTCTAACAGATAGCAAGAACAATTAATGCGTTAATGAGACCTAGGCAATTTGGCATTAACTTTATTATTGCTAATGGGAATTATTTTTAATATACTGTATTATGCCATTTTAAATCTTCTGCATCTCTTTTCAAACCCAATTTAATTTTTTAAAGCAACCTAAAATAATAACATATAAGCAGAATTACCTTCATTCTATCCAATATATGTCACACTGCTTGCCTCCAATTGTCTTATTTTTACCGTTTTCCTTAATAAGATGATGATGATAATAAAAATGATAATCCTGGTGATGATGACAGTAATAATTACTAATTATTACTACTAATAAAGTTAATTGCCAAATGTCCTGGCATTTCCTCATGCCAGGAAATGTTTAACTTTGTTAAAATAGTAATTATTATAGTAACTAATTTGATCCTCTAACGCTCTGTGATAAATCCTCTTTTTTTGGATGAGGAAAATCAAGCAAAGCAGTGTTATTACTTGTAAAAGATCACACAGAGCAGAGATTCAGACACAGTTACTCTTGCTTTATATTTACCAATATTAGCAAAGAAATTCTAAAATCCACTCTATAGGTATCAATTTTTATCACCTTGTTATGAAATTGCTACCTGAGACATTCTGTCATCATGCCTTCCCTTAGTTAGATATGACTTCTTCCTTCAAACACCCATAAAATGTTATCTCTTTTGTAACACTTAATATAAAACATTTATGTGTTATTCATGATTTACATTATTATCCCCCTCATAATATTCCTAGCCCTTTAATATATGTACATGCATACATGAAATATATATTAAGTTCCTTTGGGTCAGTAACTATAAAAAGTCCCCTTGGGAGCTTACTCATGATTACAGATTTCAGAGCAATAAACAGCAGATGTGACAAGTAGAAAATTAAAGCAGGCACAGATGCTCCATTGTCTGGGAGTACATCATGGTTTCTAGAGCGGATGGTGATAGAAGAAAGGTTTCGCTCTGTATAGATAGGAAGAAGAAGGCATAGGAAGAGTTAAATATGTGGCTGTCAAGAGAGAAATGTGGGCTCTGTTATTTGCTGTAGGACAACAGACCTTGCAGTAACAAACAGACAAGCTCAGGTTTAACATTAAGGACATTTTTCAGGTAGGAGGACTTAAGTCAGCTGTCATTAGTTCAGAGTTCAGAGTCATTACTTAGAAATATAGTTCAGGTAGAACAAGGTCATGAACAGATTTTAAAAGTAGGAAAATAAATAAGGTATTCTCTTCTATAACTAAAGGACTGACAACAAAACAAGGCCTAAACCCAATTACTAGGATCAGAGTATAAGCAGTGTCCCAGTGTCTTTAAGAATGGCCTAGTATTTATTTTTTTCTTTTTTTAAATTATGCTTTAAGTTTTAGGGTATATGTGCACAACGTGCAGGTTTATTACATATGTATACATGTGCCATGTTGGTGTGCTGCACCTATTAACTCGTCATTTATATTAGGTATATCTCCTAATGCTATCCCTCCCTGCTCCCCCCACCCCACAACAGGCCCCGGTGTGTGATGTTCCCCTTCCTGTGTCCCAGTGTTCTCATTTTTCAATTCCCACCTGTGAGTGAGAACACGCAGTGTTTGTTTTTTTGTCCTTGCGAGAGTTTGCTGAGAATGCTGGTTTCCAGATTCACCCATGTCCCTACAAAGGACATGAACTCATCCTTTTTTATGGCTGCATAGTATTCCATGTGTATATGTGCCACATTTTCTCCATCCAGTCTATCACTGATGGACATTTGGGTTGGTTCCAAGTCTTTGCTATTGTGAATAGTGCCGCAATAAACATACATGTGCATGTGTCTTTGTAATCCTTTGGGTATATACCCAGTAATGGGATGGCTGGGTCAAATGGTATTTCTAGTTCTAGATCCTTGAGGAATTGCCACACTGTCTTCCACAATGGTTGAACTAGTTTACAGTCCCACCAACAGTGTAAAAGTGTTCCTATTTCTCCACATCCTCTCCAGCACCTGTTGTTTCCTGACTTTTTAATGATTGCCATTCTAACTGGTGTGAGATGGCATCTCATTGTGCTTTGGATTTGCATTAAGAATGACCTAGTAATTCAACCTGAGATAGTAACCTAGGATTTCTTAATTCCCTCTGAATGATTCAAGGCAACCTCTGGAACCTAGTAGATGGACTGATCCTAGAGCTCTGAATAAAGTCTCATTTGTTTCCCCATTTCTTGTTTTTGTCAGGTTTGTCAAAGATCAGATGGTTATAGATGTGTGGTATTATTTCTGAAGGCTCTGTTCTGTTCCATTGCTCTATATTTCTGTTTTGGTACCAGTACCATGCTGTTTTGGTTACTGTAGCCTTGTAGTATAGTTTGAAGTCAGGTAGCATGATGCCTCCAGCTTTGTTCTTTTGGCTTAGGATTGACTTGACAATGCGGGCTCTTTTTTGGATCCATATGAACTTTAAAGTAGTTTTTTCCAATTCTGTGAAGAAAGTCATTGGTAGCTTGATGGGTATGGCATTGAATCTATAAATAAATGGTGCTGGGAAAACTGGCTAGCCATATGTAGAAAGCTGAAACTGGATCCCTTCCTTACACCTTATACAAAAATTAATTCAACATGGATTAAAGACTTAAATGTTAGACCTAAAACCATAAAAACCCTAGAAGAAAACCTAGGCAATACCATTCAGGACATAGGCATGGGCAAGCAATTCATGTCTAAAACACCAAAAGCAATGGCAACAAAAGCCATAATTGACAACTGGAATCTAATTAAACTAAAGAGCTTCTGCACAGCAAAAGAAACTACCATCAGAGTGAACAGACAACCTACAGAATGGGAGAAAATTTTTGCTATCTACTCATCCAACAGAAGGCTAATATCCAGAATCTACAAAGAACTCAAACAAATTTACAAGAAATAAACAACCCCATCGACAAGTGGGTGAAGGATATGAACAGACACTTCTCAAAAGAAGACATTTAGGCAGCCAAAAGACACATGAAAAAATGCTCATCATCACTAGCCATCAGAGAAATGCAAATCAAAACCACAATGAGATACCATCTCACACCAGTTAGAATGGCAATCATTAAAAAGTCAGGAAACAACAGGTGCTAGAGAAGATGTGGAGAAATAGGAACACTTTTACCATGTTGGTGGGACTGTAAACTAGTTCAACCATTGTGGAAGACAGTGTGGTGATTACTCAGGGATCTAGAACTAGAAATACCATTTGACCCAGCCATCCCATTACTGGGTATATACCCAAAGGATTATAAATCATGCTTTTATAAAGACACATGCACACGTATGTTTATTGTGGCACTATTCACAACAGCAAAGACTTAGAACCAACCCAAATGTCCATCAGTGATAGACTGGATGAAGAAAATGTGGCACATATACACCATGGAGTACTATGCAGCCATAAAAAAGGATAGTTCGTGTCCTTTGTAGGGATATGGATGAAGCTGGAAACCATCATTCTCAGCAAACTATCAGAAAGACAAAAACCAAACACCGCATGTTCTCACTCATAGGTGGGAATTGAACAATGAGAACACTGGGACACAGGAAGGGGAACATCACACACTGGGGCCTGTTGTGAGGTGGGAGGAGGGGGGAGGCATAGCATTATGAGATATACCTAATGTGAATGACGAGTTAACGGGTGCAGCACACCAACATGGCACATGTATACAAATGTAACAAACCTGCACGTTGTGCACATGTACCCTAGAACTTAAAGTATAATTAAAAAAAAAAAACTTGGAAAAAAAAAAGAAAATCCTTAGGTGAAGTCCCCCAAGATGTCGCTGCCTAAGATCCCAGAGAAAATGCCTGCTTATGTTTATATTGGAAAGGCCTGTACCTATCACCCACAAGACCTTGGAGTGGTAAAAATAAGAGGTTGTTGAATTGTTGCAGAATTTTGTAAAACTTTTTAAATAATTTAAAGACAATATCAGCTGGTTGTAGAAAATATGGCAAAATTAGAAACACTTATTGAAAAAATTATTGTACATTATCAACATTAGAAGATGTAATTGGTTAATTTTCTTCCAGATTAATATATATATATATATATATTTTAAAAAGTCTCAATTGTTAGCACAGTAGAGCTTTGAGGAGTAGAGTTGGTCAGATTACTTCAAACAAATCTTATAAAGTTGTATTAAACATTCATTTCCTTAATACTTTAAAATAGCACCTAGGATAAAGCAGAGATTTTTTTTTTAAGGTTGAATTGCACCAACGTGAATTTAAAAAGTAAATATCACTGAGAATAAACTTGCAATTCCTTTCTAATGTATTTTTTATTTCACATTTTATAAATATGAGCTTGGAGTAAAATACTTTTTGATCTTCATGTCTTATGCTTTTGAACACCTCAATTCTATCTCATCTTGCCCCAAACGTTTCAGTCTCAATTTTTCTCACGTTTGGCCACATGAAATTGACATTAAAGCCAGGGAAACACATCTTGTATCATTTACACTTAGTATTTCTATAATAAGAAATCATACAGGCCGGGCGCGGTGGCTCACGCCTGTAATCCCAGCACTTTGGGAGGCCGAGGCGGGTGGATCACGAGGTCGGGAGGTCGAGACCATCCTGGCTAATATGGTGAAACCCCGTCTCTACTAAAAATACAAAAAAAAAATTAGCCGGGCATGGTGGCGGGTGCCTGTAGTCCCAGCTGCTCGGGAGGTTGAGGCAGGAGAATGGCGTGAACCCGGGAGGCGGAGCTTGCAGTAAGCCGAGATAGCGCCACTGCAGTCCAGCCTGGGCGAAAGAGCGAGACTCCGTCTCAAAAAAAAAAAAAAAAAAAAAAGAAATCATACTAAGTGTAATACTTTTTCTTAAGGTAAGGAAAAAATGTCCATGAATGAAATAATCTTCTTTTACTCTTTCCAATGCACCCAATAAAGTTATTGCAATATCTTTTTTAACAAACAAGCAAGCATATAAGACTATTTATTTCAAATTTTATTTCAATTTTTCTTAGTATTTTAAAATAGTATTGGTCTCACTGACTTCAAGAATGAAGACTTCTTGGTCTCACTGACTTCAAGAATGAAGCCACGGACCCTCGCAGTGAGTGTCACAGCTCTTAAGGTGGCGCGTCTGGAGTTTGTTTCTTCTGATGTTCGGATGTGTTCAGAGTTTCTTCCTTCTGGTGGGTTCACGGTCTCGCTGGCTCAGGAGTGAAGCTGCAGACCTTCGTGGTGAGTGTTACAGCTCTTAAGGTGGCGCGTCTGGAGTTGTTCGTTCCTCCCGGTGGGCTCGTGGCCTCGCTGCCTTCAGGAGTGACGCTGTAGACCTTCGCGGTGAGTGTTAAGCTCATAAAAGCGGTGTGGACCCAAAGAGTGAGCAGTAGCAAGGTTTATTGCAAAGAGTGAAAGAACAAAGCTTACACAGTGTGGAAGGGGACCCGAGCAGGTTGCCACTGCTGGCTCTGGCAGCCTGCTTTTATTCTCTTATCTGGCCCCACCCACATCCTGCTGATTGTTAGAGCCAAGTGCTCTGTTTTGACATGGCGCAGATTGGTGTGTTTACAATCCCTGAGCTAGACACAAAGGTTCTCCACGTCCCCACCAGATTAGCTAGATACAGAGTGTGGGTTGGTGCATTCACAAACCCTGAGCTAGACACAGGGTGGTGATTGGTGTGTTTACAAACCTTGAGCTAGATACAGAGTGCTGATTGGTATATTTACAATCCCTGAGCTAGACATAAAGGTTCTCCAAGGCCCCACCAGAGTAGCTAGATACAGAGTGTCGATTGGTGCATTCACAAACCCTGAGGTAGACACAGGGTGCTGATTGGTGTATTTACAATCCCTGAGCTAGACCTAAAGGTTCTCCATGTCCCCACCAGACTCAGGAGCCCAGCTGGCTTCACCCAGTGGATCCTGCACTGAGGCTGCAGGTGGAGCTGCCTGCCAGTCCCTCGCTGTGCGCGGGCACTCCTCAGCCCTTGGGTGGTCGATGGGACTGGGCGCTTTGGAGCAGGGGGCGGCGCTCATCTGGGAGGCTCGGGCCGCACGGGAGCCCATGGAGTGGGTGGGAGGCTCAGGCATGGCGGGCTGCAGGTCCAGAGCCCTGCCCCGTGGGAAGGCAGCTAAGGCCCGGTGAGAAATCGAGCGCAGCGCCGGTGAGCTGGCACTGCTGGGGGACCCAGTACACCCTCCGCAGCCGCTGGCCGGGTGCTAAGCCCCTCATTGCCGGGGGCCGGCAGGGCCTGCCGGCTGCTCCCAGTGCGGGACCCGCCAAGCCCACGCCCACCCGGAACTCCAGCTGGCCCGCAAGCGCCGCGCACAGCCCCGGTGCCCGCTGGCGCCTCTCCCTCCACACCTCCCTGCAAGCTGAGGGAGCAGGCTCCGGCCTTGGCCAGCCCAGAAAGGGGCTGCCACAGTGCAGCGGTGGACTGAAGGGCTCCTCAAGCGCCGCCAAAGTGGGAGCCCAGGCAGAGGAGGCGCCGAGAGCGAGCGAGGGCTGTGAGGACTGCTAGCACGCTGTCACCTCTCAGTATGCTTTCTCTTGTCTGAAGAATAAATCTTGTGAAAACTGTTACTTTTAAATGTATATTTTAATGATATAAAAATTATAAATTTTGTACTTTTAAATCAAGGGCAACAGTAAAGTGGGTGTAGAAGGAAGGTTAAAATTTTTTATTTTTATTTTTATTTTTAATAGAACACCAAATTAACACAAACAATTATCCATGGGATTAATACAGATTCATCTGTATATCAAACCACCCAAACATACGTACATGAGCATTTTAAATACAGTCATTTGAATAAGAAGCTAAAAATAACTAGTTTTAAGTTACTTTAACAATAAGAAGTAATAATTCTACGTGAACCTATGGACCTTGTTACATTATTCCCTTAGCAATATAATTTTTTTCAAAGTGAATCAAGATGACATATTTTGATAAGAGTTGATTATTTCAATAATTTGATTGGATTCTTTATTATTATTAAAATTCCCAATGATGTTTAAACTTATATTTAAATTGATCGAAAATGTGTATTTAATCTATAGTACACATTCATAAAAACAAACCTAAAAATCGGATCACTTTTGGCTACCTGTTGGCTAGCATAAAATCTGGAAATTTCATTTTATCTACTAAATATGAAACTTTAGGATCGTATAATCTTAGAGCTTACGGGTATCAGGTCTTAGTTTTACTTTTCACAGATCAAATCCATAATATTGAAGTATCAGGAAGGTCGAGAAAATATTTTCAAATCATTAATTACTTGTTGACATGAGGAATTGAAGTAATCATAAATTTGTTATTTAAGAAAGTCCTAAAAATCATTACATATTTTGCTCAATGTGTGAGAAGATGTGAAGCACCCCTTTACCGACATCTAAAACACTGTTCATGAGCCACCATGTAGAAAATCTATTTGTAAATTGTATGGTGGTTGAGTTGCTCTGAAAGTCAGATTTTAAAGAATTTGTGGAGTTTTAGGTTTTGTGGTTTTGATTTAACACTGTTGAAAAAAAGTGGAGTTAAAGCCATACAAGCAGACAAGGGGAGAAGAGCCAGAGAAATGGCATAAATTTGAAGCTTTTTAAATTGAAGGACAAGGGGAATGCTCTGTGTTGAAATGATAAGAAGACAATTTAAGAGCCTGGATATTAACTTCTAAATGTATCTTTCTGTAATTAACCTCCCCCACCATCCCCCCCGCACAGGTATACAATTATTTTATAAAATCTATTAGACTCAGGAAAGTGACAGATGGGTGGTGGTTTGTTGTTGTTTTTATCCAAGAGGCTAAGATAGTCAAGAGGTGTCTGTTTAAGGGCATAAGCTTTGGAATATAACTCCCTGAGTTCAAATTATTTTTTCTCTTACATGAGTTATTTAACCTCCAAAACTCAGTTTCCTCCTCTGCAAAAAGGGAAGAATTGTTATGAAATTAAAATAAGAGATTCCGCATGTAAAGTGGTTCATTATTTTCTAGAACTTGTTTAACACCGGATGAATGCCATTTTAAGTGTAGATTTCTCATGCAGACTCAATGTGGAATGGAACTTAAGTATTACTTACATAGCATGCATATAAACAACAGCAAAGCGTTAGAGGAAATTCAACCTTCACTTTCACTCCCATCTGGTCCTGGAAATTCAGTAAGTTGTTACAAAGGTAGTTGGCATATTTAACAATGTTCAACAAGGTTACCTTCTTTTCCCAAGGGCCAAAGTAAACTCTTCTGATGACTCATTCGCAAATTACTTTTAATATAAGAGAGATTGTTCATCAGGTATACCAATAGAGGATGAAAATATCTATTATAAAAATTAATATTAAATTTTCTGAAAATAGCATTATGATTTACTGATTTGGTAATCATTTTCTATGAAAGATATTGAAAAACTTGAAAAGTAAGATGAATTGTAATAATTTGATTTTACAATATTGATGGTACTGAAAATTAACTGAAGAATTATGATTGGACATTAATAACTGTGGCAGATGCTGTAATGTGCCACTTAATTTCTCCTTCAAAGAAGAATCTGTTGCCTCAGTACAGAGAGGGCTGTTAAAAGTTAGCCTTCAGCTATCAGCTCCTTCAGAAATTGCGTCAGCTGCACAGAGCTGCCTTCCCAACACCACTTCCCTCCGCAGGGTGTCCACATCAAATAATTGATCCACTCAGGAGATTAAAGGCCTGGACATTAAGGCCTGACTTGGGACAACCCTGAAGGGCCCTTTCGGCTCCAGAACTCGTAGTGGGGATGGCCAAAGCTGTCAGTAGGCCTGTATCACAGCTCAGCTTCTTTCTCTAGCCATTCCTGATCCCTTCCCTTCAGTTCCAGTTATGTTAAGCCTGAGAGCCCACCTAAATAAATTTATCCTGAGCTATAAACTCCTCAGTTGGCTTCCTGGGAAACCCAAACTGGAAAAAATAGCAATAGTATTAATAATAATATATTATTATATTTATTGAATGATTGTCATGTGCCATGTATCTTGCTATCTGCTGTGCATTGTCCTTCTAAATCAGTGTCTAGAGAAACCTTAAGTTAAGGTACATACTTTACTTATTTTACAGATGGAAACAAGGAGAATTAGAGAAATTAAGCAATTTGCCTAAAGTGAAACTAACGACTTGGATTAATAGGTAGGTAGTGTGCAATTAGTACAGATCTTCTTGAAGTATCAGTATTGTTTCCAAGTATTACTTTTTAAAACTAGTGAAACTTATTTTCCAAAAGTGTTTTGTTCATTTGTAGACAAAGTATTATATAACACATGTTACAGAATACTTGAATAATTTGGTATAATATCACCAATGGATGTGAACTTTTCAGATGTATATTATTTAAGTATGCAGAATATGATTCTATTCACTCTATGCAAATGTAAATGTACAGTGTTAAGAACATAATAAAAGCATATTTTAAATTTTTTTATAAATATTTTTAGCATGATATATATAACATTTTGTTCAGACCTAGGTTTGTAGTTTTACAAAACAATGTCAATATCTCTTGAAAACTGGCAAACTTCTATGTTAACAATGTTGGTAAATTATGGTTTTAAATGTTTGATATGAATACTCAAGACTTAAAAGTGGTAGATGGATTAGGCCCCGGTACTCCTGAAACTGTCTAATGGAAAAAAAATAAAAAGAATGAAAAAAAGAAAGAAACATAGCCCAAAGTTAATAAGAAAAAGTTATCTGCTTCTTGTGAAAATACAGTATTTCTTTCTCATCTTTTTCTTTCATAAACCGTCAGGATTGCAGTGAGGCTGATAGCAGCTCGTAAGATTGCTATCTTTACTAAGTAGTTCTATAGTAACTTGGGAATAACTTTAAATTTAATGACTACAAATAACGTTCTAAATTGGTTGGTTTGCTGAAAAATAAAATCATGGAGAACAAAGAATAAAACTACTATAATAAAGCACTTCCTGATTATAAAATTGAGCTAAATGGTTTTCTGTGCGGAATAAAAGAGAGTCATTTTCAATTATTCCAAAAATTACCTGATGATAAACTTAATATAAGATGCACTTGTGTTCTATAATTCATTGCTATTTTCAAATAAAAATATTTGAATAAAAGTGCTTTGCAATGATTTATTTCTGATTACTTTCTTAAAAGTGTTACATTTTCCAGTTTAGTATATTTCATTTTAATGCTTTATTACTTATCTATGCTTTCAAATTTATGTAAGTTTCTATTTTGTGTTCTCAAGAAGAATTCGGAGACAGGCTACTGGGAATTCATTTGCCTAAGTACAACCTAAATCCTTTTGAAGAAATTGGTGAGAGATTTCGGTCTGTCAGTCAAGCCTTTAAGGCACAGATATTAAATGGCTTTAAAAGAAGAGACAGATTGAAAACAAAACAAATGCACTAATAACTACTTGGATCCAGAATATTTTAAGAAGGCGTGAAAATTTTTTGGGTAGTATAAAACAAAGCACTGGATTTATGAGTCAAAAGAAAAAAGAAAAGTTAATATTCTTAGTAGGCCACTTTCTCTGGTTAACTTTAGTAAATACTTTCCTTTGTTTATTAATAAAGTATTCTTTATTCTATTTTATTTTATCATTTAGGTTGACTTCCACAATGATGAGGAAACTAATATTTAATTGTCTTAATATTTAATGAGACAATACTTGCTAATTACCAGTCGTAGTAGGTATTTTATATTTTTTAACTTGCTGAATAAGTACAGTTATCTTGACATGGTTATTAGTAGCCTCATCTTAGCTTACTAATGTTCCTCACAGACGATCAGGAACCTAGTTCATAGGTAACCTAGATGGGATTTGAATTTGTGTCTTCCTGACTTCAAAGTTTATTATATTTCCACTGTAGCACACCACACTCATATTTTGAGTTTGTTCTCAAAGTAATAAACAAGATGAAAAAAAAAGCAACTAAAAATTAAATGAGGTTCATAGTCTGGGATCTATAGTTACTGAACTAATCTTGTCACTATTTCATATTCTTTCTTTGAAAATTAATAGGCACACAGTTTGGACTGACTATAGTGACTTTTTTGTTTCCCATGAATTTTCTGAGTGAAAGCCGTAAAATCCAGGTAGCATGAGCTTGCATCGTATGTATATACTACTACATAACCCTAATCTTACACTTTTCTTTGCAAATGACAATATTTCACTAAAAGTGACTTAAAATTATATCGATCATTATGTTGAATTTATGACATGTCTTAATTAATACTAACAACGACTCTAGAAAACCACGAAGGCAAAAATACCAAACAATGACCAAATTCTTTTGATTTGAATGCGTGTGATTAAAAATGAAATTCATGCAGGATTTTTCTTGACCCCTTCATGGGACTTGCAGTGGGGGAGCCCTGTTCACTCAGCCCACAGCGCTCAGCCCCTCGTGTGAGGGAGCACGTGAGTGTGTGAGTGTGGGATATGGTCAGCCCCTTTGGGCACCAGCAGGAACAAGCTCCATTTGCACCCAGCGGCCAGACTAGGCCTGAGTGAATAAGCGCAGGATCTGGCCAACTATTTTAGGTACTGGCAGGAGCAAGGTCTATGCAGGCCCCATGGTGGTGTCCAGGTGGGGGTGTCTGTGACCCTGTTACAATGCTGTCTTAGCTCTGTTGTCCATGGTCAGAAGTGTGTTATCAGCTCAGTTGGCCGCATGCCTAGTCACATGGGGTGGCTGCCCTCTGCCAGCTAGAACAAAGGGCCAGTGTGACAACCTCTTTTTAGGTACCCACCCTTAGTGGATACCAGAGCTCTTGCCTAGCATCCAAGAAAAATGAGGTCACATGGACACTTGAAGGATTGTGGAGGCAGATAATTTTACTTAGCAATGGAAATGGCTGTCAGTGGAGAGAGGAGCTAGAGGGGACCGGAAGGACAGGTCATCTTCCCCTGAAGTCCAGCGGTCTCCAGTCAGCTCTTCCTTGAAGTCAAGCTATCTCTCCGAAGTCAAGCCATCTCTCCTCCTAAGTCCAGCCATCCCTCTAAAGTCAAGTCGCCTCTCTCTCTTCTACTGAGTCTGGGGCACAGGATGGGTTGAGTGGGTGGTTGTAGGTAGTTTTGGAAAAGGCAACATTCTATTGGTAAAAAGACATTATTCAGAAAAAAATGATTGGGAGAGTAGACAAACAGGGATAGAAATTTTCACTTTGGGCCATGGGTTTCAGGCTTTTCTGCATGAAGGTGGGGTAACACAAGGGACCCGCCCCTGTCTGCCTAGAATTTCTGTCTTCTGCCTCTACCAAAATAATCCAATATTATTTTATCCTTGAAACATTTTCTGTCACATATGATTCTACTTAAAGCCTTCTGAAACTAAACTTCCTGGAATATCTTCTCTCTTTTTCCTTTTCTCTGCATTTTTCTGTTTCTCTTCCTCTATTTCCTCTCTCTTTCTCTCTCTCACTCCCTCTGTCTCTAAACATATATTATATAAATATATATATTATATTATATAAATATATATTTATATTATATAAAATAAATATATATTATATAATATAATATATATATTTATATAATATAAATATATTTTATATTATATAATATATATTTATATCATATAAATATACTTATATAAATATATATATTTATATCATATAAAATATAATATATTTATATTATACAAAATATAATATATTGATATTATACAAAATATAATATATTGATATTATACAAAATATAATATATTGATATTATACAAAATATAATATATTGATATACAAAATATAATACATTTATATTATACAAAATATAATATATTGATATTATACAAAATATAATATATATTGATATTATACAAAATATAATATATATTGATATTATACAAAATATAATATATTGATATTATATAAAATATATATTTATACAAAATATAATATATTTATATTATATAAAATATATATTTATACAAAATATATTTATATTATATAAAATATATATTTATACAAATTATATTTATATTATATAAAATATATATTTATATTAGAATATATATAGTGTGTATATATATAAATATTTCAACTTTAACTTCTCCATATACTCATTTACTTTAAAAGTTTGTTTCTTTTGTTAAGAAACAAAACCTAAAACATGAACCAAATAAATTTGTCTTAAGCTTTTACATCTTTTTCATGTAAAAGAAACTCACATGGCACACAAACGTCTTAGAATTACTAATCCAGAAGGAATATCTTTAGAAGTTAAATCTAAATCCTGGGGTATAGAATGCAACTGAATTTTACAATCAAAAGATTTTCCTAAAGCACACACACACACACACACACACACACACACATACACACACAAAGATTAAAATCTGACACCAAAATTCAGGATTTAATAGAGGCTTATTGTCCTAGAGCAAGTTTAATACCAATTATTTGACTTTATTATTATTACTTCAGATGCAAAATGTATTTAAAGGAAACAAGGAAGAAAACAGTAAGACAGGATTCATGTAAACCAACTGTATTTATTTATTTTTAATAATCTTGATAGCACAAGAAACGTAAAAAATACATGGCATAAGAGCATTTTAAAGGTTTTTTATCTCAGAGTAAACAGGCTAAGATTCAAAGTCGCAATCAAAATACAGTGAAATCAATTTGAGATTTTAAAATTAGGCTTCAGGAAACTTTAACACAATATTCTGTGGTAGAAAAAACTAACAAGGTAAAGGGAGATTTGTACTGTTTTTTGAAAATGCATTCATACTTGAAATAGGAGATCTAGTCAGAAAAAAATAATAAATATTTTGGAAGGCAAATCATGTAATTAGAAACTCTCCTATATGTGCCTGAACATTTTCAAAGAGCCCTAGAAAAATAAATGTTACTACTAAAAGCCCAATAATGTCCCTTTACATAATGCCTTCTCCCCCTCAAAATGTTTACATATATCCTTTTATTCTAAGAATTGAGAAGGAACAAATGAAACACCCAGTACATATATATTGCAAACATGCTGCAAAGATACATTGAAACTCAATATTCCTCATCATAAACCTTACACCAGAATTTTAAGGATATGTACTTTCCTTGTGGGGTCATGCTAGTAATACATGAGAGAACTCTCTGATTCTTGTAGTACTTGTCTATTATTAGTTTCTGCTATAATAATTACCACAAACTTAGAGTTTTATATTTAAAAATAAGCAATATGTACAATTTGGGAAGTCAGGAGGTCAAAATAAGTCTCGCTGGTCTACAGCTAAGGTGTCAGCCGGGCTGGTTTATTCCGGAGGCTCCATGGGATAATTTATTTTCTTTCTTTTTTCAGCATCTGGAGCCACCTGCATTCCTTGACTCATGATCATCTTCCTTGTTCAAAGCACATTATTCCAACCACTGCTTCTGTCCTCACATCTCTTTTCTGTGACTGTGACCTGCTTGCCTCCCTGTTATGGGAACCCATATGATTCTGCTCGACCGTCCTTAGTAAAATTATACAGGTAATCTCTCTATTCCAAGGTCCTTAACTTAATCACATCTGCAAAATCTTTTTCTTTTTTTTGCTATGTAAGATAATATATTTGTAGGTTAGAAAAATTAGGGTGTGCTCATCTTTGAGATGACATTCTATCACAATTCTATACATTTATTTTCTAATCTGTCTGAATAGTAATAAAAACTTAGGTGAAGAAAGAATATTATCTAAGGGTACATCACAAATAATTCAAAGTTACTTAAGACAAACTACTAAAATAATCATACAAGGATTTCTGATAGTAACATATTTGTTGTGCAATTAGCATCTATATATATATATATATATATATATTTTTTGACATGGAATTTCACTCTTGTTGCCCAAGCTGGAGTGCAGTGGCATGATCTCCGATCACTGCAACCTCCACCTCCTGGGTTCAAGTGATTCTCCTGCCTCAGCCTCCTTAGTAGCTGGGATTACAGGCACGCACCACCACGCCCAGCTAATTTTTGTATTTTTTTTTAGCAGAGATGGGGTTTCACCATGTTGGCCAGGCTGGTCTTGAACTCCTGACCTCAGATGATCTGCCCGCCTCGGCTTCCCAAAGTGCTGGGATTACAGGCGTGAGCCACTGAGCCCAGCCCCCTAATTTTTTGAAATAGTAATGCTTCTATGTGTTTGACTAGGATATTGAAACTAACTCCATGAAATATAGAAACCAAGTCCTTCATACAATCTAAAAATACCTGTTCAACAATGTCATATCAAGATACACACATAAATATACAAATACACACATACAAGCATATATATATATACACATTACACGAAAAGTTAAGCCATGTTCTATAATTTTATCTCAACAATATGTTATATAACAAGATCCACTGTCTATTATAACCCATCATCTCTTAATTCAGTAGCCAAGCTTATCTTTGCTTCAGAACAATTTCAGTCTTCGTTAAATTAATCAACACATCTTTGTTGAACTATGATTACCATTAAATCTAATGTCACCAAGTGTAATCCAATCCTTATTGCTAAGGGAGAGTCCCTAACATCTTCCTGACAATTAATTAATCACAGTACTGTTTGTTTCTTATAATTCTATCTGCCAATGTAACACTGTGATTCAAGAAATACTATTATGCTGATCTATGAGTGAGAAACTCATGATAATATTATTGAATTTTGTTCATGTCTATGCCAAGAATAGATCTTTAGACACCGCTGTAGTTAAGTAAATACTGACAATGTCATTTTTCATATGTTTTATTAAAAAAAATGGAAAATTTTACAGTTTTAGCCTATTTTTGCAAGAACTACTCTAGACTTCTTTGAAGAATCAAAGCTATTATCAAATTCCAAATTGACTCAGTGGCCAAACTTATGGTCTGCCTGGGGCATTACAAATCACTAAACATGGAAGGCTAAAATGTACTCTAATATTCATGACACTTTTATGTATTTCCTGATTTTGAAATGCTTTAGAAACAAAATTGTGAGTTAACCTTCTCCGTAACATGTTAAAAAATGGACAAGAAATATGTGATTGAATTATTGTCTCAATGCATCTAACAAAAATATTGAACACACAAAAATGAATGGCACTAGCCCACAGTAAAAAATATATATATATACTATAAAAGTTAGAGAAAATGCTTTAGCAAATCGTTATGCTAAATAAAGTGTTCTGACTTAAGTTTTTTTGCAAAGACAAATCCATGGAGACATTTGTAGATTTTGCCGTAGATGCACAATCTCTGACTCCTGAGCCTGAAAATATACTAGGAAAAATCAGCTTGTCAGAACAAATGGAAAATAATTAGCAAAGCCAGGTGGCTGTGTATTGGGACCAGAAACCTCAAGTGGACATAATGAGACAACTCTCTAAATAGAGTCAAACACTGCTGGGAAAACCACTCTGAAATAGCAACTCATGATTCATCTGTAACCAACAACATGCTGAAAACGCTGTAAGGGTAGCACATACACGAGAACTGTATCCTATGGGAAGATACAAGCACCTCTAGATGAATTTTATGTTGCTGCTTCCCACGATAAGGTAAGAAAATACATTAATGAATATATGTTTTTTGTGTTGAAACTTTTGCCTATTTAAAAAGCAGCATACCTGTGCCTTAGCAAACTATGACAATACTTAGATTATACCAATTTACTTATTTAGTGATGAAGAAGTACATTTTCCCACAACAGTTATGTGTAAACAATACAAAAAAACATTGCCTTTTACTCAGGAGACTCATTGTACTTATTATGGCAAATAATATGAATAAGATAAAAAATTAAATGAAACATTAGCATAGAAATTAGTTGAACTAGCAAATAACCTTGAAATCCCATGGGTTAAAGTACTTTTCTTAGCTGTCATGACAGTGCATTCTTATCTTTGAGGGAGTCATAGCTTCAGTCTAAGAACTGATTCTGAATTCAATCCTTTACATTTTTATCTATCTAAATGTTGTGAGGAACTTAAGAAGTATAGTCTTTTCTATCAATAATAAGTACAGGATATTTTGACTCTCCAACTATCTAATTGTCTTCTATGTGACTATGATGTATCCTTAATCACTGCCAGATTGATATTGATATTCAATGTAAATTACCTTATGGTGCTCTCCCAATGAAGTTAAAAAACATTTCCCTTTGGGTGTACACTTAACTACTAACATAAGCCATCCTCAAATCATGATAATTAATAAAATAAAATAATTAATAAAGTACTAATAAAGTATTTTAATTAGAGAACCTCCAAAAGCAGTCATAGATGATCCAATAACAATGGAAAGCAAATAGCTTAATAAAGTAAACAATTTTCACATAAGACCACCAGAAAAATATTTTGTTTAAATATCTGGAAACAGTGATTGTTACTATCTCTTTCCCATACTTTGATTATATTTTTTTCTCTTTACTGATTTACTAAAAAAAATACATTTATGACTGGTTATAATTTTGTGTATTCTGTTACCATTATTAAAATTTCCCATTAATTTTTCCCTATTTTTTTTCCTCCTGAAACTTGTCCAGAATGCCACATCACATTAAATTGTCATGTATCCTTAGGCTGCTTTTGACTATGATAGTTTTTCGGACTTTCCTTGTTTTTGATAACCTTGATAATTTTGAGCAGTACTGGACAAGTAACTGTGAAATGTTCCTCCATATTTCACATCATTATTCAAATAGGAATTTGTCTAATGTTTTTTTTCATTACACTGGAATTATGCATTTTGGAAAAAGAAAATCGTAGTGATAACGTGCTATGTTCATCCTATCTTATCAAGTGTATGTATTATCAACCTGAGTTATCAATGTTGATGTTCATCTTGATCACCTAGGATGAGGTGATGTTTGCCAGGTTTTTTCTACATTAGAGTTACAATTTTTCCACTCTCCATTCGGCAAACTTTGGAAAGAAGTCACTCTATGCAGCCCACACTTACAGAGTGAGGATTTATGCTACATAACCTTAATGCCAGAATATCTACATAAATTATTTAAATTCCAGTGAATAGGACATGTTTTTATTCTCTGTCATTCATTACCTAATGTATTAATTCCTTATATTGTCCTGCAACATGGGTGTTAATTTTAAATTTTAGGTTATGTTCCAAAATAATTTTATTTATTTTATTGTTCAAGTTATTCTAGCTTTGGCCATTGGGTGCTCTTTCAGTTGGCTCCTATTTCCCATTGACCTATCCCTACCATTGTAGTGTTTTCTAAGCACTTCATTACTTTCAGACTTTACAAGTTGCTGTAGGCTAATCTTGTGTGTTTTCTTCTCCAGTTATAATGTCAACCATTTCTCCAATAATTCTTGGCTCCTGTATTGAAATGGTATTGGAAACCAAGATCTGGGTGCTAAGTGTGCTCACTTGGATGACATTGCTTCTAGGCCCACTCAGCTAACACAGCAAGGAAATGTATATGTGTGTACTAACCCATGTCCATGCAGATGTCTATAAATACTTATCCATGTAAACATCTGTGTCTATATTAAGATAAACATGAGTTCACACTGATGTTTATAACTCTAATCAGGTACCACATGAATTATTCTACCTTTCCCTTCTTACTTGTCTCTGATCTCCTACACTAACAGTGGGAAAACTAACTCATACCACCTGCCATCCATTTACTTAAAAGATTGATTTCATACAGGTATAGCATTCATGATTTTCAATCCACAACCCTGTGGGAACAACTGCACTACCTACAGTCAAGTGCTTATGTACAGATTTTGCCTTTAGTCTTACAGATTCCTCTTTTTTTCCAAAATTACTTAGGTCAATAACTTTTCCCTTGTTCCTTTCAGTGAGAATGTTCCCAACATTTGTAATACAGGTGTAATATTTTCTCATATTCTATTTTCTATGTTGAGACCTCACAACATATTAGATGATTTTACAAAATTTGCTTACATTAAGTTTCACTCTTTGTGCTATAAAGTTCTATGTATTCTGACAAATGATGATTGTTATTTATCCATCATTATAATATCACACAGAATAGTGTCAATGTCTTAAATTTGTGTAGTACTTCAGCTTTTCAACCCTACTTTTCCCTGAACCCCAGACAATTTCTGTGTATGGATGAACCATAGTATTTTTTTTAAATCTATGCATCTATGAAAAGATATTTTGGTTGGTTCCA
The DNA here is from genome assembly GCF_000001405.40 of Homo sapiens. Lineage (NCBI taxonomy): Eukaryota > Metazoa > Chordata > Mammalia > Primates > Hominidae > Homo > Homo sapiens. Next base: position 188,854,331 of record NC_000001.11, read on the forward strand.
GTTTGGGGCAATTATGAATAGAACAGATATAAAGATTTTCAAGCAAGTTTTTGCGTGAACATAAGTTTTCAAGTCAGTTGAGTAAATACCTAGGGTGTGATTCTTGAATCATATGGTAATACTGTTTAATAAAAGACTTCTAACTTGTATTCTGAAGTGACTGTACCAGCTTGAATTCTCAATAACAATTAATAAGGGTTTTTGTTTCTCCATATATTCTGAACAATTGGTACTGTCAGATGTTTAGATTTTAGCCATTCTAATAGGTGTGTAATAGTACACCATCATTTTTTAGAGTTGCATTTCTCTAATGACAAATAACGTTGAACATTATTTCATATACTTATTTGTTATTTATCTTCTTGCTGAAGTGTCGGTTTATATTTTTACCCATTTTTGTTTTTTTTTTTAATTTTCTATTACATTCAAGGGTAATTGTGCAGGTTTGCTATGTAGGTAAATTTTGTGTCCTGTTTTTTTTAAGTCTCTGATATATTTTGAGATTTTTTGTTGTTGTGAAAGGTGTAAGTTTCATGTTTAAGTTGACTTTTGGGTTTTCTTTTATTTTGTTTTGCATATGAATGTTGAGTTACTCTCGCTTTATTGTGGAAAGTCTCCATTTAATCATCCTTGTGTTTTGGTTGGAAAGCAGTTCATTCAGTTCAACAAATTCTTTTGAACGTAAACAAGCATAAAATAAGTTAGTATATCTTAAAACCACACACATATAAAAAATAGACAACAGCATATAAATACCTATGTAGGTCTAATTATAATGTTTTTTTTTAAAAAGTATGGATTGATGTTCATCACAAATATGCTCCTTTTTGTCTAACATTTTATTCCTTTTATGTCTCTTAAGGTTGAGAATGTAGTTTTCCTGAAAATCTCCAACAAATCTGATGCTTTCGCTGTGAAGTATGTTTCTTAGCAAGTCTGTCTTGCAGCTCCTTCTAGAAAGTGCTTCTTTGTTAAGTGGTCTCCATGTTACTTCTTAGCTAACATTGGGGAAGCTAGGCTGAACTGCTTCACCCTGTTCACTCTGCTAGGTGAACAGCCTTAAATCCTTGAAAGTGGGTATTATTAGGTAATATGAGGGTGCCTTGATGGCTTCGCTGGTGACACAAACATGCATGCACACATACATGGATATATATGTGTGTGTGTATGTGTGTGTGTATATATATATAAAACATAAAAATGATATAGGTGTACGCATATCTATATATACAAATATAGATATATGTATATATACATATATACAGATACATATCTGCACAAATATATAGATATATATACCTCTTTTAGTATTGACAAATACACGCACACATACACACACAAACACACACACACATATATACCTCCATGAACCCCCCACGCCAATCAAGATAGAAAATTTCCGTAACCCCAGAATCTTGTGACAGCTTGCATGCATCCACCCCACTTACCATGGGTAAATATTGATGTGGCTTATGTCCTCATAAATTAGTATTTCCTGTTCTAGAATTTTGCATACACATATTCATACAAGATGTATTTGGTTGGGTCTGGATTCCATTTCTACACACAATGTCTATGAGTTGTGTTGATGCCTTTGCATTTGTCAGCAGTTTGTTCACTTTTATTTGCTATATAAAAAAGTTAGTATGGGCATTTGAGTACATGTCTTTTCCTGACTTATATTTGTATTTCTTTATGCTATTTAAATACATAGGAGTATACTTTCTCATACAAGCATGTGTGCTGAGAACTTTGTAAAAAATTGCTAAACCATTTTGCCGTTTCGTTTTTACTTTTTAAAATTTCCACCTGAAATATATGAGATATTTCCAATTTCTCCACATTCTTGTCAGTAGTTTGATGTCTTAAAAAAATAACTCTTCTTTTTGGTATGAAATGACATCACATTGTGGATTTATCAATATTCCCTTGATTACTAAAACTACTAAAATATTTTAAAGTATTTATTAGCCATGCTTTTTTTTTTGGTGAATGGTTTATTCAACCTGGGTTAACCATTTTCTTCATTTACTTGTCTTCTTTTTGTTGAGATGTGAGAATTCTTGAATAGTGTATCTCTCTCTTACTGTCTCTCAGACACACACATATACCCAAACCCACCTGATTTTTTAAAACAAGTAACACTTCCTGATGTTAACATCTACATGTTGTATGCATATCAGTAACAGCTAAAATATTAATTTTGAAATTTATTACACTTTTGTTTTTGAAAATAGTAACTGCAAATAAACCAAGATGATAATACTCTTTCTAAGGTACTTAAATCTATGGAAGCCTAACAAACTTAAATCTATAGATGTCTATTTATTGAAGAGCACAAAATGGAAAAAGTTACTATTAGTACTAATATGAATAATGCTTGATATACTCATTTCATTCTCTAGAAAATTATTTCAGTGAGAAGATATTAGTTATTTACATTTGCTTTGTTTGACAAAGTGAAGAAAAAATCATTTTGAGGGGAAAAATACGGAGTCTATAGAGTTTCAAAAACAGATATTCTATGCTGTTTATTTTTACACTAATTCCTCAAGTCTTCTAGAAATAATGTTTTTAAAATATGCCATTAATTATTGGTATAAAGGAACACCTATTTTTCTTTTTTGTAATTCATAACCAGCTGTCATCACACAATCAAATTTTGTGGGAGAAGCTCACAGCCGAGCAAGCCAATGTTCATATAATGGATTGATTTGCAAACTGTTTTCCAGCTCAACACTATCCGCAATACACATTATTTCCTACTACTTGTGAACTTCTAGTATTTTGCATTCCTTCGTTGAAAACAGGAAAAGAGAAGGTCATCGTATTATCAACATTCTAGATGTAAGCTAAATAATTACAAGTTAAATAATAAGTTGACCAAATCCAAATTTTCAGGAGCATTGATTAATCATATGCAGTGACATATGATACAAATCATTTGCAAATCACTTTACAAAAAGATTATTAATAAAGTGTTCCTTGATAATAGGAAAGCTTGTTTACAAAAGCCACCTCAGTCTACATCCTTTCCACTAGGAATAATTAAACCTAAATTTTTTTTTGAAATAATTATGTCTTTACATAATTAAGCATTTAAATTAATCATCGTTTAGAGCACTACTAAGAGGTGACAGCTGCTGGCAGCCCTCACTCGCTCTTGGCGCCTCCTAGGCCTCCTCGCCCACTCTGGCCGCACTTGAGAAGCCTTCAGCCTGCAGCTGCACTGTGGGAGTCCCTCTCTGGGCTGGCTGAGGCTGTAGCCGGCTCCCTCTGCTTGCAGGGAGGTGTGGAGGGAGAGGCGCAGGCAGGAACTGGGGCTGCGAGTGCGGCGCAGCGTGGCGCTAGAGGGCCAGCGCGAGCTACGAGTGGGTGTGAGCTACGAGTGGGTGGGGGCTCAGCAGGCCCAGTACTCCGAGCAGCCCGGCGGGTGCCACCGCCCCCAGGCAGTGCGGGGCTTAGCACCCGGGCCAGCAGCTGCAGAGGGTGCACTGGGTCCCCCAGCAGTGTTGGCCCGCCAGTGCTGTGCTCGAATTCTCGCGGGGAGTCAGCTGACTCCCGCAGGGCAGGGCTCAGGACCTGCAGCCCGCCATGCCCGAGCCTCCCCGCAGCGTGGGCTCCTGCGCTGCCCGAGCCTCCCCAACAAGCACTGACCCCTGCTCCCAGGCACCCAGTCCCATCCACCGCCCAAGGGCTGAGGAGTGTGGGCACACCGCTAGGGACTAGCAGGCAGCTCTGCCTATGGCCCCTGCTGTGGGATCCACTAGGCGAAGCCAGCTGGGCTCCTGAGTTGGGTGAGGACTTGGACAACTTTTATGTCTAGCCAGAGGGTTGTATATGCACCAATCAGCACTCTGTGTCTAGCTTGAGGTTTGTGGATGCACCAATCAGCATTCTGTATCTAGCTAATCTGCTGGGGACTTGGAAAACCTTTATGTCTAGCTAAAGGATTGTAAATACACCAATCAGCACTCTGTGTCTAGCTCAAGGTTTGTAAACACACCAATCAGAACCGTGTGTCTAGTTCAAGGTTTGTAAACGCACCAATCAGTGCTCTGTGTCTAGCTCATCTAATGGGGGACTTGGAGAACTTTTGTGTCTAGCTAAAGGATTGTAAATGCACCAATCAGCACTCTGTGTCTAGCTCAAGGTTTGTAAATGCACCATTCAGTGCTCTGTGTCTAGCTAATCTAGTGGGGACTTGGAGAATTTTTGTGTCTAGCTAGAGGATTGTAAATACACCAATCAGCACTCTGTGTCTAGCTCAGGGATTGTAAATGCACCAATCAGCACCCTGTCAAAACGGGTCAGTTAGCTCTCTGTAAAATGGACCAATCAGCAGGATGTGGGTGGGGCCAGCTAAGGGAATAAAAGCAGGCTGCCCCAGCCAGCAGTGGCAACCCGCTTGGGTTCCTTTCCGGATTGTGGAAGCTTTGTTCTTTTGCTTTTTGCAATAAATTTTGCTGGTGCTCACTGTTTGGGTTCACACTGCCTTTATGAGCTGTAACACTCACCGTGAAGTTCTGCAGCTTCACTCCTGAGGCCAGCAAGACCACGAACCCACCAGGAGGAATGAACAACTCCAGATGCGCCGCCTTAAGAGCTGTAACACTGACCGCGAAAGTCTGCAGGTTCACTCCTGAAGCCAGTGAGACCACGAACCCACCAGAAGGAAGAAATTCCAAACATGTCTGACAATCAGAAGGAACAAACTCCAGACACACCATCTTTAAGAACTGTAACACTCACCGCGAGGGTCCACGGCTTCATTCTTGAAGTCAGCAAGACCAAGAACCCACCAATTCCAGACACGCTACCATATAGAGCAATGCATTATAAAATACTTTAGGCTTAAGCAAATAAAAAATATTTATATCAAAGAAAATGAGTTCAAAATGTGTTTAACAATATTTGTATTCTAAATTGTTAATGGCATATTTAAATATTTTCTTTATATAATGAATTAGGAAAACAGTAACGAATAATCACAGTAGATGTAAACGGAACTGTTCTTTGCAAAGTTAAGGTTTTAAAAAGCTTATGTGATGAATATGGGCAAATGAAAATCTATTACAAATAGTCCTATTTGTTTATTATAAATAAACTCTAAAGGTTAATTATTTTTATATGAAGTGTGTGTGTGTGTGTGTGTGTGTGTGTGTGTATGTGTTATGGTCTATTAAGATCAGGAAGCAAAAATTCAAAGTAAAAATGAGAAAGATGTGGGACTTTCTTCATTAAGCTGGGTTTTGAAATATTTTTACCTTTTCCTGAGTTTTGCATTTCTCATTTTCTTATTTCATTGAAAGAATATTTTCCTTTTTTCTTTAAAATAATTTATTGAGATATTGGTATATAAATTGCTGTAAATATTTAATGTATACATTTTGAGGAGTTTGGAGGATGTATCTATCCATGAAACCATCACCACCATCAAGGCTATATACATACGTGTATCACCTTCCAAAATTTTCTCCTCCTCTCTTTATTATTATTATTGCTTTTTCATGACAAGAAAATTTAATATTTCTTCTCTTAACAAAATTTAATACACAAGTTCAGTATTATTATATGTAGGCACTAATATGGTTTGAATGCTTGTCCCCTCCAAATCTCATGTTGAAATTTGATTCTCAGTGTTGGAAGTGGAGCCAAGTGGGAGGTGATAGGACCATGGGAGCATGGGAGCAGTTTTCTCATGAAGAGTTTAGCATGGTACCCTTGCTGGTAAGTGAATTCTCTTTTTTTTTTTTTAAGACGGAGTCTTGCTCTGTCGCCCAGGCTGGAGTGCAGTGGCATGATCTGGGCTCACTGAAAGCTCCACCTCTCGGGTTCATGCCATTCTCCTGCCTCAGCCTCCGAGTAGCTGGGACTACAGGCACCCACCACCATTCTCAGCTAACTTTTTTTTGTATTTTTAGCAGAGATGGGGTTTCACCGTGTTAGCCAGGATGGTCTTGATCTCCTGACCTCGTGATCCACCCACCTCGGCCTCCCAAAATGCTGGGATTACAGGCGTGAGCCACTGTACCCGGCCCCGTGAATTCTCACTGTTACTTCACTCATGATCTGGTTGTTTAATAGAGCCTCGGACCTCCCCGTTCTCTTTTCTGCTTCTTTTCTTGCCATGTAACATACAAGCTCCCACTTAACCTTCTTCCAACATTGACCAAAGAAATTAAAGTACACACACAAATAAATTGAAAGATATCCCGTTCATTAATTGAAAGTGATAATATTGTTAAAATGTCTGTTCTACCTATGAACTGAAAGAAAATATTTGCAAACCATATACCTGATAAAGGGTTAATATTCAAAATAGCCAAGGAACTTATACCACTGAATAACCAAACAAACAATCAAGTTAGGAAAGGGTATAAAGGGCCAGATACAGTGGCTCACACCTGTAATCTCAACAATTTGGGTACAAAGTTTTAGCTATGCAAATTTTGAAGCGTACAAAGTTTCAGCTATGCAAGACAAATACCCTCCAGAGATCTACAGTATTACAAAGTCTGGTTTTGCATTGCTATAAAGAACTACCTGAGACTGGGTAGTTCATAAAGACAAGAGTTTTAATTGACTCACAGTTCTGCAGGCTGTATAGAAAACCTGGTGTTGGCATTTGCTCAGCTTCTGGTGAGGCCTCAGGGAGACTTTCCTCAATTTTTAAGAGTTTTGAGTGTATAGGTTTTTCTCTTCCCTAGTTAACTATATACCCATGAATTTTATTTCTACTCATGGCCATTATTAATGCAATTTTTAAATTTTTTTGTGTAGTTTGTTTGTAGTGTATAAAATAGCAACTCGTTTTTGTATGGTGATTTTGTATTTGGCCAAGTTACTAAATTCAGTTTTTAGTTCTAACAGTATTTCTGCTGAAGTTTTTAAGGTTTTCTACATACAAGGTCATGACATCTGCAAATAGATAATGTTTTTATCTCTTCCTTTCCACTTTGAATGACTTTATTTCCTTTTTCTTTTTGCCTAATTGCTCTGAATAGAAATTCCAGTAGTATGTTAAATAAAAGTGGCAAAAGTGATTATTCTGGTCTTCTTTCTAATTATAGAAGAAATGCTTTCAGCTTTTCACCATTGAGTATGATGTTAGCTGTGAGCTTGATATATATCGCATTTATTATGTTAAAGTACATTCCTTCAATAACTTAGAATTTTTATCATTACAAATGTTAAATTTTGTCAAATAATTTTTCTGCATATAGTGAGATGATTGAGGTTTTCCTTTATTCTGCTAATGTAGTGTACTACATTTATTGATTTGCATATGTTTAACCATCCTTGCATTCCTTGGCTAAATCCAAATTGATCATAGGGTATAATTATTTTAATGCACTACTGAATTCATTTTGCTAGTATTTTGTTGAGAATGTTTGCATCAATATTCATCAGAAATCTTGACCTGTAATTTTATTTTCTTATAATGTCCCTGGCTTTTATATCAGGGACTGGTCTCATAAAATGAGTTTGGAAGTGTTCCTCACTTTTTTGGGGGGAAAAGGTGATTAGAATTGGCATTAATTCTTATTTAAATATTTATATAATTTATCTTTAATTCATCTTAGCCTGAAATAATCTGTATTTTAGAGGTTTTTTTAAATTGCATATTCAATTTCTTTACTTATAAAAGGTCTGTTCTGATTTTCTTTTTCTTTATGGTTCAAACATAGTACATTTTATGTTTCTAGAAGTTATTTTATTTTTTGAGTTCTTAAACTTTTTGGTGCGTAATTGTCCATAGGATTCTTTTATGATCCTTTGTATTTCAGTGATATCAATTTTGACGTCTTCTCTTTCATTTGTAATTTTCTTGATTTGATTCCTGCTCATTAATTTTCTTGACTATTCTAGCTAAAGTTTTGTCAATTTTATCTTTTTAAAAAACACTAATTTTGTTAATTTTTATGTTGTTTTCTGTTATTTACTTCATTAATCTCTCCTCTGTTTATTATTTCCTTTCTTCTCTTAACTGGGGACTCATTTTATTCTCTTATTCTAGTTCCTGTTGATGTGAAGTTAAGTTTTGGAGATCTTTTCATGCTCCTTAATGCAGGAATTTATCATTATAAACTTGTTGGCTGGGCGCTCACGCCTGTGAATACCAGCACTTTGGGAGGCTGAGGCAGGCAGATCACGAGGTCAGGAGATTGAGACCGTACTAGCTAACATGGTGAAACCCCGTCTCTACTAAAAATACAAGAAATTAGCCAGGCGTGGTGGCAGGCTCCTGTAGTCCTAGCTACTCCAGAGACTGAGGCAGGAGAATGGCATGAACCCAGGAGGTGGAGCTCGCCGTGAGCTGAGATTGTGCCACTGCAATCCAGCCTGGGTGACAGAGAGAGACTCCATCTAAAAAAATAAAAATAAAAAAAATTACAAACTTATCTCTTAGAATTACTTTAGCTGCATTTTGTGAGTTTTGATATGTTACATTTTCATTTTAGTTTGTCTCAAGACATAATTTGATTTCTCTTTTAATTTTTTTTGACCAATTGATTGTCCAAAAATGTGTTAATTTCCACATTTGGAATTTTTAAATTTTTCTACTATTATTGAGTTCTAATTTTCTATCTCTGCAATTAGAAAAAAAAAATGCTTGATGTTATTTTAATCTTCTTAAGTTGTTATGTCTTGTTTTGTGACCAAGTATACACTATGCCCCAGAGAATGTTCTTTTTACTCTACATAAGAATGTGGTATACTCTGCTGCATTTAGATAGAACGTTCTGTATGTCTGCTAGGCCCAGTTGGTCTACAGTGTTTTCAAGTGTAATGTCTTTTTATTGATATTCTGTCTGAATAATCTATTGATTATTAGGGTAATGAAGTATCCTACTATTGCTGTATTATTGTCTATTACTCTCTTCATTTCTGTTCATATTTGCTTTATTTATTATTTATTTATTTATTTTTGAGACAGGGTCTTGCTCTATTACCTAGGCTGGAGTGCAGTGCACGATCTAGGCTCACTGCAACCTCCGCCTCCTGGGTTCAAGTGATTCTCATGCCTCAGCCTCCCAAGTAGGTGGGATTACAGGTACATGCCACCACGCTGGCTCATTTTTTTGTAATTTTAGTGGAGATGGGTTTTTACCATGTTGACCAGGCTGGTCTTGAACTCCTGACCTCAAATGACCCATCTGCCTTGGCACCCCAAAATGCTGGGATTACAGGTGTGAGCCTCTGTGCCTGGCCCAATTTGCTTTATTTTTTTGAGTGCTATAATATTGGATGCATATATATTTATAGTTGTTTATACTGTTGATCAATTAACCTCCTTTTTATTTTATAATCTTCCTCATCTCTTCTGATAGTTTTTGACTACAGTCTATTTCATCTTCTGTAAATATAGACCACTCTTCTTTCTTGATTACCATTGGCATGGGATATCTTTTTGATATCCCTTCAATTTCAGCCTATGTCTGTCTTTAAATCTAAATGAGTCTCCTGTAGGGAGTATAGAGACATATCTTATTTTATTATTCATTGAGGCACTTTCTGTTTTCTAACTAATTTATTTCATTTATATTTAAAGTAATTATTGATAGGTAAGAACTTACTATTGTCAATTTACTAAATGTTTTCTAAGTGTTTTGTAAATCATTTGCTCCTTTCTTCCTCCCTTGTGGTCTTTCTTTGTGATTTGATGATTTTCTGTATGCTTTAATTCATTTATCTTTATCTTTTGTGTATATACTTTAAGTTTATGCTTTTTGATTACTATGAGCCTACATAAAATACCTTGTAACAGTCTAATTTAAATTAATAATTTAACTTAATTGCATACAAAAACTCTGCCCTTTTACTTCTCCCTCAACACATTTTACATTATTGATATGACAATTTACATCTTTATTATAGTGTGTATCCATTAACAAATTTTTGTAGTTATACTTACTTTAAATGTTTATCTTTTTATTTTTTATTTATGCTAGAGTTAAAAGTGATTTATGTACTACCATTACAGTATTGCAATATTTTAAATTTGACTACATATGTACCTTTATTAGTGAGTTTGATAAATTAACAATTTTTATATTCTAATTAGATTCCTTTCGTTTCAACTTAAAGGACTTGTAGAATTTCTTGTAAGGATGTCTAGAGGTGATGAATTTCAGTATTTGTTTGTCTGGGAAAGTATCTTTCCTTCATTCTGAAGAACAGTTTTGGATTGTATATTATTCTTTGTTGGCAGCTTTTTTAAATGTTGGCATTTTTAATGTAATGTCTCACTTTCTCCTGACCTACAAGGTTTCTGCTGATAAATCTTCTGATAACATTATGGAGGTTCCCTTTTATGTGATCAGTCTCTTTTGTCTTATGGCTTTTAATATTCTCTGTTTGTATTTGACTTTTGACATATTGATTACAACATGGCTTATAAGCACATTGAACTTTGATTATAACTTGCCTCATAATAACAATGAAAGAAGGTTGAACTTTTTTATGTTCAACATTATATGGAATTCTTTGGGCTTAAGGTATCTGGATGTTTATTTCCCTCTATATTGGTAAATTTTATGTAATTATTTCATTATAAGCGTCTGCCTTTTTCTCTTTCTCTGATGCTACTGAGGTTCCCTTTATGTGTATGTTCGTCTGTTTGATGATGTCCCATAAAGCCTTTAGGTGTTCTTCACTGTTTTTTATTCTTTCTCTTGTTTTTGTTTCTCTGACTGGATAGCTTCAAATAATCTACCTTCAACTTTTTCTGCTTGGTCAAGTCTGCTGTTAAAGGTTTTCCTTGATTTTTTTAAAAAATCAGGCACTCTTATTCTTCAATTCTAAAATTCGTTTTGTTTTTCTTGCTCTATGTTGAACATTTTAATATGTTCATTTCTTTTAAAAATTTTATTTTAATAGATTATCGGTCTTCCTTAGAAGTTCACTGATCCCCTTGAAGACAATTATTTTGAGTTTTTTGTCAGGAAATTTACAAATTTTTCTTTGGCGTCAGACACTGGAGCTTTTTTTTTTTGTCTTTTTTTTAACTTTTACTTAAGTTCAGGGGTACAAGTGCAGGTTTGTTACATAAAGGTAAACGTACCATGGGGGTTTCTTGTACAAGATTATTTAATCTCCCAGGTATTAAGCCTAGTACCCATTAGTTATTTTTCCTAATCCTCTCCGTTCTCCCATCCTCCACACTCCAGAAGGCCCCATGTGTTGTTGCCCTCTATGTGTTCATGTGTTCTCATCATTCAGCTCCCACTTATAAGTAAGAACATGCAATAAACCATGCACTCACTGCTGTCTTTAGAACTGATGAAACAGTCACCATCAGTCTTTACTGACAGGCACAGGTAGAGATTCTGAGGTTCTGTTAGACCTTTTATATGAATTTATCCACTTTACTCTCATATTCTTTTAGCATGAAAATCTTGGGATTGTATCACTGTCTTCTTCCAATCCCACAAAGCTGCACCTGGTGCTGAAAGCCCCCCATTAAGTTTTCCTAGGTTAGTGACCTGAAGTGTTAAAGATTATTTGCCTTATCACAAACCAGCAGAATTGAGCTGACTGTTAAGATCTGTACCAGCTATTGAGATCCACATCCTGTCTACAGAATTACATGAGGGCCTTGCACATAGTTTTGAGTGCCTCGCACATAGTTTTGAGTGCCTCCTTCATGAAAGAGTACGTAAGGTGTTGGGGAATTCTTGCCTGTTGGTTGGGACCTATAGGTGCTTAACCTGCAGGGTTCATGTGTGAGATTCCTGGATTTCACTAGATGGTTAGCAGGATACATAGCATGCCGTTAAGAACCACATGCCATTTGCTGTGCACTCCCACCTCTTTTCCTTGCCCCTAACAACTATCCGCAGATGACTCAGTCATGCATAATCCTTCAGTGTTCACAGTAGGGAGAGACAGAAATGGACCTACTAGGCAGTAGCCCACTAGACTGGGGAAGCTGGGCACCCATTTCTCTTTTACTTTTCCTTATGGTAGAAATTGTAGTCTAAAGGGGCTTATTTCCACACCAAACCTTGTCACCTTTGGTGAGATGTAACGTCATAAAGTGAAACTAGTTTTCTTACTCTTTTCAATATGTCCACTATGAGATTTTATGCTTCACTGGGATTTTGAAACCACTCCTTTAGATTTTAGAGCTCACACATAGGTGTTTTTGTCTGTGAGCAGTTGACAACAACTGTGTTTCTTGGGGGCATGAGGGCTGAAGTCTCCTATTTTGCCATCTTGATGGCATCACTCTCCCTTTATTTTTTAAAGTAGAATTATAATTCCTAGCCTACCTATAATATACACTTTAAATGGTTAAATTTTAAAATTTATTACATTTTATTTCATTTTAAGCTATCTTCATAATATATAGAAGTATTCTTTTAAATTTAAAATCACGTCAAGTTGATGCTTATCCTAATAGTGTCTTTACAAATTATGTTCCTGAAATTTACCATATTTTAGGTGTTGTTTTTCTGGTGTCATTATTTTATCGAGTTGTGACACACAATTTTACATTTACTTTATGTAAAAAATATGAATTTTAGTTGTATTATAATTTTAAACACAACTACATTCTAGATCATTTATGTTTCCTGGTTAAATTCAACAGTTCTTGACTCTGAAAAACCGGATTTTATGGAAATATATAAGGGAACCAGAGGTAGATGAGAATTTGGAGGTTTGGTTTTGAGATTAGGCAGGGAGTTTTGCTGTGTAGGGAACAAGAAATAGAACAGGTGAGTTTGTGAAAATACAATCTGGTCAGGTCAGATCACTTTTACTATGATGAATGACCTACATTTATTACTCATGTCCTGTGTCACATGCATATAATATAAAGTCACGGAGGAGAGAGTCTCTGCTTGTTCAAGCAAGCATAGATTAATACCACTCACCTTTATTGGGAATGCTATAGAGACAGAAAAAAAAAATACTTAGCCCAGAGTTATTTCTCAATAATATTGCATACAGCAGAGTAGAAAATGTAATCCAAAAAGAAATTCACAAATGTGTAGTATACAATGTGAAATGCCACAATTTAAAAAATTATACAATTGAATAAAATTCCATCACATTTACAAATGTGCACAATTCATAGAAAAATAAAATAAATATATTAAAGAATATTAATATATATTAATCATGGCAGTACAAGTGTTAACATATTAATTTTGAGTTAAGATATTAGTTAAATATAGTTTTTTAATAAAAAGAAGGAAATAAGTTAATATTTAGAAGAAAAATAAAATAATATTCTTCTTATATTTATTTGAAGCTGACTCTAAAACTGCAGCCACATTAGCTATATGAAAGCATTCCCTGAATATGAGTTTTAGTTCATATTGCAAGTAGATCAACTGCATGTGTAGAATTACTAGGTCCCTACTGAATAGTACTGTCATGTAGACAAGTGGCAAAATAAAAAGATTATTCTGCTCTATCCAATTTTGATGTTCTTCAATAGGTATAGTCTTCATTATAAAGATAAGATTGGGTTTGATAGATTAAGTGAAGTGGAGAGCTGAAATGTTATCTTGAAAATTTCTATGGAAACTGAATGCTAAATTAGATTAGAAACTAAAACCTAATTTAGAGCAGGAAAAATGGAATTGAAGATCTTTTTCATGTTTATCAGATACTTATAAATATTTTCTCTGCTTGAGGCTATGCTCATTTTTTCTTGATACCCTAACTTAATGGCAACAATATGATAGCAAAAAATGCAATTTTTAAAATGAAGCTTCTTAGCATCCTAGGCTGGTTACAAGCATTTATTGTTTATTGTGTAGAGAGCAATGTACACAGTGTAGGTACTGGCAGTGAATTTTCCAGTAAGGGAAGGTGTATAAGAAATAGATGTAATAATTGTTTCTTCATAATTAAAAGTCAAGTACTAGATTGTTCCTAAACAAAATATTAGATTGTTTTCATCTACTTTTATTTCAATATGACCTAAAGATATATTTGATAGAGTAAGAGACTACTAGGAAAAACACTTTTAGATAATATTGTCGACCTTATAACAGTACATACACTTTTTTATAGAGCCCTTACTGTGTTACAGCACACTATTAAATGATCTGTATTGTGAAGTGTGAGGCTATAAAGTGTAAGTGTGTTTCTGTTAAGGTTTACAGTATGTTAGGGACAAATTGTGCTAATGTGAAAATAAATATAAAAGATTTAAATATACTATCTATTGTATAATCATTTAAAAATCAACACAACACAAATATAAAAGCAACATTTAAAACAACTTCCTTTAATTATATATTATATATTAATTTATAAATTAATATATAATCAATATTTGTTAGAAAAGTTGAACTGTTTAGTCCACTTTTTAAAAAGAAGAAAAATGAATTAGGAAATAATAAATCTTAGGAATGTTTGTAGTTGTCGTTTTATTTAACAAATATATTCAGTTGTTTATAATTTTATTCCAAACTGTGGTGATTGTATGATGGAGAAACTAAAGGCAAATGATAAATGGCTTCAAAGACTCTGCATGGAAAAAAATTGATTTATCTCTCACTGTAAGTAACTTGTAAAAAATATTACAGATATTGTGAATTACACAATTACTATGTTTCTGTATTTTTCATTGGCTTCTACGAACCTGTAGTAAGAAAATTTGAAATAAAAAGGTCTATTGGTTGTCTCCAAAAAACACGGCACCTTTTTTAGAGTATTACAAGTGTTATCTGATTCTACTCCTTCAGGACATTTTTTGAAAATTTAGTTCGTAGATGAGAAGTACCTATTTAGCTTACTTTTCTCTCTTGATTTCCTCTCTCCTCTCTCTCTCTCTCTCTTTTGCTTACTCTCACTCTCTGCCTCTCTCTAGTTTTTCATACAGTTTCTGAAGAATGCCAGAATATCTGTTACTCTCTCTCTATATATATATATGTGTGTGTATATATATATATGTGTGTGTGTGTGTGTGTGTATATATATATTATCTCTTGGATTTAGCAATGAATCTGTAGATAGAACACCAGGGGCATAATCCACTGAATAAATACTGAGAAAATGTGAAATTTGGGGGAAAAATGATCTTGGATTTGATCTCTCTCTCTCTCTCTCTCTCTCTCTATATATATATATATATATATATATATATATATATTCTGTATAACAAATCACCTCAGAAGTTAGTAGCTTAAAATGAGATATATTTATTAGCCCATAATTTCCATGAATCAGGAATTCAGGCAGAAATTAGCTCAGTGTCTCTGGCTCAGGGCTGCTCATGAGGTTGCAGTCAAGCTCTCAGTTGGGACTGTAGTCATCACAAGGGGAAGATCCATTTCCAGTTTCACGGAAAGGGCTGCTGACAGGCCTCAGGATGTTCCTGGCTGCTTGGCAGAGATATCCTTTCTTCGCCATGCTTGTCTTTTTAAAATGCTACCAACAGCATGGCAGCTTGCTTTATCCAGAGGATCAAGGAGAGAATGGTGGGGGTTCAAACAAAAAGGAAGACAGAAACTTTTTAAACCTAATCTCAAAAACAACATTTAATTTTGCCATATTCCTTTCATGTGAGGCAAGTAAAGGTTGCCAAATAGCCCACAGTCAAAGAGAGACAATTTTATAAGGTCATAAATAACAGGAAGCATGGTTCATTGCAAGCCATTTTACAGGTAGCTGACCACACCATGGTAGCAGCAACAATAAAAATTTTGCACTTTTTAAAGTATTATGTCAGACAACATAGTATATTTAGATGAATTTTAATCATAAACATCTTATACCTAAATATACTGGCCCTAAACAAGAGTAGTTTAAATCACAACACATAGATAATAAAAAAAAATAGTAGCTTAGAAGTTAATAAATCATTACGTTGTATTCTCTTCTATGTGAAAAGTGTCTACAAATTACTATTGCTGATAAATGGGCTGGTATCATAGGCCTTAGGTCATTAGCTACTTTTTTCCCGCAAATTTCACATTTATCTCATTATTTATTCAATGGATTATGCCTTTGGTGTTGTATCTACAAACTCATTGCTAAATCCAAGATCATATAAATTTTCCTTGAGATTATCTTCTAGAAATTTTATTATTTTGAAATTTACATTTATGATCGATTTTGATTGAATATTTCAAAAGGTCTAAGGTCTATGTCTATATTCATCATTATTTCTTTGCATGTAGATGTCCAGTGATTCTGGTACCATTTGTTGTAAAAGCTATCTTTTCTCCATCGTATGCCCTTTGTCAAAGATAGGTTGACTATATTTGTACTTGTCTGTCTCTGGGCTCTCTATTCTGTTCCATGCATTTGTTTATTATTTTACCAATATTAACTTCCTTGGTAGCTGTAGTGTTACAGTCAGTGAGTGCGGTATTTTATGTAATAAATATTAACATGTAGAACTCTCTACAAATTATGTAATGATAAAGATAGGCCAACAATTATACATTTATGAAAAGGCTGTCTTCATTATTGTAGTAAATACGTTGAACCACTTGGAGTTGAATTGTGTGGGTCCACTTGTACACAGACTTTTTTTCAATAAATATATTTAAAAATTTTTAAGGGATTTGTAATAACTTGAAAAAACTTACAAACTACATAGCTTAGAAATATCAAAAAAATTAAATTACATATGTCATAATTGCATAAAATATATTTGGATACTAACCTATTTTATTATTTATTATTATAAAATTCAAAAAATCCCTTATGAAAATTAAAAATTTATCAAAATGCAAACACAGAGCATACCTAGCACCATTCACAAGGAAACATAAACAAACATAAAGATGCAGTATTAAATCTTAGCTGCATAAAATTAACTGTAATACATACCGTAATACTATAATAATTTTGAAGCCTGTTGTTGTGGTGGTGATCTCAAGTCTTGCAAATATCCACTTAAAATGTCATGTGCCAGTAATCCTTTCTGTGTTAGCGGTTTGTCTCTCCAGTAAATTGTTTATTACAGCAAAAAGTAATCTCTCATTGTTTTCATCATGTTTAGTGCAATATGTTAAAACCTCAAGTAACACCAGGGGACCCATACAAAATGCCATTAGCAATGCTGGAAGTCCTCCCAAAAAGCAGAGCAATGCCATCACAGTACAATAAAAAATTGAATTGCTTGACATGTACTATAGATTAAGGTCTGCACCTGCAGTTACCCACCATTATAAGATAAATGAATCCAATGTAAGAACCACTATGAAAAAAAGAAATGGGAAATTCATGAGGTTCTCACTGCAGCTATGCCAGCAGACATAAAAGCCTTGCACTTTTGTCAAAATACTCTCTTATCTCATATTGAAAATACAGTTTTTACATGGCTGAAGGGTTAGTATGAGAAAGGAATACCTGAATACTCTAACTGGATTCAAGAAGTGAAGTTATTTTATGGCAGCCTAAAGCAAAAAGAAGCTGAGGCCTCTAAAGCTGTATATTTTAATGCCAGCTAAGGATAGTTTGATGATTTTAGAAATAGATTTGGCTTAAAAATGGCAAGATAACAGGAGAAGCACCTTTTATTAACTTAGCATCCCAGATGTCATTAAGGAAATCATTGAGGAGAAAGAATGTCTGCCTGAACAGGTTTTTTGTTGTTTTTGTTTTTTGTTTTTTGTTTTGCATTTTGTAAGATTTATTAAATTTACAATAAAAAATATTGGATGTATTATTACTCATAAATTAGGTGCTACATATTCTTTTATCAGTAATATTTTCTAGCATACCTCTATATAAAACCCTGGAAACTGCATTTCAAATTAACATCTCAGATACTCTCATGCATACTAAATTTGGAGAACCACTGTTTGAGTCAATGAATGAAAAGATCAGGATCACTTAATTTGGTCTCCAAAGGTTCTTCCTGATTTTTACTGAAAGCAAGATAGAGAACAATTTCTTTCAAATGCAGAGGCCTGTTTTTAAATTTAAAAATTAATTTTAAAATAGTTGCAGAGAGGTATAATTAACATACAAAAAATTGGCACACTTTGGGGTATGCAATTTACTAAGCTTCGACATATGTATACCCCATTGAAACCATCACCACAATCAAGATTGTGAACATATCCATCCCCCCTAAAAGTTTTCCAGTACCCCTTGGTAATTCTTTCCTTCTACCCCTTCTCACATACCCCATACCCAGTAACCACTGATCTCCTTTCTGTCACTCTGTTAGTTTGCAGTTTTTTAGAATTCTTTATAAATGAAATCATACAATATGTGGCTTTTTTGATATGTTTCTTTTTCTCAGCGTAATGATTTTGTGACTCATCCATGTTGCTGAGTGTCTGTGTGGTTCATTCCATTTTTTGATTGAGTAGTATCCCATTTTATGAATATGACACAATTTCTTTCTTTATTTACCTGCTGAGGACATTTGTGTTGTTTACTGTTTTTGCCTATTACAAATAATACTACTCATGATGCAGGGCAGGCAAATCCCAACTCTGGGGCTTAGCCCGGGAAGGTTCTTGATTTGATGAGTTAATGGGTGCAGCACACCAACATGGCACATGTATACATATGTAACAAACCTGCACGTTGTGCACATGTACCCTAGAACTTAAAGTATAATAAAAAAAAAAGTTAAACTCATATCGACCACATGATTCAGCCATTCTACTCCCAGGTATTTACCAAAGAGAAAGGGAAATACATTTCAATATAAAAATTTAAACACAAATGTTCATCGTGAGGTAAGAGGAAGGACTTGACTCAGGAGTTGGGACTTGACTACAGAGATAGGGCTTGGACACTGGACTGAGTTGAGGACTAGCTAAAACACGGAATGAGGCAGAAACAGCTTTCCATTAGACACACCCACCAGTGTGTTATGTCAGTTTACCATTGTCATGGCAATGCCCAGAAGTTACCACCCCCTTCCATGGCAACAATCCAATGGCACAGAAGTTACCACCCATTTTCTAAAAATTGCTGCATAATCCGTCCTTCAACTTGCATGTCATTAAAAGTGGGTATAAATGTGCGTGCAGACCTGCCTCTGGGTTGCTACTCTGGTCACACTGCCTGTGGAGTATCTCTGCTCCACAAGGAGCTGTACTTTTGCCGCTGCCGTACACTGCCATTTCAATACAAGTTGCTGTTTAACACCACTGCCTTGCCCACTCTTGAATTCTTTCCTGGGTGAACAGGTTTTAAATGTAGATGAAAGTGTCCTATTCTGAGGGGGGAAAGTCAAAATGACATTTATTAGAAAAAAAAAAAAAAGAAGTGAGCACTAGGATTTAAGGCAGAAAGGCTAAATCTACAGTTCTGTACAAATACAAATGGCCTTGCACTTTATGGATAAGGACTGCCCTTACCTGTAAAGCTGTTTATCCCTGAGCCTTGAAGAAAAAGATAAACACCAGCTTTCAGTCTTTTGTTTGTACAATAAGAAGGCCTGGAAAATGAAAACCCATTTTCTGGATTGGTTAAACTGATGCTTTGCTCCTGAAATCAGAAAGATTTCTCTTACCTTATCAGTAAGAGGCTACCTTTAAACTGTTGTTTGATTTTGAACAAAGTCCCTGGCCACCAAGATCCTCATGAGTTCAACCCCAAACATGTTGAAGTGGTCTATTGTACTTGCCCCCCACACACCATGTGTCTGATTCAGTTTCTAGATCAGGGGGTTATAAAGACCTTTAGGTCTCATTACACAAATTACACTATGGAAAGGATTGTCAATGTTATGGTAGAGAACCCCTATAGAGAGACCATTTTGAAAGTCTGGAATAATTACACCATTGAAGATGTCATCATTATTATAGAACAAGCTCTGAAAGATATTAAGCCCAAAGCAATAAATTCCTGCGGAGAAAACAGTGTCTAAATGTTGTACGTCACTTTACAGGATTTACAACAAAGCCAGTCAAGGAAATCGTGGAAGATTATGGATTTCTCAAAAACAATGTGAAATAGGACAGTTCCCTGATCTCCCTCACAGGACATATAACAGGGGTGTGGCTAGCCTGTTAGGTTACTGCTGCTGCTCAAACCCCTGAGAGGAGAGGGAGCACACAGACAGACAGGTGCAGGAGCCCAAGCGGGTATGTGTTACAGTGTGCCCTTTTAGCCCTGCCATCCGCAGACAGCTTAAGTGTTAACCAGCTCAATGAACCCTCTGCCTTTTCACAAGGGCAGAGGCCCAGTGTGACAGCTTTCTGTATCCAAGCTCTTGCCTAGTGTCCCAGAAGAATTGGGTCACACAGGGGCTTGACAAATTCAGGGATTTATTAAATGGTAGAATTGGCTCTCAGCAGGATGGATGGGGAGCCGGAAGAGGGGGATGGAGTGGGAAGGTGATCTTCACCTGGAGTTTGGTGGTCCAGCGATCAAAGTCCTTTCTAACCACCTCTCTTAGAATTCAGACATTCCTCCTCTTCTCTCTTTCTCTGCCACCTTGTTTCACCCTTTGTCTGCTTGTCTCATCTCCCTGTCTGCTCATCTGCTTTCGGAGCCTGGGGTTCGGAGTTTGCATGGGTACAGGATAGGGGGCGTGGTAGGCCCGAAGACTGCTTCTGGGGCATGAAACCAGGAATGACTGTCCCCATTTAGGGTCTCGGGTATCCAGGCTTGAGGGTGCGGCCTTTGCCATGGAACCATCCTCTTCTACCTGGTACTCCCATTCTCCTATCCATATCAAATGGGCAGTGAAGGGTTTCAAAATATACATTTTGAAGAAATTCAAGAGCTATTATAAGAGACACTACACTAGAGGAATTAATAGAAAATGACTTGATGTAGATGCCTGCTTTTGAACATGTGCTGGACAGTGATGCTAACGTTTGTATTTTTTGTAGAGAAGGGGCTTTTGCCGTGTTGCCCAGGCTGGTCACGAACTCCTGGAATCAAGCAATCCTCCTGCCTTGGCCCCCCAAACTACTAAGATTACAGGTGTGAGCCACCATGCTCAGCCAGTATATTTAAAATCAGTCACCAAGTTGGATAGTTACTAACTTAATAAAGTAACCATATTATTTATAAAAACTCTAAAATAAAGTAAATTGTATCTAATCAGAATGTTTTAAAATTAATTTTATTTACATATTTAAAAAGACACTTTACTTTGCCTTGCATAATAAGTATTCTTAAATAATGGATGGATGAGAGTTCATGAACTTACATTTACTAAATCATAATTACACATTCAAATTCATGGATTAGTTACCAAAAAAAGCTTTTTATAGTAGAATGTGTTTTATGTAAATTTGGTGGATTTTTTCTATAAATAAGTGATATTATCTTTCACACAAAATAACTTTTTTTATGCTTTGGTGATAGTATATTTTGTTCTACTTATATAGAATGTCATCAGTGACAGTACCAGCAAGATAATGGCATTGAGAACTGTTTGCTACAATAAGAACATAATTCCACCAATGAAAATTCATGATTGAATGAAATGAAAATGGATAGTGCAAGAAACATGTTTAGGCAAAGTACGCTGTTCATGATAGAAATGTAATAGATAATAGAAAACTACCTTTAAACATTTTCTGGTCATTTATTTCATTCATCAGGTGCTTGTCATTGTTCAGAGGACACTGTATGTTGACCACATAAAATCCTCTGAATAAATATTTGGAAAGATTATTATTAAAATCAGTTAGTTTTTAAAACTGTGACGAACTTAGAGACAGGAAGTTAAGTAGGATGAGATAAATAATATACCAGAAATTATATAGCAAATTCAGAGAAAATTAATAATGATAAAAACATTTACCTAGAAGAAAGCTTTTATAAAAGAAATAATCTGTCTAGTAATTCTGTTATGATGCAATTTTGTTATAATAAGTCTTCAATATTTGTGTAGACTATTTTATTTTTCACTTATGCGATGAGAGAAAACCTTGACTCAAACAGTTAAAGGTTCACGGAACCTTTAGTTCAAATCTTCTCTTTGTCTTATTGCCAAACTCTCATTTATGTGACGTACTTGTCCAGAATGTTCAGAATTATGATCCAAAAATATTGACTTTTTAGACTCATAAATTAATCAGATAAAAGTTTAATAAGATTAATTTACGTGGTACACATTTACTGTATTTGTTTAAAAAATAAGAGTGTGTTTGTTGCTGTCTCACCTGTAATCCTCTACCTGATACATAAGCAAAAAAGAGAATTATAAATATGCCAACTATTATTCTGAATTCTGTTTCAATCCCTAACATGGAAACTTATGCAGTGTGGTTGACCAAAAATAATAATGATGATTGTTCAAAGGGAAAATTTAATAATTTTCTTGATATAAAATTAAATATAATTTTTTAGATGTTGACTAACCCAAAGAAAACTATTAGAACTTTGTATTTTTACTTCTAATCCATAGGTTTATTTTCTAAATTATTTTATTTTTTATTATGTTAACCTTTAAACCAGTAAATTCAAATGGCACTAGAGTCATTCATTATAACTAGTCCTTATATTTTTTAAATACTTATAGTAAATTGGGACATCTTGCCTTTAGTTTTCCCTTTTCCTGGTGTTCTATCTACAATATTCAAAATTTTGTAATACTATCATTTTCCATTTCACGGAAGATGAAGTTGAAAAATGGCTTATGATTCCAATTTAGTAAAACAGAAAACACACACACACAGAAGTGGGAAGTAAAATGCTAACATATGCTGCTCTCATCTTATGGGACTAATTTGTATATCAATTTTAATTAATTTTAACTAATTATATATCAATATTAAAAAGCATATTTGTGCCTGCACACACACACACACACACACACACACACACAAAACACACACACATATGTATATGCATATGAATATGTATACTTTCTAGGGCTATGGTTTCCAGGTATAAAAATGGTAATTTAAAAGACTATTTAGTTGACTGTCTAAAACCCAGTGAACTCTGTAGTCTTTTAAATTACCATTTATATATCGCTACTCGCACCACTACTGCATAAGCCAACATTCTATGTGCATCAAATCTCAATCTAGTATGAATGAAATCATGTTAATTAGAATAATACTCCATGCTAGGGGTTTCACCCACCCAACTTATAATTAACGATGGTTGTACAATGACTGAGTTTTCTCTGTTCAAACTTTTTATAGAATGCCATGATGAGAGTATACTTTCTATGGCCTATATTAGCTCAGTTGCCTTCAAAATCCTGACCCTAAGGAAGGAGTCAGGTATTTGTATTGTGATGTGATCCATGAAAACAAGAGAGCAGAAGCAGAAGAACAAAAGACAGAAGAAAGGAAGAAACAGTGAGTTATCAAGCTTTTCATCAGTAGGAGAAAGTAGGTGTCAAGCAAGAGACTCACTGAGAAGCCAGGTTGGATCTTTTCCAACTTTTCTCTCTGAGAAACAAAAATGTTTGTACACTAATGCCTCACCACCATTTTATTAAGTTTTGCTCCACAGGATGTTAAGATAGTTAAAATTTCCAAGTTTGTACATGTATATGAATATGTACATATATTATAGGCTTTCCCTCATGGTGGTGAAAGGGAGTTTTAGAAAATAAAGAGAGAAATATGCTAATCACAGCTAAAGTGAGATGTTGTCAAAATACATCTAGTCACCATAGCGACAAGTAAATAGTTGTCTTGAAAACAGTAGTTGAAGCACAAGAGATGTCCAATACCACTTCAGCTACCATAAAAGACATGGACTTTTATGAGACTGATAAAATAAATTGAATTTTGTAAGACAATTTCAATGAGTGCAGATGGCAATTAATAGTTTGGAAAGGGCGTGATGGTTAACAAAATTTTCACTGGCTTTGTCTGATTATATTATCATTATATTTTGGGAGAGACATATTGATGGTATTAAAATTTTATCATTGATTCAAAAGACAAAAACAGTTGAATGAGTGTTCTAAACTCTGCTGCTATTTAGCACAAAAGCTGCTGTCAGAGTCAAAGTCACAACAACATTGATGGCAAGGGTTTTAATGTGTGACACCTGATTACTTAGAGACTTACTATGCCATAGGATTCATGAATGTACACATAAAAAAGGTGAGGGAGATGGATCAAACTACCTGAAGGTAAACAAATTTTTACCAAGGACTTCTTTATAGTATTTCCTGTATTATAGAAACAAACGTGTTAAGTCCTTCCAGAAGCAAATGAGGAAAGTATCCTTGAAAGAAAACCTTCCAAGCATAACAATGACGTCTCATATTGAAGTAAAATGTATTTTTCGTTTGTTCTGAAAGACTTTATTGTATATAATAGAGAATGTTTTGTTTTAGAAACACTGATTATTCCATTGTGGGATGCAGTATTTTCAAAAGATAAAGGATTAGAAAAAAATATTTAAAGAAACTGAATTTAAATATATATGGTACCATAAAAAAATTCCATGTCATAAAATGCACAGAAAAACAGGGGTGAAATTGCTGTTTGCAGAAATAAAATAGTAGCATTTTATGGATTAGAGGAATTTTATGATGCTGCCTAATGATTTTCTTTGTTTGGCCAGTGTGCAAATGCTGCAGCATCCGTAGTTTTCCAGGTCTAAATTGAGAGTTTGCTCATACACATGGCTTTCCTCCAGTTATTTTATGAACCTCAAGCTTATTAGATTTCATGGTTGAAAATGCAGTTTCCTTAGATTTAAGGTGGCCCACATCACCTCAATGTGGATCATTTCTTTCATATTGTACCTGTATTTAATGACTGTGTCTATAGATCACAAAATAAAGTGGTGACTTGGCAAGTACATATTTTGTCTATTTTATTTATGGCTCAAGAAGGGATCGTGAATGTCTAACTCCACCACAACCAAAGCCACTTAAAGCAAAGGAAACTAAGAACCAGGAAATTTAAAGAGTTTCTGTAAGGTTTCTTTACCGTCTAGTAAATTTATTTTGCCTTATTCCAAGATATATTGAGTAACTGCAAAGCTAAAATTAATGTATGTAAGATGCCAAATCATCTATACTGATAAGATTAAACAAAAATATAAAAGTATATTAATTTCATTTTTAAAAAACAGAAAATTGAGGTGGAAAGAAAATGTGGAATCAGTCACTTTAAAAGTATTATTTCTTAGGTATAAAAACAGAGCTCCAGAATGTGACATGACAGACCTAGGATCACATAGTTCATAGGGAATTATAACCTTAAACTAGTCACGTAAGTTTATTATCCTTTGTATGACAACATAACAGTACGTTTTAGTTTAAAGCCCTGAATTTCTAAATGTTTCTAGTAGCATCTCTGTGATAATTAAACATCTAACTATAAAGTAGAAATAAAGAAATAACTTATTTTATAATAAATCTGTCATTTTTTTCAGAAGGAGAAAATAAGGCAATTATACTTTGATTACAGTAAGAAATCTTTTTAAAGATTATTTTTCAAATAGAAAATTAAGCAGTTGGGTAAGTTAGACATTCTAATAAATATTAACTTTAAAAATATTTTCCACAGTATAAATTATTAAATTTAAAAGTTTTTTATGTAAATTAACAGGATATCAAGTATGTAATGTATTTTAGAATATGGAAGTTGTGCTTTTTAAGCCTGGTGCCCCAAAAATGCACTAGCAATTTTCACAAGGTATAAAGGCGGTGATTTTGCTGTCACTATATTGAAAATCGCTCAACATATCTCTTGTCTTTACTGGAAAAGCACTGTGAAAATCTATACTCTAAGATCCCAAGTTGAGATCCAGACATACAAAAAATAATGTATAGGGAATCATGTCCCAAGCTCTTGCAAAAGAGGAAAATGGGATGATCCAAATAATGACACAGAGGAGAATCGTGGTGCAACAGGAAAAGACATTAATGGAAATAAAAAACAATAATGGCAAGAAGTATGGGAGGAAACTAAGAAGTATGAGTGTTGACATAGTTTATGAATGAGCCAAATCTCTTCAGGTTTATAATTTATGAAACATTTGCGGGCATCACGGGACTAAGAAACAACATTATTTCTAAGTGTAAACACTGGATGCATTTTAAATATTTATCTATCTACCCATCTGATTATTTAGCTATTTATTGTAACAGGGTCTACTCTGTTACTCGGGCTAGAATGCAGTGGCCTGAATATAGCCCACTGCAGCCTAGAACTCCTGGGCTCAAGTGATCCTCCATCTTGGGCTTTCCAAAGTGCTGAGGCTACAGGAGTGAGCTACTGTGCCTGGCCTTACTATTATTTTCAATGATACTCTTTATTTCATTTATCTCTTTCCCGTGTTTTGTCTCTTTTTTTTTCACTTTTTCCTTCTTCTTTGCTCTAGCTCTCCCTTCTTCCTTCCTTTTTTCCTCGTTTTGTTTCTTCCATCATTTCTTTTTTTCTCTTCATTTTGTACATGCTTACTTGAGAAGACCCAGTAAATTTTACCAGTGTAAAGGGCCTATTCAAATAATTTCAAGTCCTATACATTGACAACATTTAATAATGGATATTCACCAAATTCTGAGCGTGACTGTTCTTTGGCATTTTTTTAGGGTTGCCAAATACAATACAGGAAGACTAGTAACATTTGAATGTCAGATACACAAGTCAATTTTTAGTACAAGAATATCTCATGCAATATTAACTTGGTGTTAAATGTTTTGATTTGCTAAGCTGATGACCCTGTTTATTTAGTCTACTAATATCTTATATAAAATAATAACAGTAATAGTAATAATAATTCACATAGTAACTACTTTTTTTGGCCACACACATATGTGTTTTCTGATTTATGTAAGTTAAGAATCTGAGCTTTAAGAGCAGATACTTCTGAATTTTAATCAAATGGGTGATCTGATCAAATCACTTACATCTTTCAGTTCATTTTTCTCATTTCAAAAATAGTAATAACGTTAGTAAAAGCTCCAGAGTCTTATTGTGAAAAATAAATAATATTATATGTAAAGTAACACGGAGACTGTTCTTATTTGTAAGGTTATAATTTCAAAAATGAAATGAAATAAAATAAGATAAAGTTCTTCAATAAAGTATAACAACTTCCCCCCTTGTTATATCCATTAATTTCAAAGTCAGGGATAATAATTAGTTTGTTTATACATGAAGTGCCTTTGTCACTTAAAGAGGAAATTAGGAGTTCACATACTGAGCCTGCAAAATTAGAAATCAGAACTTGGAGAGTTAAGAGATATTTTGAAAATATACTCTAGCAAAACAGAACAATCTGAACTAAGAATAAGCTGGTCATTAAATCCTGTACTGTCAGTCAGACAAAATAGCAAATTTGAAAAAATATTCATAAATACTAATTGTCAAAGATTACAAGTTATTCATCCAGAGTATACTACAAATGAAAGGTTTTATTACAGTCAGATTAGGTAAAGGGATATACTGCAACCTGCTTTCAAGAAACCACAATACAGTCTTGGAGAAAAGAAACCTAAACAATCATTGTAAAACAATGTAGTAAATATGGAGCTATAAATAGCCCAAATTACAAGGAAAATTTTAGTGTAAGTCATGTCTGAGTTTAGATTTTAAAATTAGCAGAAATTAATGGGAATGAAGGAATAAAAAAGACATATTCCAATCATGGGGAGAGCATGAGTAAAGTGTCAATATTATGCACACATGTTACTATAAAGAAATAAATACCCATGATCTAAAATGAGAAGAAGAAATCATCAAGAGATAAGGATAAAGAGTGTAGCATGTCCAAAGCAAATTAATGATGGTATAATGTAATGTTTAAGAGCTCATTAACATTCAAATTTAAAGCATTATTTTGCCACTTGTTTCTGGGAAACTTTCTGCCATTGAAAGCTCCATGAAAAAAAAGGGAAAAGATGTGAATAAAAGGTATGTAAAGCAAGAAGCACTTTGTGCTTTAGGGGTGGGGATAAATGATACTGAACATATTAATGATGGCTTAAGAATCATAGTTTCTTACATTATGAAATTTTCCTGGGATCTCTAGATGGTTATGCAAAACTGATATTTAGACTTAAAATATGAAACTTAAGGACTTGTATTAGAGTTTTCCAGAGAAGCAGAACCAATAGGATACACAGATAGATATATAGTTAGATAAATATATAGAGAGATACATAGATACACAGAGATACATAGACAGATACATAGATAAATATATAGAAAGAGGTTTCTTATGAGAGATTAACTCATATGATTATGGAGACAAAGAAATCCCCAATCTGCCATCTGTAAATGGCAGGACTAAAAAAGCCAGTGTTGTAGTTCCAGTCCAAACCCAAGGGCCTGAGAACCAGGGGAGCCAGTAATGGAAGTTCTGGTCCAAGCCTGAAGACCAAAGGAACAGCAGTACTTATGGTTGATGCCCAAGGGTAGGAGAAAATAGATGTCCAAGATCAAACAAATTAAGAAAGTTCACCTTTCATCTACCTTTTTATTCTATTTGGACCCTTAGTGGATTGGATGATGGCCCCACACATTGCTGAGTACAATCTTCTTTACTCAGTTTATTGGTTCAAATGTTAATCTCTTCCAGAAACACCCTCACGATAACCCAGAAAAAATGTTTTTCAGGCTATCTGAGCATGACAGCCCAGTCAAACTGACATATGATATTAACCATCACAAGTCTGATGTGTTACCTAGCACTTTAATTTGAAGATAAATCAGTACATTGAGTAATTGTTGAAATACATTTCAGTTAAGAACCCATTTATTGCCTTATTCTAGCACAATGTGTAAAGGAGAAAGGATAAATTCAATAGATTGAAAAAGGACCTTTGGAGAACACGTATTTTAAATATTAGGCTAAGCTCTTTCTCTTTCTTTTTTCCTTCTCTTCTCTGCCTTGGAAGTTCCATCTTAAACACACTAAGTGGGGGGGAAAAACATGTAGGCATCTTGGGGAGGAGAGAAGGATCGACAAGGGTGGAGGACAGCTGGAGGCCTGAGAAGAATGTATAAGGTGTTTTCCCTAAGAGGCCTACGCTGGCACAGGGTGTCAGAGCCTGAGCAGTGAGAGAAGTGTTGGAGAGGGATGGTCCAATTGGGAGCAGAGGTGGAGGTGCACTGGAATCCAAGCCCAATCATGAGAAGCATCTCCACAGATGAGTGCCCTTGTTTGTTGCATCAGAGTATAATCAAGCTACAGGGCAAATCGGATGAAGTGGAGAAGCTCAGCATTGAATGTTGGAGTCTAGGTAGCTTGTGGAGAATATTCTTTCAGAGGAGAGTTTTAGAGTGAATGTTTGGAAACGGAGTGAGGTGAGAACACATATTGCAGGATGTCTCAATCCAGATGTACTAGGAAAGGTCTATTAAATAAGGGCACTCTGACACTGACTGTCAGAGTCTAAATGTGGGAAAGGGGACTCTCATGAAGAGAGGCAGCTTAGCAAGGTGTGTCAGAACCCACGCAGGCCAATCAAGGTGTGGTGGTGCTACAAAGGGATCAGGCATCCACATGCAGGAGAAATTGGCTGTGGTGATGGAAGATTAGTGCTATATGGGCAGGGGATTTTAACAAATAATTAAATATCCCAAGAATAATGAGAGCTACATTTCTCACCCTCAGAATAGGAAATTACTATTATGGAAAATAAGTAAGCTAAAGTGAATACTATAGATTTGGATGTGAATTGGAAGTACTGTTGCTAATGCTCATCATTGGTATAAAGAAATGGATGTAAGACCCCTGGAGATGTAAATGTGTATATTTTTGTATTATGTATAAATGTGTATATATTCATACACATGAACTGGTGCCATAAGCATCCAATTCGTAACTTCTAAATATCGTTCTCCAACAAAAGCAACTAGTGCTTCTTGGAGAAATGACTGATTCCAAGGCACAAGGCCTGGAAAGAACAAGAAATTCAGGGTGACCATATAGATAGAGATATAAACATAGATATCCCTCAACATAAGGAAGTTCTAAGAAAATGATGGGTCAAAAGGAAGGTGCTCTCAGTAAGCAAATCTGCGACAATTTGAGAATCCAATAATTTAAAATAGTAGCAAACAGCAAATTGTAACAACGCATTTGTCAAAACTTTCAAGAAAAAAATCCCAGAATTCTACAAATGCCTTCAATATAATAAATATAATCAATTAGTATTATATGGTTGTAGAGATATAGCAATGCTTGACAGTAACTGTATGAAAATATATTTTGTACACAAAAACGTGCAAAATATCATTACAGATTATCATTAACTGTACTTGCAATCAATCTTGAAGATAAGAAATATTAACTTTAAACCCAAATCAAGAGTATTTCTTTCTTTTCAGTGGATCTGTATTATAAAACAATTATTACATTTTGAATTCCAGCAACAAAAATTTGTGGCAATCTGTTTATATAAGTTCCTATGAATTATCTCCAATTCTACATCTGAGTCAACAATTCTTAAACAAATTATTATCTGTCCCTTTAGATAAAAATCTGCATACTTCTGTTTTGAATTAATTACATATTTTGGTAGGTATTGGTCATTTTACAAGATTAAATTTCAAATGTAGCAAATACATATTTCAGATGCTTTTCCTAATCCATAAAGGAAAAAAAGAAAGAAACTCTCAAAAGACACTGGAGTTTAATAGAAATCATTTTCTATCAACATACTGTACTGTAGTAATAATTTATCACTGTAGATATACTTGATCTATTGCAGCATAAGTACCAGTAAAATGATCTTCTAATGAGTATCAATATTTGTGCAGAGATGATGTAGAATGAGGCAGGAGAATAACCAAATGAAGATAGAGTTGCTGCTGCTTGAAATATATGAAGGACTTAAATGAACCAATCAAAATAACTACTGAGCAATCCAGCAATTGTGTTGGTATTCATCCAAATGTACTGGAAACTTATGTCTACACAAAAACCTGCATTTAGATGTTTATAGCAAATGTAATCATAAATATTTAAACTTGGAAGCAATCAAGATGTACTTTGGTAGGTGAATGGATAAATAAACTATGGTGCATTTAGACAATGGGATATAATATATTGCTAAAAAGAAATTAACTAAGCCATGAAAAGATATGGAGGAAACATAAATGCAAATTACTAAGTGGAAATAAGAGCATCTTAAAAGGCTACGTGGTATATGATTTCAACTACATGACATTCTGGGAAAGGAAAAGCTATGGAGACACTAAAAGGAGCTATGGTTGCCAGGGCTCATGGGAGAGGAAGGGAAGAATAGAGGAGAGATTATTTTTAGTAGAATGAAACTATTATGTGTGGTATGATAATCATATACACATATCATTATATATTGTCCAAAACCATAGAATGCGCAACACCAAGAGTGAACTCTAATGTAAAGTATGGAATTTGGGTGACAATACTGCATTAATATAGGTTCATTGAACATAACAAATATGCCGCTCTGGTGCAGGATAGGCTGTGCCCGTGTGGCAGCAGGAACTATATGAGAATTCTGTACTTGACACACAGTTTTGCTTAAAACTGCTCTGCAAAATAAAGTTTATTTAAAAATATCTACTGTGTGCCTTGCACAAGGATTGTAGTCAGAAGACACTTAATCATAATCATTCTTAATTATGTCTTAATTGTAGTCAGAAGGCACACAATCATAATGAATGTTTGATATCACATTGCATAATATCAGTTGTACTTACCATGCTAATCACTTGTTGCTGAATATAAAAGTAGAAGATTGTCAATACCATGTCTAATACTCATTCTCCTCATTACCCTGCTAACAATGTAGACCTAACTTGAAATTTTTTATAGCTAATTTATTACATAAGTTCATATTTAATTAACTCAAGTGAACTCAAAAAATATGGACCTACAAAATCGGAATAAAAGTTTCCTCTTTATAATACTGTACTTAAGATTAAATGGAATAATGTATTTTAAATAATCTAGCAAAACAATGATACTAATACTGCTCATATGTGACATTTTTGTGTGCTTTATTGCATCTTGTTCTTATTATAGTTATTTTTATTATAACTATTTTTAGCTAATAATAAAGAATTGTTCTATTATAACTATCATTATAACTATAAAATCACTTATGATTTAGTTATTTTTGTTCCCACTTCCCTTTGCTTTTTTCTTCCTGTGTCTCAATTTTTGTAAAACTCCTGTCTCTCTTTCTTTCTTTCTTTCTTTCTTTCTTTCTTTCTTTCTTTCTTTCTTTCTTTCTTTCTTTCTTTCTTTCTTCTTTCTTTCAATTAAATGATTTTCTGTTTACCTCTCTTAAAATTTTAGGTATATAGCTACTTCTTTACATTTGTGATACAAAGGAGATATTTTCTTGAAAGTCAAATATGTAACATGAGATATGAAATCCTGGAGGAAAATGTCTAAATGCTGCTTTTCACCTTATCTGATGAGAAAGTACAGTACGAAAAATTTACGATTGAAAATGAGAAGTTAATGACTAAATTGCCTGAGGACAAAGAAGAACTAATTTGACAGATAAGAAATTTATCGTGTTATCAAAAATAAAGCCCTTATAACAATCAATTATGCTTATACAAGTTCCTTGAATTTTGTGATTTGGAAAATGACATTGTATTGCTGTCATAAAATGTTAAACAGAATATAAAACACAGAAAACTGACATCTGAGTCAATACGGAGAGACCCCATGTCCCCCAGGAAACATCCTCTAACATTGAAGACAGCTTAAATTGGGAGCAGAAAGATGGGATGAGAAACAAGTTATCTATCATAATATAACTGATTATAATATATCTTAATAAATGTTTGAAATTATTATTATAAAATAAATTTAAAATAAATTATTACACTTAGAAATTTTTAAAATTTCCACTAAAATGGCAGAGTAAGAGAGTAGGAGATGCCAGTCTTATTTCACACACACACACACACACACACACACACACATATATATATGTATATATATATATGACATAATAGCACAGGTAGGGCTCAAGGGCCCATTAAGGAATCTGCAACAGCACAGTAGAGCAAAAGAATATAAAGGAGAATAACCACATAGAAGGAATTGCTGGAGAGAGTGGCATACCTGAGATGGCAGGAGATGCCTAGGAGCAAAAAAGAAAGGTGGAGGCATTGGTATCAGCCATGTAGTGGGGACCACCATAGTCACCAGTGAACTCCTCGGCAGAGGACACCAGAAACTCTTGCCTCTGCAGTAGCCAACCATCATTTCTGCTGGGAAAAAACTTAGAGAGGTAGATATGGCTGCACTATCATCCAACTCCCAAGAAGCTGCTGCTGTTGAGTTGCTTTGGGAAAGGTGCCACCACCCAATCCAATCACATGCATGAGCTGACCCTACAGCTGTGACTTCTCCATAAGTGCCCACACCCAGACCCAGGCCCTGCAGTTGCACTGAGCCTGCCCATATCTCAGATATAAAGGCCATTATCAGTGAGCTACTTTGCACTCTAGACCCCAGAGCAAAGCCTTCACTATGCATGCTCTCATTCCAGGTACTGTCTCAGCCACCATAGAAAGCCAGACTTGGCCCTAGCCCCAGAGGCGCACTCGGTTTGCATATGCCTATGCTCCCATTCTTGGTTTCCTGGCTACTTCACAAATATTCACACCTTTTATACTCTTACCAAGGTGGTAGTAGGGGTGTCTGTGCCCTGGGATCCAGTGCAATTATTGTTCTGGTCCCAGAGCTGTAGTGTCACCACCTGTGCCTGTGCTCCAAGCCTCATTTCCATAGCCACTCTGTGGGTATTACTCACAGACACCAATGACACTGCCACTGCAAGCAAGCTCACCAACCAGACACAGTGCCAAGAGGGATCCCCTATACCACAACCTCCCCAATGGAAGACAAAGAGATCAAGAAGACCTTAACAGTCATCTCCACTGAATACCTCAACCATCCTCACCACCATTCCTGAAATTTGTAATGTTGGCCACTAATGATACCAGCAGTTTTCATTAGCACTGTCCCAGGTGACAATGCTGCACAGAGAATAATAGCTGGAACACATTAATTAGTTGCCAGAACTACTGCAAGTAACCCAGAAAGCACCCTTACACAACCCTGTAGATAAGGGTCTTCTCACAATGAAATTACCCTGTAAAGTCTGCAAGATGTGACTATTCCACCAAGTCTCCAGACATCAACATAAGGCAATGAGAAACATGAAAGACCAGGAAGACATCAAACTACCAAAAGAATACAATGAACTCACAGTAGCTGATCCCAAAGAAATGGAGACATAGTAGCCCTGTCTTATCTGCGGTTTCACTTTCCATAGTTTCAGTTACTCATGGTAAGTGAAAAATTACACGATTAAGCAATTTTTGAGTCTTAAATTTTGCATGGTCCTGAGTAGAGTGATTAAATCTCATGCTGTTTCACTCTGTCTCATCCAGGAAATAAATAATCTCTTTGTCCTGTGTATCCATGCTATATACGTCACCTACCAGTTAGTCATCAACATCATCTTCTCCTAACAGATAACCATCAACATCATCATGGCTAGATGATCCAAGATTACTCAAAACAGATAGTCCTCCTTTTAACATATTGTAAGGAGTCAATAGTAGTCTAAGATTCATCACAATGCCTATGTAATCCCCCTACTTTATCTAATCATGCAGGCATATTTTTTTTATCTCACATCATCACAAGAAGGGTGAGTACAGTACAATCAGATTTTTTTTTCTGAGAGAGGGAGATAAAGAGTGAGAGAGAGAACATTCTCATAACTTACAGCATATTATTATAATCATTCTATTTTATTAAGAGTTATTGTCAATGTACTATTGTGCTTAATTTTTAAACAAAATTTTATCACAGGTGTTTATGTACGTTTTAAAATGCATAGTATATATATAGGATTTGGAACTATCCATGATTGTAAGAATCCACTGGGGGATCTTTGAATGTGTCCCCCATAAGTAAGGGGTGACTAATATATACAAACTGCCTGACAAGATATTCAAAATAATTATTGTAAGGAGCCCAGCAAACTTTGGGAAAATACACATAAACAATTCAATGAAATCAGATGAACAATAAAAGACCAAAACAATATTTTTTTTTTGAGACGGAGTTTAACTCTTGGGGCCCAGGCTGGAGTGCAATGGCACAATCTCTGCTCACAGCAACCTCCGCCTATCCGGTTCAAGTGATTCTCCTGCGTCAGCCTCCCGAGTATCTGGGGTTACAGGCATGTGCCACCACACCCAGCTAATTTTGTATTTTTAGTAGAGACGGGGTTTCTCCATGTTGGTAAGGCTAGTCTCTAACTCTTGACCTCAGGTGATTCATCTACCTCGGCCTCCCAAAGGGCTGGGATTACAGGCTTGAGCCACCAAGGCCAGCCCAAAGCAATATTTTTTACAGAGAGATTGAAATTATGAAATAAAATCAAGCAGAAATTATTGAGCTAAAATGCAATGAATTAAATAAAAAATGCACCAGAATGCATCAGCCGCAAAATTGATCAAGTAGAGGAAAGAATCTGTGAATTTGAAGACTGGTTATTTGAAAAACACAAAGGATAAAAATTTAAAAAAATAATTAAAAGAAACAAAGTTTATGGGATTTATGGAACAACATCAAAAGAGCACATTTTCAAGCTACAGCAATTTCAGAAGGGAAGAAAAGGAATACAGGGGTGAAAACTTACTGAAAAAAACTAATATCAGTAACTTTACAAATCTGGAGAAAGGTACAAATATCCAGGTACAACTACAGCAGGGTCAAAGTTCTTCAAGTAGATTCAATACAAACAAGAATACACAAGGACATTTTATAATCAAATAGTGAAAAAAAAAGAAAAAAGAAAAAAATGAAATCAAAGACAAAGAGAGAATCCTGAAAGCAGCAAAAGAAAAGAAGCATATCACACATGAGAGAGTTCTAGTAAGAATGGCAATAGACTTTTCAGCAGGAACCTTACAGGCCAGGAGACAGTGGGATGATATATTTAAAGTGCTGAAAGAAAAAAAAATCCTGACCACTAATATGTTCTATCACAAAGCAATCATTCAGAAATGGAGAGAAAAAGACTTTCCCAAACAAGCAAAACCTGAGGGAGGTTATTACAACCACACCTGTAATAAGAAATGTTCAAGTCATTCCTTCAAGCTGTGAAAAAAAAAAAAAAACACCAGTTAGTAACACAATACATGTGTGAATGTATAGAACTCACTTGTCAAGTTAAGTACACAATCATGTTTACACAGCCTACATTTTTAGTGTAAAGGTTGAAAACAAAAGTATTCAGTGTAATAACAGCTAAAACAATTTGTTGAGGAATATACAACATAAAATGATGGAAACTGTGACATCAAAAACATAAACTGGGAGGGGGGTGAAATAAAAGTGTAGAGCTATTTTGTGTAATCAAAGTTAAGTCTTTATCAGTTTAGAATTACCTGATACAATTGGGAGATATATGTAAGCCTCATGATAACTACAAAGCAAAAATGTAGCATAGATATACAAAATATAAAAAGTAAGGAGTCAAAGCTTACCCCTAGAGAAAATCATGTAGTCACTAAAGAAGGCAGGAAAGGGGAAAGAAAGGGACAAATAATTCACAAAACAATCAGTAAACAACTAATAAAATAGCAGTAATAAGTCCTTACCTATTAATAATTATTTTTAATGTAAATAGATTAAATTCCGCAATCAAAAGACATAGAGTGGCTGAATGGATAAAAAACAAGACTCCACTCTATGCTGTCTACTGATGACTCACTTCATCTTTAAAGACACATACAGATTAAAAGTTAAAAGAAATAAAAATATGTTTCATGAAAATGGAAACCAAAAGAGACCAGGGTAAGCTATACTTAATAACAGATAAAATAGATTCGATGCCCAAGACTGTAAAAACAAAGATGGTCATTATATAATAACAAATGGGTTAATTCATCAAGAGGATATAATAAATGCATATATGTACCCAACATTGTAGCACCTAAATATATAGAAAATATTAATAGATCCAAAAAGATAAAAATGATGCAATGCAATAATAGTAGGGGACTTCAATATCTCACTTTCAGCTATGGAAATATCATCTAGGCAGCAAATCAATAATGAAATACTGGACTTGAGTATATTTTAGACCAAAGAGACCTACAAGACATGTACAGATCATTCTATCCAACAGTAGAAGAATACATGTTCTTTTCAAGTGTACACAGATCATTCTACAGAATAGATCATATGTTAGACCAAAAAAACAAGTCTGAACTCATTTCGGAAGACTGAAATCATATCACATACCATTTTTGATCACAATCATATGAAACTAGAATCAACAATAGGAAAAATTTTGGAATATTTACAAATACATGGAAAGTAAAGATCATGTTTATAAACAATCAATGGACCAAAGAACATCAAAAAGAAAGTTAAAAATATCCTGAGGCAAATAAAAATAGAAACATAACACAATAAAACATATGGGATACAGCAAAAATGGTTCTAAGAGGAAAAAACACCCATGCCTCCCACAAAAAATAGGTATTCAAATAAACAATCTAATGTTACAATAAAGAAACTCAGAAAGAAGAACAAACTAGTCCCACAGTTAGCTGAAGAAAAAAAATAATAAAAATCAGAGCAGCAATAAATAAAATGATCCTAGAAAATCAATATAAAAGATCAATAATAATAAGAGTTGGGTTTTGAAAAGATGAAATGGGCAAACTTTTAGCTAGACTAAGAAAATAACAGAAGAATCAAATAAATATATCAGAAATGAAAAAGGAGATATAACAGATACCACAGAAACACAAATGACATAAGAGATTACTATAAACACTTATATGACAACAAACTGTATAAGAAGAAATGGATAAATGTCTAGAAACATACAACATACCGAGTCACGAAGAAACAGATAATCTGAACATACGAAAAATGGGTACATTCAACAGTACATTAAAATAATAGTTTTGCATAAACAGGTGGGGTTTATCCAGATAACTAGGATGCAAGTATGATGCAATGTATGCAAATAAATGTTTTATACCACATTACTAGATGAAAAACAAAAACAAAAGCCATATGATCCTCACACTCGGGTCAGAATAGGCTTTTCACAAAATTCAACACCCTTTAATGATAAAAACTCTCAACAAACTAGGTATGGAGGTAGTGTGCCTCAACACAGTAAAGTCCATATAGGACAAGCTCATAGCAGATTTCATATTGAATTGGGAAAAGTTGCAAGCTTTCCCTATAAGACTTGAAGAAAGGAAGAATGCTCACTCTCACCACTTCTATTTAACGTAGTACTGGAAGTCCTAGCCAGAACGATTAAGAAAGAGAATGAAATAAAAGATATATTCAAATAAAAAGAAATAATTTAAATTTTCTATGCTGAATATATATATATATATATATATATGAAACTGTAAAGACTTCAAAAAGCTGCTGACAC
Source organism: Homo sapiens (assembly GCF_000001405.40). NCBI lineage: Eukaryota > Metazoa > Chordata > Mammalia > Primates > Hominidae > Homo > Homo sapiens. The sequence goes on from NC_000001.11 coordinate 188,892,612, forward strand.
TAATAAACAAATTCAAGTTATAGCATACAAAATCAACATACAAAAAGCAACAGCATTTCCATACACCAACAATAAATTATCCGAAAAAGGAATCAAGAAAATAATTCCATTTGTAATAGCTACAAAAAAGTAATAAAAAGTTAATACCTTTTACCAATGAAGTAAAAGAAATGTACATTGAAAACTGTAAAATACTGATAAAAGAAACTGAAGAGGACACAAAAAATCCAAAAAAAAAGGAAGATATTCTGTGTTCATGGATTGAAAAAATTAATATTGTTAAAACGTCAATACTGCCCAAAGTGTTCCACAGATTCAAGGTAATCCCTATCCAAATTCCAAGGACAGTTTTGTAGAAATAGAAAGACCAGCCCTAAAATTTGTGTAAAACCACAGCACATCCTGAAAAACAATAAATCTTGAGTAGTAAGAACAAAGCTGGAGGCCTCACACTTACCTGACTTCAAATTATACTACAAAGCTGTAGTTATAAACAGTATGATGACAGCATTACACACACACACACACACACACACACACACACACACACACATTAATGGAACAGAATGGAGAGTCCAAAAATAAATTCATGTTTGTAGTCAACTGATTTTAAACAAGTTGCCACAAAAATACAATGAGAAAAGGGAAATTTCTTCAATAAATTGAGCTGAAAAAATTGAAGATTCACGTGCAGACAAATAATCAGACCCATATTTCATATTACAAACAAAAATCAGCTCAAAATGGATTAGAGATTTAAACACAGATCAGAAACTGTAAAACTACTAGGAAAAAAATAGAGTAAATGCACCATGACATTGGATGAGTAATTATTCTTTGGATATGACCCCAAAAGCCCATGCAACAAAAGTAAAAATAAACAAGTGGTATTACATCAAACAAATAAGCTTCTGCACAGTCAAGGAAACAATCATCAGAGCAAAGAGACAATCTACAGAATGAGAGAATATATTTGCAAACCAAACTTATAATAAGAGGTTAATACCACAAATGTATAAGGAATGCAAACAAATCAATACCAAGAAAACAGAAAACCTAATTAAAAATGACCTGAATAGATAGAGCAAATGACCTGAATAGATAGATCTTAAAAGAAGACATACACATGGCCAAGAAGTATAAAAAAATGCTTAACTTCACTAATAATCAGGGAAATGCTAATTAATACCACAACAAGATACGTGCACCTGTTAGAATCATTATTTTCAAAAAGATAAAAACAAAACAAAACAAGTGTTTGTGTGGCGGTGGAAAAAAGAGAACTTTTTCCTTTTTTTGTAAAAATATAAATTACTGCAGCCATTAGGGAAACAGTTTAATGTTTCCTCAAAAAAATTAAAAATATAAGAACCATATGATCTAGTAAACTACTGAGTATATATCCAAAAAATATGAAGTCAGTTTGTTGAAGAGATACCTGAACTCCCCTAGTCATTGCAGAATAATTCATAATAGCCAAGATATTGAATCAATCTGAGTGTCCATTAATGGATGAATGGTTAAAAATATGTGATCTATCTATCATCTATCTATCTATCTATCTATCTATCTATCTATCTATCTATAATCTATCATTCTACACACACACACACACACACACACAGACACACACACACACAGATAGTATTTAAACTTAAAAATGAAGGAAGTCTTATCATTTGCAACCACATGGGTGAATGTGAAGGACATTATATTAAGCAAAATAAGCCAGTCACACTAAGACAAATATTGCATGCTGACTTGAATGTGGGGTGTAAAAAAGTCTAACTCACAAACAGAGAGTAATATAATAATTAACAGAGGCTAAACGATGGAGGAATAGAGGTTGTGTTAGTCAAAGAACAAAAAATTTTATTTAGAATACGTTCAAGAGATTATGGTGATTACAGTTAATAACAATATATTGTATATTTGAACACTGAAAAGAAAGTAGCTTTTGAGTATTCTCATCACACACAAAACTGGCATGTGAGATAATACATATATTAAATAGCTTCAGTTAAGCGTAGTAAAATGTACACATTATCAAAACATATATACTATACATATTTACACTTTTTACTTGTAAATTAAAATAACCATGAAAATAAACTATCCTTCCAAAAATATAATAAGTAAAAAAAGAAGCAATGATATATGGCAAGAAACAGTAAATTACATGGCTCAGTGTCCAAAATGCATTAAAAATTAATGACATTAATCATTAAAATTATAAAATATTGATAAAATATAGATATTTCACATTATTAAATCACTGTGAAGAGGAAGGCAAAGAAAAAGCAGAAGCAGCAAAAACAAAATCAGCTGCAGCCACAGAGACCATATGTAGTTTTCAAAGTCTGAAATATTTAGTATTTGATTCTTTATTGAAAAATTTTGCAAATCTGGATACATTGCATCCTTTAATTATAATTATATTTTTTTCCATTTCTGATTTGAATTTTATAAATAAGATCTTACAGTTCATTTTACTTTTGGTTTGGTGTGAGAAGAAGGGATAATTGCTTTACTATATTTAATACCATTTAAAAAATATTTTGATCAAAATAGGAGAGAATTGTTGATTTAAACTTGGGACAAAATAGTTCGATTAAAGGCAAGAACCCAGATGAGTTGACCTCAGGGCTATAAATAATGAAAGTCAAAATTGGGTGGAAGTGACAAAAGAAAAAGACAATGGGTTTCATTATGTTTTAGATATCAGGGCCAAAAAAACACAAAATTGCATATGCACACTAATGTATACACATACATACAAGCAGGATCAGGCAATCATCCTAAGTACTCAATAAATAGTACTTAAATATCATTTATATATTGCATTTTAGAATTATTGAAATATATTGTTTTAATCTCAAAATCAGTGCTATTTGTTACTTGCCATAATAAAACATATAATGATGTCCTATTAATGCTAACTCATATTTTTTATTTTTACCTATATTAGAGAATGAATTCTGAGTAATGAATTCTATAACATAAATTATTTGCAACTTAAGGGCCATGGCTAAATTGATGCTGGTTTTATTTGCTTAAAACCCAGCAACTTAAGGGTTTGGACTGAAACTCCTTCGGGTTGCAGTCTGATTTGTGATGACACTGGTGACAAGTGAGGGAACATGCCAGGCAAAGTTCAAGACTGTTTCCTATTCCCACAGTTTCCAGCACCACCACCACTACAACAAACAAACAAAACAACATCTACTGAGTGTTTATTACGCACTAAGAGAGTTCTAAGAGTTTTACATAGATTCATACGTAAGAGCTTTATGTAGGTCATCAGTGGTTCAACAGAAGATAGCTTATGTAGCAAAAGGTACAGACCATGACTGCAGAAAATGCTATATAGGAAGATTATTTTAGCCATATAACCAAATAGATTTATTGAAGTACTCTATTGCAGAATGATCCTTATTTTAGAGAATATTTATGGTTTAAGCTCATGTATCTTCCCTGAGTAATCCCAAATGACAATTTTCTTTTAAATCATTTTTTCTTAATAATATTGAGAAATGAGCTTTCAAAAAGTGAATTACTGTTAGCTTGTGGGCATTAACTTTCCAAATTATGTCACTCGTCTAACTTATTTGGAGCCCCTTATGCCAATGGCAAATGTAAAAGAAGTTTTACAAATATATGTCCCTATGCCAGTTATTATTGTAATGTTTGTTATAAACTGTTTATCCTAAAAAATAAAATATATAATATTTAGATTTTAGAAAGGTTAAATACAACTTATAGTAAAATATTTTATTAGAATAATTCATCCTTAATATATTTTGTCATCAAGTCAAATACATTACATAATGTCATAAATCCATAGGAAATTTTATATGATCACCTACGTCCTTATATCAGACAAAGGGAGGAATATATTATATGTTGAAATACTACTTCAATACAAATTTTAAATAGTTATTGCTCTGCAGAGCCTTGTTTGGAAGTCTGATGGCACAGAAAATTCCTTAGGACATACCTCTCAAAGAAACTCAGCCTATTTTATTTCAAATGATTCACCTTTTCAGTCACTCATGTATTGAAAATCAGATAGCGTTTGAAATAACGGCATATTTTTTGAAAAAGTATTAACAGATTAACTTTCTGCACCATTTAGTGTTATATCTCTTGGGTCTCAAAGGCACCCTTCTAAACTTTGCCCATGATGTTGGAGGTTCAGACTCTGCCAACTGCATTTTTCCTTTGCCAGTGAAGGAGGTGTCTGTACGAAGAGAATGTTCTGGAATTCTGAGAGAAGAGAGAAAGAGACTTGCCTTTTTCTGATGTAGCGCTGTTCCTGCCAGCATTAATTTAGCAATGGCCCTTTATCCTGGCAGAGGCACTGAGATCTCCATTATCCAGTTTTTCTTATGCTCATTCATAATCAGCTTCCCACATGCTCCCTTAAAGGTGGAACCACAAGCCCTGCAATGCTCCCTCTTCAATGGTATCAACATCAGAAAGCAGCACTCCCACACCTGATTCTGTGTCCGGAATTGGTTCCTTCCAATGGGTTCTTGGTCTTGCTGCCTTCAAGAATGAAGCTGCAGACCCTCGTGGTGAGTGTTACAGTTCTTAAAGATGGTGTGTCCAGAGTTTTTTCCTTCAGATTTTCAAATGTGTCCAGAGTTTCTTCCTTTTGGTGGGTTCATGGTCTTGCTGACTTCAGGAGTTAAACCACAGACCTTTGCAGTGAGTGTTACAGCTCTTAAAGGTGGCTTGTCCAGAGTTGTTCGTTCCTCCTGGTGGGTTCGTGGCCTCACTGGCTTCACGAGTGAAGCTGCGGACATTTGCTGTGAGTGTTACAGCCCATAAGGGTAGTGCGGACCCAAAGAGTGAGCAGCAGCAAGATTTATTGCAAAGAGCGAAAGAACAAAGCTTCTACAGGGTGGAATCGGGGTCCTGGAATCGGGGTGGTGGAATTGGACCCCAACAGGTTGCCTGCTGGCTAGGGCGGCCTGCTTTTATTCCCTTATATTGCCCCACCCACATCCTGCTGATTGGTCCATTTTACAGAGAGCTGACTGGTCCGTTTTACAGAATGCTGATTGGTCCGTTTTGACAGAGTGCTGATTGGTGCATTTACAAACCTTCAGCCAGACAGAAAAGTTCTCCAAGTCCCCTACCTGATTAGCTAGACACAGAGCACTGATTGGTGCATTTACAAATCTTTAGCTAGACACAGAGTGCTGACTGGTGCATTTACAATCCTTTAGCTAGGCAGAAAAGTTCTCCAAGTCCCCACCCCACCCAGAAGCCCAGCCTGCTTCACCTCTCAATTCTAGTCTCAGTTCCATAGAGCCTCTTCCCCAAACTTTTAGAATCCAATAAGCCAAATTCTTCTCTTTGTTTGCTAAATGATTTCTAGAATCTCTATCCATGTGTTATCCCAGATTCTTTCTTTAGCTGTTTAGTCATCTAACAACTGATTAATGATTTCTTTGTATTAATTTCCTTCTGTAAAAATAAGTGGCATAGCTTTTGTTTTCCTTACTAAATAGTGGTTTATTTTTAATTAAATACTTGCCTTATTAAATGTCCAAAAAAATCTGTCTTATTGTCAAATTAAAATTAAAGCAGAAGGAAAAGTAACTTATTTTTCTCACTCCTCTTTCCACTCTGTCCTCTAATAATTAGATTTAAAGGGAATCAGTGTTCGGACAACTCTTTTTAGAATGAAAATAATATATTCCAACATATGTATCCTCCATTATTGTCTCGGGTAAGTATTATATCTTCAACAGAAATGGATAGGGGAAGGAGGAGGTAAAAGAAAAGTATCTAATGTTTCTTATTTTTGATGATTGCATTTCTATGCTTTTGATTATGGACAAAATTTCCCTTTGATCAAACTCTTGCAATTAGGAAGCAAATAAAGTGTCTCAGCAGTTGCTGAGATTCTTAGTGATATTTTTATAATTTAGATCTACCCATGTTTATCAGTTACAATATCTGTAAATTTATCTCTATCTTGAAATCCATAATTATTTTTAACGTGAGGTAATTGGTTGTAGCCAAAATCATTCAGTCAATAATTAATCAAGACACTCTCTTACTATAGATTTATCCATTACATTTAATCACAAAACAGTTTATACTTGTACAATTTATTTGTATATTTGTTTAGAATTTTAACTTTGAATAAGGTATCTAAAACAAATATTCATTGTTAGCAAAAGGAGAGTTAAATTCTGCATTATTCTACTTGATCTTGCTTTTCAGATAGGAATCATGAAGTTCATGACTAAAAGTGAGCAATTTTGATTTGGGTACATTTTCTTCTAAAACATTTCCTATCTCCTTATATTTTAATTGAAAAAGGATTATCTAAACATGTATGGGTCAACTTGTTAAACCAACCCAAGTCATACGAAGCAGGAAGATGGTCCTATAAATATTTTCTTTAATTTAAAAAACTAAAAATCTTATTAAAATGTAATCATAATGTATTTAGAATTAATATTTAAAAATAAATACTTGTAGCATAAGAAACTACCATCAGCGTGAACAGGCAACCTACAAAATGGGAGAAAATTTTTGCAACCTACTCATCTGACAAAGGGCTAATATCCAGAATCTACAATGAACGCAAACAAATTTACAAGAAAAAAACAACCAACCCCATCAAAAAGTGGGCAAAGGATATGAACAGACACTTCTCAAAAGAAGACATTTATGCAGCCAAAAAACACATGAAAAAATGCTCATCATCACTGGCCATCAGAGAAATGCAAATCAAAAGCACAATGAGATACCATCTCACACCAGTTAGAATGGCGATCATTAAAAAGTCAGGAAACAACAGGTTCTGGAGAGGATGTGGAGAAATAGGAATGCTTTTACACTGTTGGTGGGAGTGTAAACTAGTTCAACCATTGTGAAAGTCAATGTGGTGATTCCTCAAGGATCTAGAACTAGAAATACCATTTGACCCAGCCATCCCATTACTGGGTATATACCCAGAGGATTATAAATCATGCTGCTATAAAGACACATGCACACGTATGTTTATAGCGGCACTATTCACAATAGCAAAGACTTGGAGCTAACCTAAATGTCCAACAACGATAGACTGGATGAAGAAAATGTGGCACATACACACCATGGAATACTACGCAGCCATAAAAATGATGAGTTCATGTCCTTTGTAGGGACATGGATGAAACTGGAAACTATCATTCTCAGCAAACTATCACAAGGACAAAAAACCAAACACTGAATGTTCTCACTCATAGGTGGGAATTGAACAATGAGAACACATGGACACAGGAAGGGGAACATCACACACCGGGGACTGTTGTGGGGTGGGGGGAGGGGGGAGGGATAGCATTAGGAGATATACCTAATGTGAATGACGAGTTACTGGGTGCAGCACATCAACGTGGCACATGTATACATATGTAACAAACCTGCACGTTGTGCACATGTACCCTAAAACTTAAAGTATAATAATAATACAATTAAAAAAAGATGAATCTGAATTTTTATATAACAAAGGTTTACAAAATTCTGAGTGCAGTAAATCAGAAGAGAGTATGTTTTTAAATTACTGAATAGAAAAAATATATAACCTTTGAAATTAAAGTGGAATTTTTCAAGTAGAGAATTTCCCATTTTAAACAAATTTTTGAAACTTATGTGATTGACCAGGCATAGTGGCTTACACCTGTAAGACTAGCACTTTAGGAGGCTGAGGTGGGAGAATCCCTGGTACTCAAGAGTTCAAGACCAGCCTAGGCAATATCATAGGAAGACTCTGTCTTTACAAGAAAAAAAAAAATTAAAAAGAAAATTAAGCCAGGTGCAGTGACTCACGCCTGTAATCTCAACACTTTGGAAGGCCAAAGTATGTGGATCACTTGAGGCCAGAAGTTCGAGACCAGCCTGGCCAAAACAATAAAACCCCATCTCTACTAAAAATACAAAAATAAGCTGGATATGGTGGCACATGTCTGTGATCCTGGCTACTCAGGAGGCTGAGGCATGAGAATCACTTGAACACGGGGGGCAGAGGTTGCAGTGAGCCAAGATCATGCCACCGCACTGCAGCCTGGGCAACAGAGCAAGACTGTGTCTCAAAAAAAGAAAGAAAAGGAAAAGAGAGAAGAGAAGAGAAGAAAAAGAAAAGAGAGAAGAGACAAGAGACAAGACGAGACAAAGAAAATTAGCCAGGCATGGTGGTGCATGCCTGTAGTCTCAGCTACTCAGGAGACTGAGGTGGGAGGATGACTTGAGCCCTGGAGGTCGAGGCTACAGTGAGCTGTGATATCATCACTGTAATCCAGCCTGAGTAACAGAATGAAACGCTGTCTCATTTAAAAAAAAAAAAAGACCATTATCTTAGCTCTGAAGAAAATTTAAATATTGAATAGTAAAGATTTTATTGGCTAAATTTTCTAATAAAAAATATAACAAAAAAACAACACTCGTAAATTTGCATAATTTTAAACTATTGCCCATAGTTTCCATTTTATTTTAATTTCAAATTGTCGTATACATTTTCAAGAAAAAAATTTACTCTGTTTTTTCCTAAAGCTTTGATACATGTTCTGAGTGCACCAGTTGCTTTCATTCTTTGGTACTTTAACATAGGTTTCCATGAAAAGTGCATAACATACATGGATGTGAAAAGAGTTTTAATGTACTACCAAGGAATAGGAATACTGATAGATTACTCCTTCAGTCTCATAAAATCCACTTATCCCATGTGGAATAAGCAGCAATTCCCCTTTATTTTGTTCCATGTAGCTTAAATTCACAGAGGATACTCTGATTTTTGCCCCCCGCTTTTTTGTTTTTTTTTTTTTTAGACAGAGTCTCACTCTGTCACCCAGGCTGGAGTGCAGTGGCACGACCTTGGCTCACTGCAAGCTCCACCTCAGCCTCCCAAGTAGCTGGGACTACAGGCACCTGCCACCACGCCCAGCTAATTTTTGGTATTTTTAGTAGAGACGGGGTTTCACTGTGTTAGCCAGGATGGTCTCTATCTCCTGACTTCGTGATCCGCCCGCCTCGGTCTCCGAAAGTGCTGGGGTTACAGATGTGAGCCACCTCGCCGGTCCGATTTTTGCCCTTTTAACATTGACAACCCACTTGACGGTCTCCACAACAAACTAGGCATGTGAAAATAACATAAAACTGACAAACGTGCATTTTCCCAGTTTCTATTTCCATTAATTCAACTTTCTTTCTGTTTATACTGCCCATGCTGTAAAATTACTGACCACTCATGTAGGGGTTCTGAATATTTTCATCTGCCCTGCTTTTCTTAGTGACCCAGTTGAACTTTGCTTCAGACACAAGGAAAAATATATGATAGAGACTCAGGAAGAGATAATGCTTTTGATGATTTCTTTACAGTTTGTTGATTGTCTTCAAATTGAGGGCTCCAATGAGAGCCAGACAATCAATGATTCTAACTATGCTGTTAACTCCAAGCTCTATAACCTTATAAAAACTCAATAAACTCTCTTGGCTTCTGGTTATTCATCTTTGGTAAAAGGCATTTATAATAAATGTTCTCAATTTTATAGGAATTCTAACTCTCCTGTATTTAAAACTAGTTATTTTTATAAATTAATATGTATCTAATTTTTTGAGGTGCACTCTGAATTGTCAGGATTTCTGCTTTTTCAATTTAAATAAATCTTTACCTTTTTATTTAACAGCAGTATAAAACAATTTGAGTAGAGCAGCTTTTCAATTAATATATACAGTGAAGATAATAAGATGTTTGTTTCTAACAATGTATTGGTGATAGATTAACTATTGCGTAGCATGAATTTAAGGCCTTGAAAAGCAACGTCAGAATATAAATGTGTTTTGGTGGGAAGTGACTATGTTGTTTAAATAGTTTGAAGAATATAAAGACTGGAAAACATACAGGACCAGCTGGTCAGTTGAAGATTATAGCAATAATCCTCCAGCAGATGATTAGACCCTGGACTGAGATGGAGAATGGAATTTATCATGGACTTATGCATCTGAACTATTGCAATGAAGCAGAGAGAAGCAATACAAAAATCTAATAGGATTTTCAGCTTCATATAGCAAATGGAAGAGGTGGGGAGTTGGTAAAAAAAAAAACTGTTTATAGAAAAAAAAGTAATGTGGTCATAGGTATAATCTAAAATGAAAATGAGAAAATCAAACAGGATAATTATTTTTAAAGTGCTAATTTAGACTTGTATATGTGTAGGTGCAGGCAGCTGTCATTCTGTAATTTCCTGCTAGATCTCCTTATACACTCAATTTTATATTATGATTGTCTCTTATAACATCTATAAATGTATCTTTATCTTAAAATCCTTAAAGATTAAAGAGAAAATGAGGTGACTGGCTGTGGTCAAAATCAATCAATTTATTAATCAACACACTTTCCTTTAGATTTGATTAGACTGCTTAGAAATAAAATGCTTTGTTTTTAAGGAGTAGATATTTGTTTTAATGCTAATGATACAACTGATATTTAGAGAAATTAATTCAAAATTTAAGAAAAATGCAAGTTATATATCTTATGCCTTTAAATGTTTTAATATTTAGTGTAAAGAAGGCAAGTTCTATACTTTATGCTACTCATATCTGAACCCTTAAACTTCATTTAAAAGTAACTACATGCCACAGAATTTCAAATGGCCTTTCTCATCACAGTATGGTTATTTTAAAAATTCAATTTGTGTTAACATTATAGTAACTGAATTTAAACTGTCAGGGCTTTATAAAATGTACATTTCTCAGAGTGTTAATTTTATCTGAGAAAGACAGAGTGTATCACCATTAAGTCAATGATCAGATATGGAATTAAATTCAATTACATTTCAAAACAAAATACCAACCAGATTTCAAGATAATTGAATTAAAGTGTTATGGCTTTAAATTTGAGAAATATGTTATTTAAAATGCTTTGCACAGTCAAGTATACTTGCATATAAATGCACAAACATCAGACAGGTTTTTTTTTTTTTTTTGCATCAAGTTCAGTCAGCCAAATGTGCAGTATAAACAGATATATCAATTCAAAATTAGGCAAGTATAGTCAGGCTAATTTTGTCATTTCTGATAAAATCAATCAGCCTAGTCAATCAAAATAATTTATTTTATTTGTAATCTGTATACACATAGACTCTGAAAATAACATAGCATATAATTTTAGACTTAATTATGAAAAATAGGTTAATTTATTATTTCTTGACAATTTTGAAATAGGGATGAGTAAATTTAATGATGTAAAGCATTATTAACATATTTTTCAAAAAATGTTTGAATAGGAAGTGGGCTTTTTCATTTAACAAACTGATTAAAATAATTTAGATTACAAAATTATTTGTGCTGTGATCCAGCTGTCTAGATCTCAGTAACTTGTTCTCTGTGCTGTGCATCTCAACAAGGGAAAGAAAAGAAGGAAGGAAGCAAGGAAGGAAGGAGAAAGAAAGAGGAAACAAAGAAAAGAAAGAAAGAAAAAAAAAAGAAAAAAAGAAAGAAACAAAGAAAGGGAAATAGAGAGGAAGGAAGGAAGGAAGGGAGGGAGGGAGGGAAGGAGGGAAAGAAAGGCTTGAATCAATCCTGAAAAGATGACATCTGATTATTGATTCTTTGAAGTCCTCAACTTACAACTTCACTCAAGGTAACTCTGGAGAGGCAGAGGCAATGTACGTAAACTGGAACTCTGTAGTCTGAGAAATGTACTCTGCTGAGAAATGGGGAAGAGGAGAATAGATAAAGTGTTTGACATGGTTGACTGTGGACTCAGATTTCTTATCTGAAAATACCTATGAGTCAGCTTCTGAAAGGCCTGTCCCAGCACACTTGTGGGATAATGAGAAGGCTTCCTTGCTCTCTGACCCTTAAGAACAAAGAAGCAATCTGCATTTGCAGGTGAAGTTGTTCCTAGACAGAATGGTAGGAAGAAGTCTCTTCTTGCATTGGAGTAACGTGGCTATCCAGAAGAGAGTTTTTTTCTGTGTATGTGTGTTTATAGAAATTCCTTAAGAGCAGAAACTACTATTCCATTTAATAGCATTTGCATGTAATAGTACCTCAAGCAAAAGTGATTTCTGGGATACAGGGAAGATATATGAAGGAAAAGGAAAATAATTTTAAGAAGTGAGTCAGGGTTCAAAAGCTGATGGCAGCATTGAAGCCTTGAACATATACCTCCTGTTGAAGTGACACTAAAAGACAAATCAGCTAAAAGAATGAGCAATAAAATAGCAAAACCCATTGGAAAATTCAGCTGGAGTATACACATATGTGCATACACACACATAAACAACAAAGATAGAAAAATTTTATAATGAAAACCACATTTCATATATAAAAATTTATTAGGTACATTGAAAAAAGTAATATTTACTTTTGAAAATAACTGCTTTTAAAATAAAGAAATATGTAATGATAATAAATGAAAATAAAACAAGATAAAAAAATGAAATAAAATATTAAGAGATATGAATGAAAGGTAGAAGAGACATAAGATGAATAATAAAAGTTCCAGAAAAAGAAACATGGAATGATATGAGGAAATAACAAAAGCCATAATAGAAACAAATTTCTTTCACCTGAAGAAAGATTTGAATGTGCCCATTGAAATGTTCATGGTAATCCAGTGAAAATAATTTAAAAGAAAAAATTAGACAAATACTGGTAAAATCCTTAACTTTCAAAGAGAAAGAAAAAAGTCACAAAGTTCAAGATATACAGAGACAATTTGTCATGAAACTTTACCTGATTTAGAAATTTGGCATTAACACTGCTAACACAGTACATAAGTCAAAAATTACAGTGTTAAAATTATCTTGAAGTTTACTATATTGGCTTATGTTTCATGGCTGTGATGGGTACTATTGAGTGTCAACTTGATTGGATTGAAGGATGCAAAGTATTATTCTTGGGTGTGTCTGAGAGGATGTTGCCAAAGGAGATTAACATTTGAGTCAGTGGGCTGGGAAAAGCAGATCCACCCTCAATCTGGGTGGGCACCATCTAATCAGCTGCCAGTGCAGCAAGGATGAAAGAGATAAGAATGAAAGATATGAATGAACGTATCTTTCAGAGAAATATTGAAGGAGTAAACTGGGTCTTCCAGCCTACATCTTTCTCCCATGCTGGATGCTTCCTAACCTCAACATTGGACTCCAAGTTCTTCAGCTTTGGGACTCCAGGACTCTTTGGGACTCTTCAACCACAGACTGAAGGCTGCACTGTCGGCTTCCCTATTTTTGAGGTTTTGGGACTCAAACTGGCTTTCTTGCTCCTCAGCTTGCAGACGGCCTATTGTGGGACTTCACCTTGTGATCATGTGAGTCAATACTCCTTAATAAACTCCCTTTTATATATACATTTATTCTATTAATTCTGTTCCACTAGAGAACCCTAGTATAATGACAATAGAAATATGCATATGCATATTTCTGTAGAAACTATGTATTTTTAATATAATTACACTTGGCTTAGCAAGATGCCCAAGTTAAGTTTGATGCATCTGGATGTTTCTGGAGGAAGCATATGATGCATTTTTATGTCTTCTAAATTTATATAATATGGTAATAATTCAGGTTTTAATTCATTTATGACAAACGTTTAAATTTGTGAGCTAAGAAAAATTTACAAGTAGCAAATTAAAAAAATACATTTTCATCTTTTGTATCTTTTCCATAATACTTTGAAAACATACCAATTAACTAATAAATCTTTTTATTATTTTACCACATTAAAAAAGAGTTATTGTCTTCAAATATTCCCATTCCAGCAAAATAAATCACGTATACTAAATAACCCATTGATTTTTCCACTCTAATGGTTATGCATAAATCTCACAATAGGCCAAACTGCTTGCAGTTCTGTATTGTTCAAGATACAGACATTTGTACTCTCTCTATCTAATTATTTTCCATAGCCAAAGTAACAGCCTCCTTACGTTTCCATGTAACACTCCAATAATGGTGGTCAATAATTTGATAAGAATGTGTTTTAAAGATTTTTACATTTTTTAATGTTTACATTTTGGTGGTGATTTTACGATTGTGATTGTCCTTGGGAGTCATAGACTTTCTTCAATCTACGGCTTTGTACTTTTTGTCAGATTTAGAAAAGTTTTAGCTACTCCTTTCCAATATTTATTCTTCTACCTTTTTCATCCTGGACATCTGCTTTAATATCCTTTTCCATTAGTTCCAGGATATCTCTGAAGGTTGAGTCTGTTTCCATGGGCTGGATCACATATCTCTGGTTATTTGCCTATGCAGTAATTTTAAAATCAGATATTCAGTATTGTGATACTATATTCTTATATTTCTATTTTTTCTTTTTTTTTTTTTTTGTCTCTAGAAGGTGGGAAGCTTTATTTTGACAAGCATTTACATTGCTTTGAAATTATTTTTAATCCTTTCGAGATTTCCTCTGAAACTTTGCTATTCTAGTTCTAGAGAAACCTTCACTACATGTATAGCTCATCTCTACCACTTAAGTGTCACAACTCTGGAGTCTAAATGTCTGAGTGACTGATTGATGACTATCAACTCTGCCTGATTGTAGCTTAAATGTGCCTTCTCTCCCTCCTTATTTGAACTCCAAGAATTATTGAGGTTGCCAGTTCTCCCCCACGACCCGCCATGTTTTAAACGTGGTTTGTGGAATTTCTGTCTGTACCTGCACATTCTAGTGATCAGCAAACACTCAAGGGGGTGCCTAAGCAGACATCTGTAGCTCATTCTCTATGTCCTTCTTCCTATAACCCTGGTTTACCATTCGAGGCATCTTAGCTTCGTATTCTGATCTCCGTGTCTATTTAGTGACGCCATTGTGCTCTGTGGCTCCCCTGACACTGATTGGAAATCGCCTCCAGACAAAAGATAATTGCACTGCTCAACTATTTTGTTCCTCTCAAGGATCTAATTCCTCTGCAGGCTTACTGTTAAGTGTGTGAAAGGACTTGTTTCCTATATTTTGTTGAGCTTTTAATTTTTATTGTTGGAGGTTAAAATCCAGTTTTTGTAACTTCGTCATGACTGAAAGTGGAACTCCAGGTATTATAATTTTTAAGTTTTCACAAATTTGAATGGAAAACAGTATTCTTTTATATTCCTAGTTACCATTTAAATTCCTTCATTTTTTATTGTCAGTTCATAGTATTTGTATTGAATTTTCTTACTGATTTATATGAAATTTTGTAGATATGTTTCAAGTTTTTGTCATATATGGAACATATTTTCCTTTGGTATTTCCTTAAATTTTGCTCAAGTTTTGGGTTGTTTTATATGCAAACCTTTAAAAATTTTATTACTCAAATTTATCAGTTTTTATTTTGGAGTTTACCTATTTAAAAGGCTAAATCCTAAAGTAACTAAATGTAAATACAATTGTATTCTAGTTCATATTTAAATATGTGACTTACTTATTATTTATTTTGGTGTACAGTGTAGGAAGTGATAGGTATAGCTATCCATCAACAATCCACGTCACAAATCCTCTATTTCCCTGCCAGTATTATAGCTGATTTGCATATGTGTTAGATTATATGACTACATTTCGCTGATGGAATTTAAGTGAAAATATTGTGTGTTACCTTCAATCCACAGTTTTGGTGGTTTGCCCTTTATCTCGCTGTTTTCTATTTTAACTGAGTATAGAACAGTTCAAATTCCTTGGGTATGGGAGAGGTTAAAATAGATAGAGTCTGAAAGAAAGCTGCTCTCTGATGAGGAAAAATTTTGTGGGTTATTACACAGGTCATTATACTTTCATAGTATGTGTACTATAGCAATTAGCATAGCTAATAATGAGATTAATAAAAATAGGATTATCATATTTTTTAAACAGTTACTTGTTTCAATACCATTTATTGAATGGTTCATTCACCTACTTAATCATAATGGTGTTATCAGTTTTCCAGGCAATTACTCTCTTGTAACATAATTTATTGAGTGATTAATCTGTCCCCTATTTTGAAATACTTTTTTCACAAAATAACTTTTCTTTCATAGTGAGATTTCATTAAATTTTTATGTACATTATTCCATTTATCCATCAGTTTTTCTTTCAGATATATACTATGTTTAGCATCGTGCTTACTTAATAGCCTTTAATATTTGTAAAGATAAGTTTGCTTTAACATTTAATTTTTTTCTTACCTGTAATATTTCTTTATTTTTCTAGATGATTTGGGAATTTAAAGCAATTAAAAAAACAGCATATCAGTTGAAATTGTGTTTAATTTATAAATTAATTGTGTGGAAACTTTTATGATTGAAACATATCTCTTTTCAGGAACATATTATCTTTGCCATTTATTTAGGTCTCCTTTTAATTTCTTTTGTGACATAGCCTCAATTATATAATTTTATGTAAAATAGTTGGAGATCACAATACTGAGGTTCAGAAAGAAAATGGCATAATATTAATGGCCATAAAAAAGTTTATTACAGTTTTTATTCGGATGAATGTAACTGAACACAGAACATCAAGGCCTCACATATCCGTGGGACAAATAGTGTATCATATTTGTACACTCCTGTTCTTTATGGAAGAAGACTGTAAACAATTCTTGGATCAGTGTGGACAATGTGCTTCACTCAGCATGCTTCCTATGATCAGAGAATAAGCAACATCATTTATTTCCATTTTGGAGGAAATATTATTCAGTGACCTACACCATAATCAAAGATCTAGGTATAAATTATAAGAATATCTGACTTCAATTATATTAACTTACTTACAGTACTCAATCCAAAAGCATCTTTGACTTTCCTTTGTTGTGCAACATTAAAAGTAAGCATTCCTTTATACTCATTACTTATTTATCCTCAAATTTTATGTTGTCTAAACATGTTCTCTAAGGCTGTCAAATACAAGTACAAGGCACATATATTTATTATTTGTGCCTTGTACTTGTACCTCAGTAGTTCTAGGTATGAATGTCCTAATTGCCTCAACTATATATACACCTTTGTGTCCTGCAAATCTTTCCAACTCCTTATTCCAAAGAGAACTCAACTTGACTCCCTGACACATACCTTTTGTCTCCTGGTTCTTTTCTAACAGAATCAACAGTATTTCATGGTATCAAATACAACATATAAAAATTGCTGTAACTCTGCTGCTTTTCTCATTCCCAGATTTCATGGCTAATATTTCAAATCAATTCCACTTCATTATCTTTCAAATTTATCTTCCTTTCATTGATTTTATTTCATCAGGTTAGATATTTATTGCCTTTTATTTGATCATCTCTAATAAGTTCTAAATGGTCTCAACGCTAAATGGTCTCAATGACTCCAGGCTTTCCCTGCAAACATTTTTTTCCCCTCTGAAACATCATTATATTCAAATACACTTTTAATTGCTCCCAAAGGCTCTCATTCATTGGCTCTAACGTCTTCTTCCTGTTGAATCCCATATCCTCATGTTAATCTATATTAATACACACTTTACCCCTTACATGGCTCAAATTTATAATACTGGTGATAATGCACAAGCTTTTCCTTTGGCCTGAAATATCTGATAATGTAAAATATTTTACTTTTACTTTTTCTCATAATTTGGGCTTAATAGTTTTAGTTATCTGATCTCCATTGATTACTAGGGTGTGTTCTTTCAGTTGCCAATTGCAAAATCATAATTTGATACTGGTAAAAAGAAATATTATTATAATATAAAAATTTATTTTCTTCTTCATGAGGATGCAAAAATCTATTTTCCTTTTCTCCTTTGCAGTTGAGCCAGATGTATGGTCTGGGTCAAAACAATCTAGGAATAAACTGAAAATATGTGCATCATTTCTAAGAGTGGTTTAAAAACAGATGGAAGTGCCAGGCGTGGTGGCTTATGCCTGTAATCCCAGCACTTTGGGAGGCCGAGGCAGGTGGATCATGAGATCAGGAGTTCGAGACCAGCCTGACCAATATGATGAAACCCCGTCTCTACTAAAAATACAAAAATTAGCCGGGTATGGTGGTGAGTGCCTGTAATCCCAGCTACTCAGGAGGCTGAGGCAGGAGAATTGCTTGGAGCCCGGGTGACAGAGCAAAAGCGAGACTCCGTCTCAAAAAAAAAAAAAAAACAACAGATGGAAGCAATCAAGTTTTCTTCTTATTTGTTATGTGATCATGAATGACACCTATTCAAGATGGCATTGCTACAAATGGAGGAGAGTAGCTTTACTCTCATCAGATATGTCAAGAAAAATGAACTTTCTTTGAGTAAAAAATATCATGTCCTTTTCCCTTTGCCATATTTAGGCTTCCCTCCCCCCATATCTCAAACTGCTAATTTACACAAAAATTCCATTTTCAGACATGTCTAAATTATCTACCTTATTATATACTTAACAAAAAAGTGTGACAAATTTTTAATAAGTTTTCTGTATAAAAATGTTTGAAAGTTGACAATCTGTAAAAACTGACTTACTGAAGTTTTAAGATTTTAGTGTACAACACTTGATATTTTAAAAATATGTTTTATTTCTCTAATTGAGGCTTCTGCAAAACTGTATTTAAAGAGATTTCTTAGTACAAGTGTTGAGTGAAGTAAATTTTAACAAATTTTTTGAACTAAAATTTTCTTTCATAAATTATATGTTTCTTTTCTCTTCCCTAAGTTAGCTTTTCACTTATCTATAAATATTTCTTTTTAGACAAAAGGTGTGAATTACGTTTTAGAAATTTGTTTTTAGTACTAGATATTTCATCTCATTAACTATGTGTTCCTCTTATCTCAAGTTTAACTCTGCACTTACCTACATATATTCCAAATTTAGACAAACTTTCCTGGTGGTAACATTCAGGTGAATCTTAATAACATTTTTCATGAACAACCTATTATACCAGATTTGACAAAAAACATTATAGCTTTAATTCTAGAAATCATAATCAAAGTTATTTCCATTTTGTTAGTAGTATTACTCATCATAGAGAGAAATCAAAGCTATTTTTGAATTTCTAATATTCTGGAATACTAATGCTTATGTTTAATTTTGTTTAGAGTGATCTATATAAGAGAACTTCAAGATATTACTTAATTATACTTGTGTGGGATTAGCTGTAATAATCATGTAAAATACCATTAACTTTCAAAATGTGTACAATGCATTTTTCCCCAGCTATGCCTGTTTATTTTTAAAATATGATTATATTTCTATAGAAAATAAAGTAGCATGGTAATCATTTTTGTTCAACTAAAACATGAAATTGCAATTATTTTAAATATTCTAATTTTTCTCATTGGTTCTAATCCAAATTTTCTTTATTTTTCTGAATACTCTAGAACTTGCAGTGTACGCTGTTATCATGATCTGCCTTGAATTAATATTATATCACTTTACATGTAAAAAGCTTAAAAACATGTTTGCATTTTTTTCTCCCATTTTATCCTGTTATTGCTACATATTTTACTTAAATATATAATATAAAAAATATTTTTTGAAGAAATAAAAAAAGACGTATTTTATCTCCATGTATACCATTTTCAGCAATCTCCATTCTTTTGTATGTATTCAAGTTTTCTTCTAGTATCATCTTTTTACATTTTAACAGACTTCATTTAGCATTTTTTTAATAAGGCTGACTTTGTGCTAACAAATACTTCCAGATTTTATCTAAAATTTTTTTTTCATCTTAAAGGATATTTTTAGTGGATTTATAGTTATGTCTGTCTGTCTATCTATCTTAGTACTCTAAAAAATAGCATTCTAATGTCTTAGGGTTTTTGTTTTTCTACCTTTTCTGATGAGAAGCCATTAGTTATTCTGAACATTAATTCTCATGTAGAGTGCAACCTCCCCTGCTGGTTGTTTTTAATAGTTTTTCGTTGTAATTTGATGCTAAAATGCCTTACTTGGGGGATTCGTGGGAATTCTTGAATCTGTGAATTTATAGTTTTCATTTTAAGTTTGAAAATAATCAGCCAGTATATCTCCATATATTTGCAATTCAATCTTCCCCTTATTTACTTCTGAGATTATATTTATGTATATATTAATATGAAATATTATACCAGAGGTTGCTAATGTTTAAACAAATTTTCTATGTTTTAAGTCATTTTTCTCTTTTTATGTTCACCTGTTCATTACCTCTATTTTCAACAATATCCAATATGATGTGAAACCATCTATTGGACACTTTGTTTCAGATATTGAATTTTCTATTCTAGAATTTTATGTTTGTTTTTATCTATAACCTTCATTTTTCTTGTAGAAGTTCTTATATGTTCACTCATTATGTATATATTTTTGTTTAAATCTCTAAACCTATGCATAGTAGATGTTTAAAAGTTCTGGCTTTGGAATTTTCAACATCTCAGTCACCTCAATGCTTGTTTCTACTGACTGTTTTGTCTCATCTCCCCCACCACATCTCATTCTTTATTGTTTGTTTTGGGTTTTATTTATTTGTTTTTGCCACTTAACATTCCTGCTTTTTTTGCATGTTTTAAAAATCTATATTATGTACATCATATTGTTATGACATTGAAAGTGAATTTTATCATCTTCCTTCAAAAAGTGTTGATTTTTTTGGGTGAGTGGGGGGAAGCTAACAGCCTTTTTAAAAGGGTGAAGACAATAACAAGATGAGATGGGGCAAGTAGAAAAAAAACATTATTGTAGACTTAATCCTAACATATTCATAATTATTGTAAAATAAAAATGTATTAAAAATCCTGGTGAAAAGGCATAGACTGTAGTACTTGGTTAAACAAAAAAAGCAAGATTGAACTATCTTAATTTTGTAAGATATGTAATTTAAATAAAAATACAAAGATACATTGGAAGACTGGAATGAAATACTAACAAACAGATACAATACTAGTAAAATAAATATTTAAAAACCTGAACATAAAAAGTTATCATGGATATAAAATGATGTGTTCTTTCATACACTGTATGTGGAATGTTAAAAAGGGAAACTACTTTGGAAAATTATTTGGTATTTAATTTATAGTTAAATAAGAACTTATTTGAATGAGCTATTCTACACTATGTATGCACATGATAGAAATTGAAAGAATTTACACAAAATTTATTTATAGCAGTTTCCAAATAGTAGCCTGAAGTGGAAACAATTTAATAATTGTCCATCAACAGGACAAGATAAACAAAATGTTATATATTCCTAGAATGTAATTCTACTTAATATATAAAGTAGTAAATTATTGATACAATAAATGAATAATTATCCCAACATTTTGCTTAGGAATTCTGCACACAAAGAAGTGAATACTGTATGATTACACTTAAATAAAATTTTTGGATAGTGAAAATAACCTATGGTTAAATATCAGAAGAGAGGTGATTACATTTTGACTGGGTACCTATTGGGAAGGGGCATGAAAATCCATTGTGGAAATATCAGGGGTCTGGAAACATTTCTGTAAATTGATAGGTAGTATATATTTTAACCTCTTGGGACCATAGGCTCTCTGTTGCAACCACTCTATATTTCATTACTCTGTAATACTCTTTATTACAAAAGTAGCCATAGAAAATGCATAAATAAATGGACTTAGTAGTGCTCCAATAATTTTTTAAAAAACAAATCAGCCAATGGCCTGACTTAGCCCATAGATTATAGTTTTTCAACCCTTGCTATTTATCATGATAGGGATATGGGTGTCATGACTGGATGCATTTGCAACAGTTTATAAAAATGTAACACATAATGTACATTTAAGTCTCTGTAAGTTATGCCATAAAAAGAGATGTGGGCTAAAATTTTATAACTTTTATAGTTCTCAAAACTCAGAAACTAAAAATTGGTATAAATTTGTTAGGTCTTTTGCCTCATAGTCTTATAATTATGGGCAGCAGTAACTGAAACTGACATGCAGACCTAAATTAAAGGACCAAAATAAATAACTAAATAAATAAAACAGAGAGACAGAGAGCACCACATATTTTAGCAGATAATAGACATAAATATAAATTTATCTTAATTTCTAATTGTTTTGTACAGAGCCTTATAGATGTTTTTGTTAAGGAAATATAAGTAAAAGTCTTCCAGCCCAGAAAAACTTACCACAAGGGTAGTAGAGAAAAGAAACAGTTGGCCAGGCGTGGTGGCTCATGCCTGTAATCCCAGCACTTTGGGAGGCAAAGGCAGGCAGATCACAAGTTCAGGAGTTCAAGACCAGCCTGACCAATATGTTGAAACCCCGTCTCTACTAAAAATACAAAAATCATCTGGGCGTGGTCATGGGCGCCTGTAGTCCCAGCTACTCTGAGATTGAGGCAGGAGAATTGCTTGATCCTGCAAGGCAGAGGTTGCAGTGAGCCAAGATCGCGCTACTACACACCAGCCTGGGAGACAGAGTGAGACTCCATCTCAAAAATGAAAAAGAAAGAAAGTAAACAGTTTTATTATTGTATAGGTGTTACATCAGAATGCAATCCACACCACAGGCAATCTACTAAGAGATTTCTGAGACAGAAAGAAATCTTACCCTCTTATATAGACAAAGCAGATACAACCCACTACATACCTGTTTTTAAGATAAACAACAGCTAGTCCTCAAGTAAGAGGACTTCACAAGCAACATTTGCCACACATAGTTTATTTAAACTTACCTAGCAGTTGAGGCGATCATCTATTTAGGTAACTGACTTTATCCACAGGACTAACAACTTCTCTGTATCTTTGTAACAGGAGATAGGTTTGCAGTTTGGAGCAAGGAACTCACAAAGTTAGACTTCTACCCTTTGACTGAAACTGGAAGGTAGGGGTGTTATCTTCCTTGATGTTTCCATTTCAAAGAGATGACTCCAAGGTCTTTGAAAAAGCTAGTCCTGAGTCACAAAGCTAGCAAAAGGTCTATGTAGTCTTCAGAAAGATTTATACACATTTCAAAGAGAGGAGAATATATTTAGAGTAAAAAGTTTTCTAAGATAAGTGCTCAGAGAAATAGGGAAGGGAAATATCTTTCTATATTTTCAAGAGAGAGAATTAAGCCTCTTATTTTAAATTTGTATTTCTGTTTACATTTTAAATGAAAAGAAAAAAATAATTGTGTCGTTTAAATGTGTAAATATTTAAAATATGATCAAACTAGCATATTAGCTCAGTAGGGAAGGATATATAATTCTAAAGAAAAGTTGGAAGAATTTTTATGCCTGTGAAAAAAATATAATTGGGATGATATACCATGTCTTTCAAAAAATATTGTAAAAACACATGAATATTTTTTCCTGGAAAGGACACAAAAATTATCATCAAACATATGAAAATATACTCAATTTTTCCAGTTATTATGAAAATAAAACTAAAGCCAATAAACAATGTTTTATAGCCACTAAAATAGTCAAAAGAAAACAAAAATCTGAAAATATCAAGCTGTAGCCAGAATGATTGGAATCAGAGCTCTCACACATCGTCACTGAGAGCTTAAATGATAACAAACTTGGATAAGCAACTTGGATAAAATTAAACATTATCTAATAATTTGAAGTTGTACATATGCTATGACATTAATTTTCTTCCTACTTATATGTTCTGATATAATCTTAACACTTTGCATTGTGATATAGGTATACAGTATTACACCATAAAATAGTATTACAGCATTATTTGTAAGAAAACAAAGGAAACTGGAAAGGATGCAAGCTACGTATTTAAAAGAAAGAATGAGTAAATAAACAATAATAAAGAGAAAAAAGGGGGAGTGAGAAATGTAGAAAAGGCAGGAGGGAGAAGAAAGAAACAAGGAAGGAAAGAGGGAAGGAAAGAAAGAAGGGAGGGAGAAAGAATCTTGTGGAATATTCATAAGATGAATTTTTGTAGACAGTAAAAATGAATGAGTTACCATCACAGTAATCACATGATAGCATGTGGGCAAAATGTAGCCAGTAACAGTTTCTTCCATCTCTGCTTTTGTATACCACTTATCCCATCAGGAGTTAGAGTTCATTCCTTCTTCCCCGTGACTCAGTTTTTCAAAAACATACAATAGAGGTGTCGTTGTATGTCCTTAAATCTAGCTCTTGATGCTTTTCATTTTATGCTTTTGGAAAATAGTCGACTTCAGTAATGAAGAGAGAGAAGTCAAATGGAAAAGAGGCATTAGAGGTTAAGAGAAAGGGAAGGCCATCAAATTCCAAACATCCCATCCATCCTGCTGGCACACTAGTTATGTTAGTAACAACATTTTAGATCCTCCACATTGATTAGATTCATTTTAATATTATCTTCATTTCTTTTGTTGTTTTGGTTTATTTACTTCATGTTGAGGTATAACTAAAAATACATTAAAGTACTTAAAATCTTAATGTATAGTCAAATATATTTTTTCTCTAAATCCTTTTAACCACTAGGTCAAGACAACATTTTCTGCTCTGCAAAATGCTTCATTAAAAATATCCCTACCAAAAATTATTCCTGGTACAAACATAAAACCCAGTAGTCCTGTATTGGATGTCCTGTAACTTGAACTATATTTATTCCTCTTTTTAGATTAATCTTTTGATAGAGCTCATACTCTAATAATCCTCTACAAATGGATTATATAAAGTAAAACAAAATCTTGAATACCTGAAATGTCATCTTAAATATACTCACGCATGATTTTTTAATTTGATTAGCCACATAAATCAAAACTATTTTGTTAGAATATTGATAGTATTGCTTCACTGACTTATAGACTTAATTGCTTCTTTTGAGAAGTCGAATGTCATCCTGATCATTTGCTTATGATTATCCTCAACTTTATTTTAATCATCTCATTTGAGTTTTTATTTCTGAGATTTTTCTATTAATATTTGTAACTGACAAATTATGTGTATACAGTTATGGGGTCCAATGTGATGTTTTGATATATGCATACAATGTGAAATATTAAAAAGTCTGACTCATAAAAGTAGAGAGTAAAATTATGTTTATCAGAGACTGGAGAGGTAGGGAGGAGAGGAATATGGAGCTGTGTGGTAAAGGGTATAAACTTTCAGATAAAAGAAATATGTTTTAAGATCTATTGCATAGTGGGGAGACTATAGTCAATAGCAATTTATTATATATTTTAAAATAACTATAAAAGCAATTTCAAATATCTCACCATAAAAAATGATAGGTAAGTGAGGAGATGGATATGTTAATTGGCTTGATTTAACCATATCTAGGATATTTACGTAGCTCTATAACTATCTACATTTATATCTATATTTTCAAATATACGTATTTATTGTTCCTTATTAAGGATTATTTTTCCACGTATGAAATATCCTCTCTGAGGCTATTATTCACAGACTTAAGATTGCATTATCTTTACTCCCTCTTGTCCCACACATTTCTTTCTGGTTTCTATGAATTCCCCCCTCCCTATTTTTGTCATTTGCTATTTGGCCTCTTTTTTCTTGTTATGGACTGTCCTCAAATATCTGTTGAAATTTAGCTATCCAATTATATTCAGGAGTGAGAAATAAAAAGCAGAATCAATATCAATGTTCTCTAGCTCTGTTAAAAACATGTCAACTAGTAGGCTTCCGTCTCAGCTGTGCCCTTGGGAAACATTGCCTAAGATGTGTAAGCTTTTCTTTTTATGTATTAATAATTTTCCCATAGAAGAGTTCTCCAGTGTTCCACTTTGGGGTATTGACGTCTGGCTGTCATTTTTATCAGAGCTGATTGAAGATGAGAAATGTTTTCCTCAGTTCAGGATAGTGCATTTCCTTGAGTATGCATTCCTTCTTCAGTATGGTATTCCTGCTATACTAATGTCGGAGTCCACAGCCTCCCTGGTATAAATGCTTCACAGCATAAATCTAGGTTTATGCCGTAGTAGAGGAAAGGCAGTTGCTTTGATCTGTGCTATGAAAGTAAAAACCTGGAAATCTAAGAACATTTACACAAACTTTAAGTTATTATTCTGATCTTAAGACCTATATTCATCTTCTACTTTCAAAGGTAGTTGGTGCCTTTAGCTTTCCTGGAGTTAACTAGAACTTTGTGGCATGGCTTTGCCTGTTTTAGTCTAACTACTACAGCAGTACATGGCCTTTTCATAAAAGATACTTCTTTCTGTTTTTTACATTTTGTAGCTACCATTCACACTTCCATTTCCATTGTCCTTGTGCATTAATTAAATATTTCCTTACATTTTTGGTGGAATTTTGTGAGATGGAGACTGAATATATTTTTGTTTAACTTTTTGTGTTTACCAGAAGTACATTAATTCCTAAATAATTAAGAAGATAAAGCTAAAGAGAATGTAATTGCTGGAGATATACTTAATATATAGTGAATTACCCCTTAATATTTGCATGATTGTATTTTCTTTTATTCCCTGGGTGTTACATATTTCTCTGTAGAATTGCTCTATCTAAGATATTAGGTATATTTCAAGGTTAAATGGTTGAATTGTCTAATTTGCATTGGGTATGTGCATATCACCCAAAATGATCTGTCAGAAAATGCAAATCTTTAGATGAACATGAATATTTTAGCACATAACACTTAGCAAGAAAAAAGAAAGAAAATAATTATCTTTTGTATGGTTGATCCACATATAACATTTTGGTTCAACCAAGCTTTAATATACTAAATACCAGAAAATACATATCAATCAAATGTAGGCATTTAAGTAAGTTACCACTGTCTATTTCTGCACCTCTGGAGTTAAATCTGTCGTTTTCATAGGAGGAATCCTGAGGATGATGGTGGGATGTCAAAAAAAGATAAATTTTAAAATGTGAGCCAGGTGTTGTGTAAATACAAACATTTATTCAAAAAGCACCTTAGTTTTTTTTTAATTATCACTCATTTAAAAATACAAATCTTCCTTCTATGCACATATTAATTGTAATTTGATTTTTTACTATTGAAAAAATACATATGTTAGATAGCTCATCTAATTTTTTTTTTAATGCATGGCTATTTGAAAGCTCTTTGATAAGTCTTTTAGAAATTAAATTTATTTGACTCTGAGCAGGACAGGTGATTTCTTGTGTAGTTAGGATAGCCAAACTATAGGTATACAGTAGTCCCCTTTTATCTGTGGTTTTGTTTTCCATGGTTTCAGTAACCCATAGTCATGTGCTCCAAAAATATTAAATAGAAAATTTCAGAAATGAACAATTAATAAGTTGCAAATTGCATACTACTTTGAGCGGCATCGTTAAATTTTCTGTCATCTCGCATGGGATGGGAATCATCCCTTTGTGCAGCGTATTTACACTGCACATGCTACTGCCTGTTAGTCACCAAGTTGGCATCTCAGTTATAAAATTGATTGTCACTATATCACAGTGCTTGTGTTAAAGTAATCCTTATTTTACTTATTAATGTCCTAAAATTACAAGATTCTGGCAATTTGGGTGTGCCAAAGAGAAGCCATAAAGTGCTTCTGTTAAGTGAATAGGTGAAAGTTCCTGACAATTAAAGAGAAAAAAATCATACACTGAGGTTGCTAAAATAGGTGGTTAGAATTAATCTTCTGTGAAATTGCGATGGAGGAATAGAAATTTGTGCAGAGTACATATAGGTTTTGGTACTACTCATGGATGTCTTAGAACATATCTCCTGAGGATAAGGAGAGACCATTGTGAATTTTTTTTGAACCAATTCGAAATGATAATAGTACTTTAGTAGTAAAAATAAAAGTTACTATTACTGCTAAACAATGACAAAATAAGTAAACTAATTTTTACATACCTGAAAGATCCCACATCATTCACTCATAACAGGATTAACACTCACAGTGGTTTTTAGTTGTGCATTTATAATTTCTTAGGTCTTTTCCTCTCTTCTTAGAGGGTCTGAAAGTGTATTTACAAATATTACTGACCTAAAGAAAAGTACTTAGTTTATATCTAGAGAACATAAAGTTGTTTTAAATTTAAAACACAATTTACTTCCAATTGCCTCAATTCTAGCCTTTTCAAGTTAATCAATTTAATATTTTCTAAAAGACTATCTCTCAAGTGATGGAGTATTTTAAGCTACTTTGATTGTAATTATTTAAATACTTTCACAAATCTTTATATTGTGTGGAGAACCAGAGGCTAGTGCTTAAACCAATAGGTGAGTCCAAGAAAATTGAGTATTTAGCCTGAAAAGTAGTATAGATTACCCACAGAACTCATTATTTTTGAGTGAAGATCTAGCTTCTGTAATTCATTGCACTTTTCTGAACAATAGCTCACTCATTCACCTTCCAAGTCCAAATAAAAAGTGCAGACAACATTCAATTAACTAAGAAATTTCATTCCACATACTAAACTTAATTTAAAAATTGTCTCATTAAACTGATGTTATAAATATGCCATTCTGATTACATGTTTAAAATGTTTTGTTCAAGTATAAGAATTAATGAATTTATAACCTTTTAGTGGGTTGGCAGTGGTGGTAAGAGTTGTACAGGGAAAATATTTTTAGTTTTAGAGAAAAAAAGGATTATGAATAAAAGCATAAAAAGTTAAATTTAAATAAAACACTGGTTCAAAATGACTTATAAAATTCTGTTTTGGAGTTGGTCATTGTAAATTAAGAGTTAATTTTCTCGTGGCTATAATATTTTAAATTATGTGTAGCAATTTATACATAAAGTTGGGTCAGAGAAGAAAAGAATTAAAGCTAGGTTTAGGTATATATGGTCTTATATCTGCCATATAAAATGTTTCATTTAATCTTCATAAAATTATTAAAAAATACTTCCTTTTTACAATTAAGGAAACTGAATCATAGAAAATTATCTAGATTGTTCTGTTTTGCAGCCACTATTAAGTCCTAAATGTAGTTGTTTCCAAAGCTTGCCTTCTGTACATTTCTCCAGGCTGCAAAGTACATGTTAGTGTATAAAAATGGCGACTAATAAAATACCCCAAATGCACTGAGAACCGAGTTCCTGTGTCAATTAACTAATTTTTTTCTTTTTTTTAACCAAAGATGTAGTTTTCTATTTTTTTTTAGTTATTTAACAGAATTATCGAGATTTTATTTTGTGCCCAGCATCTTTCTAGGTGATGTTTTTAGAATGTCACAAGATGGGAGGAGTGGATGAGGGTGTGATTTGTGTAATCAGGAACTGATACTTGAGCTAATACCTCAATAACATAAAGTTATATTTTACATATCCCCACTTTTATCTAGCTTGTTTGAAAACATGGTGGTAAGAATATCGGAAGAACGAATTGAAATATAAAGATATTAAAGTAGAACAAGTTTGGATACTGTGTGAGAGAAAAACAATAGAAGTCATTGTTGTTGGACTGTAGTAAATTTAGAGACTCTTAAAAGTTCATATTCTGCCATGATATTCTCCATTCCTTTAAATGATCTATTCTACAAATTCCTCACTTTCTTATTATAGGTAATCTCAGTTTCTATTTTCACAGAGAATTTAATATCACCTAAATGATTTGAATAAAGCAATTTGATTTAACCAAGTCAGGTTAACATGTGACTAGATTATAATGACTCATCTTTATAAGAACACTATATATTATAATAAAGATATTAATGAATTCAAATTTTACTATAATTCAAAAAATTTCAAGAAATTCAGAGATCAGAAAATTTAAATAATATAACAAAAATGTTTTGTAAGAGGAATACCTCTTAAATTTAGTATCCCTTTATCATTCTGCCTTTTACACTCTGTTTCTACTGGCACATTGGGATAAAGTTAGATTTTATTGCAATAGAGAAATAAAACTGTGTTAGTATTATACTTTGCTAAATATTGTATCACAAGAGTAATTTAAACTGTTAAAACATAGTTGCTTAATTAATTAAAAATGGATATTAGGATTCTCAAATCTACTCCTCTTATTAAGTAAAATATCTATTTTCCAAAGTAGGCACCTGGAATTGTCTTTCATTTCTTCCTCTTCTTCTGTACCTACCCAATACCAGCTTCCATTGTTTGTACGCTATCGGTATCTGCCTAAATTGTTTAAACTTTCCATGCATATAGCTACTGTCTTAATTATGTCATTTCTCTCTCTTCCTTTCATCTGGAATAGCATTGTATTTTACAAATTGAGACCCTTCTGGTCAACCTTTCTCTGCTTTCTACTTTAGTATCAATCCCACATTCATTTTTGTTTCCTAAGGAATAAATCTGATTTTATCACCACATTACTAAAAGTTCTGTACTTTTGATAAGTTCTAAACTTACTAGCATAATGTAAAATATTCAATTTTGATATTACGTGTATTTATATTTACTTTCATAATCTCAGATTTTAACATTTCCTCTCTGCCACCACTCATAATATTCCTAAGTTATAGATATTGCTTGAAATAACCCCCAAATAAGACACGATTCCTTCAATTTTGCATGAAATATAGGACATATCTCTGTGTTGCTCTTGCTCTCTATCATTTCTGACCTAGTTCACACTGAAACAATTACATAAAAAAAGGTCAAAAAGTATTCACTTTACTATCCATGATTGTACTTGGATAACTCACCTTGTGAGGATACAATTTATGTTTCCTTGCCATTATCCAGATCAACAGATTAGCAGTTTGTCCATTTATTAGCATTTTGAAGCTGATAAGTAAGTAAAACCTTTTCTTCCATTTAGCAGTATTAAATGAAAGAGTAATAGCACTGTTCTCATCAACACATAAAAATTCTTGAAACAAAAGGAAAATGGAAATATAACATATAAAAATCTATGAAATAAGGCAAAAGAAGTACTAAGAAGAATTTTATAGCAATAAATGACTATGACAAAGAAGTAGGAAGACTTCGAATAAACAAATTGAGACTAAAATACAATATAGAAGATCGACTAAAAAAGTTGGATCTTTGACTAGACAAATAAAATCAACAAACTTTTAGATAGACTATTTAAGAATAAAGAGAGAAGAACAAACACCACACAATTATTGCAATAAATACAAAAAAAGATGAAATTCAACATTTCTTTATGATTAATACCCTCATCAAAATGGGCATGAGAGAAACATATCTCAAAATAATGAAGATCATACATGACAAACTCATGGATGACATTATAATGAACAGAGAAAAATTGAAGGCCTTTACTTTGTAGATTGGAACAAGATAATGGTGCCAACTTTTACCAGTATTATTCAACATACTGCTGGAAGTTCTGGCTGGATTAATTAGGCGAGAGAAAGAAAGAAATGGCATCCAAATTGGAAAGAAAATACTCATATTAGCCTTGTTTGCAGATGACATAATCTTATATCTAGGAAATCCTAAATATTCCACCAATAACTGCTAAAATTGATAAATTTAGTAAAGTTGCAAGACACAAAATTTGAAGAATACAAAATTAGCATACAATGATTACTAGCATTTATATACACCAACAGCAAACAATGTGAAAAAGAAATTGAGAAAGAAATCTTGTTTACAATAACTCCAAAAAGTATAAAATACCTAGATTAATGCTTAGACTAATCTAATCAAAGAAGTAAAGATCCATAGACGGAAAATTACAAAAATGTGATGAAAAATAAAGAGGGTACAAAAAAATTGAAAAATATTGCATGTTCAAGGATGAGAATAATTAAGATTGTGAAAAAGACAATACTACCCAAAGCAACTTCCAGATTTAATGCAGTCCTTTTCCAAACACCACTGACATTCTCCATAGAAATAGAAAAATAAATCCTAAAATTCATAAGGAACCACAAAAGATCCCAAATAGCCAAAGCAGTCCTGAGCAAAAGAAAATCCGGGAGGCCTCATACAACCTGACTTCAAAATTTACTACAAAGTTATAGTAACTGAAAAGCATAGTATTGGTGTAAAAACAAATATATAAAGCAATGGAACAGAATATAGAACCTACATATAAATGCACACATTTACTACCAAGTCGTCTTCCAAAAAGATGCCAAGAACATATAATGGGGAAATGACAGTATTTTTAATAAATGGTATTTGGAAAACTGGATAACAATATGCAGAAGAATGAAACCAGACCCCTACCTCTCACCATACAAAAAAATCAAATCAAAATGGATTGAAGGCTTAAACCTAAGATCGGAAACTGGGGAATTATAATATGAAACGAAAACACTGGGGAAATCCTCTAGGAGACTGGTCTAGGCAGAGATTTTTTGTGTAACATCTGAAAACACAGACAACCAAAGCAAAAATAAATTGGGATTACATGAAGCTAAAAAGCTTTGGAACAACAAAGGAAACAATCCAAAAAGTGAAGAGACAATTCACAAGATGGGAGAAAATATTTCTAAACTACTCGTTTGTCAAGGAATTAATAACCAGAATAGAGAAGGAACTCAAACAACTCAATAGCAAAATAATAATAATAATAATCCAATTAAAAATGAGCAAAAGATCTAAACAGGCAGTCCTCAAAAGAAGACATACTAATGGCCAACAGCTATATGAGAAAAATGCTAAACATACTAATCATCATATAAATGTAAATCAAACCACAATGAGATATCATCTTACCTTCTTCAGAATGGCTTATATCCAAAAGGTAAGCAATAACATGCTGAAGAGGATGTGGAGAAAGGGAAACCCTCATACATCTTTGGTAGGAATTTAAACTAGTACAGCTGCGATGGAGAAGAGTATGAAGGTTCCTCAAAAAGACTAAAAATAGATCTACCATATGATCCAGCAGTTCCACTACTGGGTGTATACCTTAAAGAAAGAAAATATTCATCAAAGAGATATCTGTATCTTCACTCTCATGCTTATTGCACTATTCACAATAGCTGAACTGGAATCAATCTAAGTGTCCATCAGACAATAACTGAATAAAGAATGTGAATATATACACAATGGAATATTACTCAGCCATAAAATGAGATAAAATCCTGTCATTTACAGAAACATGAATGAAACTGGAAGCTATTATGTTAAGTGAAATAAGCCAAGCAGAGAAAGACAAATATAATCCTCATTCATATGTGGGAGCTAAACATGTGGATTACATGTTCCAGAATAGATTAGACATTGCCAGAGCCTGGGAATGGGAGGCAGTTGGGTGGAATGAAAGGGATAAAAAGGATATAAATATGATTATTACCACTGATAAGTATTGATAATCACTTAAAAGGATATAAATGTACTTATTATCACTTAAAATTGTAAAGATGGTAAATTACATATGTATTTTTACTCTAATAAAAATCTATTTAAAATAAAAACAAAAAATCAATAAAAATTTTAGCATATAAAACATTTTACTTAAAATATTCTAAACTGTGTATGGAAATTTAATAGTTCAATAATAGGACAAAAACGGTTAAAAAATAAGAACAAAGTTGGAAGACGTATTTCATACATGAACACTTTTTACAAATCTCCAGTAATTAAGAAACAAGTAATTATGAACACTTAGACACATTGATAAATGCAAAAGTATACAAAGTCTAGAAAAGTAGTCATGAGAATATAGTTGCCTAATAAATTTTAAGTCTGTCCTGCTATTAATGCAGTAGCATTAAAGAAAAGTGATAGTTTATAAGCAATAGTGGCACCTGACTGGATTATCCATCCAGGATAAAATAATTCCAGACCCTTCCATCACTTCATTTACATATATATATATATATATAATGTTATTGACATAACATAATATATATTAAAGTTATTGACACAAATTGATGTTCTAAGTATAAAAGGTAAACTCATTACACATCTAAAAGAAAGTTAAGTAAGAAATTAAGCTATTCTAAATTATCTTAGAATAAGTAGATGTTTCTTATACCAAATACAAAAGCACCCAGTATGAAGGACAAATTTATGAATTAGATTACATTAAAATTAACAGCTTCAGTTATCAATAGATACTATTATTGGAATGGCATTAGGGTAATTATAGAGTATGAGAAAATATTTGTCTCATATATATGCATACACACACACACACACACACACACACACATATATATATATATATATATATATATATGCAACCATGGACTTATATCAAAAATATGAAAACACATTTGACAAATCAATAAGAAAAATACAATACAAAATACTAGTTGCAAAGAATTGTGACACAATATTTTAAAAGTGGCTATCCTATGATAAGCAGATGGAAAGACAATGACTTTTCAATGTCATCAGTCACTAGGGAAATGTGAATTAAAATTATAATGAGATACCACGGCACACCTACTAGTGTAATTTAGATGTAAAATAAGGAATATGACAAGTGCTTCAGTCAGCTCAGGCTTCTATAATATATTTCATTTATATTAAATAATATGTATTTATAGGATAAAATACTATATGTAGATAGGGTAGCTTATAAACAACAAATTTTATTTCTCACAGTTCTGGCAGCCGACAAGTCCAAGATCAAGGCCCTGGAGCATTCCTTGTCTAGTAAGGCCCATTTTCTAGTTCATAGATGAATCTTCTCTCTATGTTCTCCTGTAGTGGAAGGGGCAAACAAGGTTCCTCTGGCTTCATTTATAGAGACTACAGTCTCATTCATAAGAGCTCTATCCTCATAATCTAATTATCGACTAAGGCCCCATCCCTTAACCCATTTATGCCTGAAGTTGCAAGTTTTTGAATTTTTGCAATCTGACCTTGGTGATGACCTTGAGCAGTAGGATATAAATAACGCCCACATACTTAGTGTTCCATTACTGGAACACTAGGCATAAATAGGTTTAATATCATAATCTTCAAGGCTAGGATTTCAACATATAAATTTTGAGAGGACACAAAATTCAGACCATAGCAACAGCCAAGGGTTGTTAAGGATGTTGAAAAATTAGAAAATAGACATAATATGCCCATGGAAGGATAAGCTGTTATAGCCACAATATATCTGTTTGGTAGTATCTAAAGCTGAACAAATGTATACCTTAATATTAATTAATACTAACATTAATAAGATAATACTTTCACTTCTCAACATATAATCAATGTGAGCATATCTCCTTCAAAATATAGATAATAAATTATTTAAAATGGCACTATTCAGGGTAGCTCTAAAAGGCAACCAAATGTGCATCAATAGTCAAATGAGAAATAAATTATCTACCACCGACTGGAACACTTTATAGCAATAAGAATCAATAATGCATGAATACTTGCAACTATATGAATGAAACACACACATGTAATACTAAGGACTCAAACACTATGCGACCCTGTTTATAAGTGGTACAAGAAAACACTAAACTATGCTATAAGAAGTTGAGATAGTGGGAGATTTACTGAAACAGATTTGAAAAGCAGCCATACAGGCATTTCTGGCATTCTGATAATGCTATATTTCATAATTTGAATGTTGGTTGCATAGATATGTCTACTTTGTGAAAATTCAGTGAGCTGTCCATTTATGACAAGAACCTCTTTTCTGCATGTACATTTTACTTTGGTGAAAAATAAGGAGAAATACAGATACATGTAGATGATATCTTCTGTTTACTTATGTGTGAAATGATATTGTGAACCTATATTACTTACTCTACTACAAATTTCAAATGTTCCATTATTTACCATAGTAGTTAAAAGACTAAACATTAATAAGAACAACCTAAAATAAACAAAGTATGATGAGAATGTATGTTACAAATTAACCATTAAGCTTTTCAAAGAAAATTGCTAATACAGGTCTATTTTTCACTAATGACAAGTGAATATTGTAATTAATAATAATTACAGCCAATAATAAATGTTTTAAAGGTTCACATGCACTATATTTGTCACAGTGATATAGATTGCATTCTCATGATGAAATGCAAATACTAAATGCTTTTATGGTATGTAAACCACCAGAGTGCCACAGTTCATTCAAGCATCATTTTATTCATTCAAAATGTATTTATTAGGACACATTATGGAACATAATTGAAAGTCATAAAAAACTAAACCAAAGTAAATTCTGAAAACTTAATTAATTGCACAGTTTGTCATAAATTTATTTAAACAAAAATTTACAACCACTAGATCATAGCTTGAAATTTACCTTGGAGAAAAAATGGTAAATATAATTAGCCACTGAGAAATGCTTGAGATGAAGATGACCTTTTGCACAGAGAATTATATAAATGTAATGACAATACTGATTGCTCTCCTGCTATGTGCCACAATGTTATGCTCTTTGCAGACATTCCCTAGAAGTCTCACAATACCAATTTAGAGTCCTACTATTGTTACTCCATTTTGTGGAGAAAGAGAGACACTCAGTGACTCAAAATTAGTTTTGATCCTAACATCTGTGTTCTCAAGTGAATAATTCTCAATACTGACTGTGCATCTGAATTTCACATGAAACTTTAAAATGTACAAAGTTGGGTCATTACAAAGACTCATTGAAACTAACACTTAAAGACTGACTCCTAGCCACCTGTATTTTCATAAAGTTCCTTAAATTGTAAATTTTATTTGACTTCCACTCATCTACACAATCGCCTGTATGAGTTTCTGAATAAGTTTATTACTTCTTATTCAGTGATGTCTTTGTTTTGTTATTATTCCTGCTGCTTGTTCATTCTTCAGAACTTGTCATTGCTTTGGCAGAGCTCTGTTGAAAAACTAGATTGCTGAGTATCAACTTGCATAGCTATGGTTCTTTCCTTACTTCAGGCTTACATATTCCTTCAATTCAACTACTTTTCCTTCTGGATTGAAGATTATGGTGTCATGCTTTGGCTATCTCATGTATTTTGCTCCTGCTGTGGTTGACAGCCAATGTTAATTAACTTAATGACAGTATTGACTGACTGTTTTCACTGTGACTAGCTATAGTCAATTTAAATTGTGATTCTGTATTGATCATCTCCTGGGCCCATTGATGATGAATTTATCAAAACCCTGTGTTGCCATTCCATCCTTAAGAAGAAAATAGCCTGTCTGTTACACAGCCATCTCACAGAGTTAGAAAGCTAGCTAAAGATTGAGAAGATTATTGAGTTGGCTGGCAAAGTTATATGTCCTTAACAAGGTATTTATTATAAGAAAGTTCAATTTATAACTGTTTATTAAGTTATATGTGGTTTAAATGTTTTTCTGTATCAATACTTTTATTTTGTATTTTAAAAATTTAATAATTAAAACAAAAGTAATAGATTAACACAGGGCAAAGGTAGAATCAAGGAGAAATTTGAGAAGATTATTGCAGTAACCTTTGTAAATGAAATTGGCACAGAAGAAAGTAGTAACAGTAAAAATAAGGAGAATTACCTGGATTCTGGATTAAAGGTTAGGGCCAGCAGAAAGTGCTCATTGATTGCATATGTGGTTTTAGAAAAAGAGTTGTCACTGGTGACTGGGATGTTTGGCCTGAGTAACTAGAAAATAGTGACTAATCTTTTCTGTCATGGTAAAAAGGCAGTATAAAAAAGGGTTTTGTTGTTGTTGTTAATTATTTTTTTCTTTTAGGGCAGGAAGATCAGGTAGTCAGTTTGAGCCATTTAAATTTTGAGATGCTTATTAAGCCATGATAATATGTATAACTGAAGGAATGAGAGTTAATATACATAGAAATAGAAGAGATTAAAAATAAGCAGAAGAGAAATTCCATATGTAGGGGTCAGAAAAATAGAAAAATAAACAAAGCAGTCTGAGTAGAATTAGAGTATAGTAAGCAAAAAACCTGTGGCATTGTGGTATAACTGGAATCAAGTGAATCAATAAAAAATGGATTGATCAACTGTATCAAATGCTGCTGATAAACCAAGTCAAATGGACTGAGAAATTCTCATTTCATTTAGTGTGAACATACTTAGAGCAATGTTGGTGGACTTTAGAGTGATAATAGAATGTTTTAAAACTAATAAAAACCCAAGAGCATAACAATTAATGGCATAGAGAAAGAGAGGAAAATTGTCAAAAATATTCTTTGGTAGAAAAAAGGGCACCTATACTTACATGAAAATAAAAGGGTCATATATCTAGAACCTCTGACAGTTATTCACAGTAATAATGAGAAAGCAAAATATGTGACTATAGATCCCCGTAGTATGCTAGATACATATAATGGATAGGTTCCACAGTAAAACAGGAAATAAGGTTATTAGCTTAGGGTAACTTGGGATTATGGATGTGACATATTAAGGATTTGAGAAGAAACAGTATGAAACAGAAAGCAGCCATTAAAAAGAATGAGATCATGTTCTCTGCAGGGACATGGATGGATCCGGAGGCCACTATCCTTAGCAAACTAACGCAGGAACAGAAAACCAAATACCAGTGTTCTTACTTATAAGTGGGAGCTAAATTATGAGAACACATGGGTACATAGAAGGGAACATGACACATTGAGGTCATTTGGAGGGTAGAGGGTGGAAGGAGGGAGAGAATCAGGAAAAATAACTAATGGGTACTAGGCTTAATACCTGGTTGATGAAATATGTGTACAATAAACCCCCATGACACAAGTTTGCCTATGTAACAAACCTGCACATGTACCCCTGGACTTAAAATAAAAGTTAAAAAAATGAATTTTAAAAAGAAAATAGTCATTTCAAAGAGAAGGACAATTCATTCATTGCCCTTCTCTTTGAAATAACTGATAGAGAAATTTGTAAGTCTTTCATTGACATTATGTTTTGTGAAAGCTAATCATCATATTTGTGTGTTTTTCTACAGCCATTTCAAGTTTGGTGGATAGGTAGGGTACAATTAGAACATTGCCAATGCTGTCATTTAGGGAATATAGTAAAAGGAGAAGCAAGCATAGGAGGTGAAGAGGTACACAAGAAAATGCTGGCAATAGAACATGGAATTTAATCAGGGAAAGAAGGAGATCAAGAAAATAATGAGAAATAGTGAGAAATTAGTATAATAAATATGTTTATGCACATTATTTCTGTTTATTTCAAATTTTGTCATTTGTTGACTTAATTCCTAAGTAAATAATTGAGTCATGGTAAAATTTTGCTGAATTAATAATATGACCATTTATAAAATATTTTAATAAAATATATGTAATTTAACAAATAATATTTATTTTAGATTATTAATAATATACCAATACAATTAAAATAAAATATAAACAAACTCATAAATAAAATTTTGAGGAATATTTAAAAATTCACATTTAGTAAGAATTAATCTAGCAATCTTAGAATATTTGTAGAAATCTAAAAATATCAGCAACACCAGACATATTGCATGTAGAAGACAACTTTGATTTGTTTGACAGATAGTTACGGTTGGAGCTCTTCCCAGAGTATTCTGATTTGTGCATGTGAATCCAATCTAAATTAGTGGAGGTCTGACATAATTGCAACTGAGTATGAATTAATGTTCACTGCTTCAGGGAAAGATTTGAAAATATGTGTATTAAAGGGTAACATATTGCTAATGATCATTATTTATTCAATGCCACTTATTTTATACAGGAAGAAATGAATAATACTGCTGAAAGACATAGATTATCCTAGGACTGGGCAAACCTTTATTGTCAGAAGTTTCCAGGAACTCATTCTGAAAGTCATAGAGTTAAAATAATTCTCAGATTTTTCTGAGAGGCAAGGGATATATTTGTCCCACAGTAATAATTTCTTAATGCTTCATCCCTCATTTTGTCTTCTTCCATTTTCTCCATACATATTCCAAACACTTAAAGGATAAGAAAAGCAACCTGATTCCTAAATAGAAAGTATAAATTAAAAATAAAATTTCAATATGATCCAATTTTAAACTGTAAAATCAAATAAATGCATTAAGCATAGGTAAAGTTTTATTAAAGTTCAAGGGTACCTACAAAGCCATTTGTAATCATAGTTTTTTCTACAATTTATATTAAATACGGTTGCATCTGAGTGTATCTGATTTGGAATACAATATACAGGAAGAAAAAGTCTTTCAAATAAAGTATATAATAAGAATCCCTATTGAAAGTATTAATTTGGTTTAATTACCAGCAGTTATTTTTTAAAGTCTAATGTCTAGAATTATTCGTATTTTATAAACATGCATTGATAATGTGTTACTTGAAAAGTAACAATCTGATGTTACCTTTAGATATAGTACAATAGATTCTAGGGCTAACCTTTCTACTTTGAGTATGTACTTCCTGAAGCTATAAAAATTAGATTACTTAAAAATAAAGACTAAAAAATTAGATAAGAAAGTGGGAATTGAGTTATTTGATAACTTACATGGCTATTCCTTCCACTGGAGAAATCTCTAAAGGGAAATAATGAGATCAGTTTGATTTCTGGCATTGAAATATCTTATACTTCACTACTTTTGTCCTAAAATTCTGTTTATAAAATTTAGATCCTTGTGCTTTTATTATATTGCACATATGCAGCTGAGAAAACATTTTAGTATTTTACAGTCCAATGATACAAATTTGGGGCTACATGCTTTGCAGACTTATAAAACAGGTGTCTTCTTTTGTTGAGGCTGTTATAACAAAATATCTTAGGAGTTATTTATAAACAACATAAATTTATTGGTCACAGTTCTAAAGGTTGGGAAGTCTAAGATCCAGGTACCAGCAGATTCAATCTAGTGAGAACTCACTCTGTGCTTCAAAGAATGCACCTTCTGTCTGTGTACTCACATGGCAGAAAGGGCAAACAAGCTCCCTCAAGCCTCTTGTTATCAGGGCACTAATCCCATTCATGAGGGAATTCAAATTCATATGAATTTCATATGAATATGAATCTCAGTGGGTTTCAACATGTGAATTTGAGTGGGACGTAAACATTCGAACCATAGCAATAGACACATTTAATTTCTATAAGTTTTATAAAGCTAGCAAAAATGCAAGAAACTATCAAAATATATGGATTTCTGTATAAGAATAAAATTAACTGATATGTCTATATATTTATAAATATATATATGACTACTATAGCGTTAGTTAATTTGACCATTTATGTAGAATTTTTGTGCTGAGAGTGGCTATCTCTTTGAAATTTAGTGTATTATAATAATTAAAAGTTATGTAAGTGCTACAGAATATATCTATTGGGCAGTATATTAATAAGTCATTTGTGAGATTAAAATTAGTATTGTAATGGATTCTTCTTTTTGGTAGAACTCACTGTAGATTAACTTGAGCACTTTATGGTGAATATTGGAATGATGAAAATATTCCAGAAATAATTTTTAGTATAAAATAAAAAATATTTCAAAAATCTATGATTGGGATATTTTCAAATGGCTAGTAGAACTGGAGCCAAACCCATTCCATTGACTAAGAATTTTTGTTTCCTTGGCTAAAATTTTATTATAATGTAGACCACCAGTCAATTATACCATAATTTCTAAATGTTTCCCCCTACCCAGCATCACAGACTTCAAATTAAATTACCAAATTACCCAAACTTTTTTTGACCTGCTAAAATTTTCACCTACATAAAAGCAAACTACCACTGGATATCTAAGTTTAAAAAAGTAGAACTATTCAGTACTAGTTTCATGCAGTTGTTATATTTTCTTTATAATTAATTATGCAACATATAATTCAAAACAGTTTAAAAGTATTAGCACAAAAACCAAGTTAGCAAAATATATCTGGATTTAAAGCTCTTAAAATTCGCACAATATTTTCTTGTCATGATACAATTTTTTTTAAATTACACGTGAAAAGATCAAAGAGCATGTGTGTATTTATAAACAACACAAAGTCTTAATATCACTCAGTAAGATGATTGGTCACCTTGTTCACAACCATGTAGTATTAGTGTAGCAATAGACCCAATTGAAATGCAAGGAAATAAATGCCCATGCAAAAAATAAATAATACAAAGTTCATCAAGATGTTGAAATCATTCATTACAAATGCACTGTAATAGGGGTATTTAAAGTGCATCGTATTTGTGACTAAGACTTTCTGGATACAGGAGACTTTGCCTCCAAATTATACTTACATCACTCATAATCTGATTTTGTCATTGGTGTAGTCCAAAAAATATTGTTAGAAATATGTGAAAGATCCATTGAGTACAATATTTATTTCCATAATAAGTCCTAATGGAATTACGAAGGACAACTCAGGATACAGAATATATTCAAGATAACTCAGTAGAAAAATAAGTATCTGAGTCTCATAGTTAGGAATAGAACTGATTTCTTTTTAATTTAGATATTCAGTGGTCATTTGCCGCTACTCATTAACAAATGTTAATTGTGGTATAATGAGACATAGGCACTTTTCATAAAAATATATCCAGATGTACTGAAATGACTGCTTTCAGCAATTTTTTCTTGAAAATGACACATTTTCTGTAACCAAACAGAAATCAAAAAATTGGAAACCATCCCCTACTAAAATTATGTATGTATTTTAAACATCATATACGTACATGAATAAGTTCAAGAGAAATTCGGGTATGTATTTTCCTATTCACTATACAATTTACAAAGGACTTTTTACATACATGATCTAATTAATCTTTGTGAGATAAACAATATTATTTATACTTTACAAGTGTGCTGAGAAAAACTGAATGAAAATAAATCACAAAATTATTAAATATTTGAATCATATAGTTGTTAGGTCATTTCATTCCATTGCTGCTGAAATAGTTAACTTTAATAATCACAAAATGATTTATGCTTCGAGACGAGGCTTTGAAACATAATGAGATCCTGTCTCTACAAAAAATAAAATATTAGGTGAGCATGGTGGCACATGCCTGTTGTCCTAGCTACTTGGGAGACTGAGGCAAGAGGATCAACTGAACCCAGGAGATTGAGGCTGCAGTGAGCTATAATCAACGACATTCTACTCCAGCCTTGATGACAAGGCGAGAATCTATCTCTAAACAAACATAATAAAAATAAATTTAAAAAGTAATAATAAAAAACAAGTGATATTAGTTAATATTGCTAATTACAATTCTATTTAGATATATTCACATTTCTAGACTTGGGGAAAATATTTGAAAGTCTGAGATAATTCCTCTCTTTTACTAGTTTTTACCTCTCATCTATTAGTCATTCTAATTCATTCATGCCAATACTTTTTACTCTTTCATTCAATAAATAGTTCTACAGTATATTCTAGAGATTGCCCTGGCTTTTAGGGCTATAGGAGTAAATAACCAGATATTGTTTTTGTCCTAGTATTATTAACTCTTAACAAGAATACAGGTACCAAATTACTCTGAGAAGAGACTGAATAATGGCCCTGAATGATGCACATCCTAATCCTTGGGACCTGTGAATACTGTATATAATCCTACATGGCCAAAGGGACTTTGTAGATGTGAGTAGGTTAAGGATCATGAGATACAAAACTTATCCTGAATCATTCTGGTGGGCCTGATGTAATACAAGGGTAATTATAATATAGAAGGTGATGTGATAATGGGGACAGAGAGAGAAAACATCATGTAATGCGGTATCGTGAGCCAAGGAATGAGTACAGTACCCATCATAGAAAAGTCAAGAAAACAGATTCTCCCCTGATATTCCAAAAGAAAACAGCCCTACACCCATTTTAATTTTAAGCCAGTGAAACTAGATTTCAACCTAACATTGGTCTAACATCAAAACAAAAAAGGTCAAGTGGCCTGCAAAATATTGTGAACTCTGATTTTATGTTGGAGAATTTAAGAAATGTACTTAAATTTTACAATTATTAATTAGAAAGACTTAAATAGAAACTTGATTTTTCTAAAACCAAGTCAATTGTTCTTACTTCTTTCCTGCACTTTTTATTTTGACAACTTAATGTGCATTCAACGTTGTCTAGCATTCTAAAATACATTAATTATGTCACTCTTGCAGATAAGGATGCACGGTAAAGTGTCTGAAATAAAACAAG
This sequence comes from Homo sapiens, assembly GCF_000001405.40. Taxonomy (NCBI): domain Eukaryota; kingdom Metazoa; phylum Chordata; class Mammalia; order Primates; family Hominidae; genus Homo; species Homo sapiens. The sequence goes on from NC_000001.11 coordinate 188,936,266, forward strand.
CAATAAGTTTTAAAATTTATCCCGTGTTAGAATAGTATAAAATATGTTTACCTACTAATGGATGATCACTTCTATTTTTCTTCCTAACATTATCTTAGCCAGTGTTCACCTACTGAAAAATTATCTACTGTCCTTTATGTGTATTAAAAATCCATATGTGTACAATTGTCATACAATTGCTATGGTAGAAGTAGCAATGTTATTTAGTATACAAATAAAATGATTTTAAAAAGCACAAAATCGCCACAAAAACGTACGTCTTTATATAAATTCCAGAATGTCAGTTATCAATTTATTCCTTTATCATGATTTATACATAATTTTGGTCGTTACACTGCAGTGATTAAGCATAGAAACTTTGACTTCAGGATTTCCACAGTGGAATGTTGGCTTTCCTACTTACTGGGTTTGTTTTTCTATTACTGCTGTCACAAATTACAGCAAACTTAGTGGTTTGCAGGAATACAAATTTAATACCTTACAGTTCTGTAGCCTGACATGTGCCTCACTAGGCTAAAAAGGTGTTTACAGATCTCTGCTCTTTATAGGGGGTTGTAGGGAAGAATCTATTTTGTTGCGTTTGCTAGTTTCACATTTCTTGTTTGGTGTCTTTCTTTCTCCCTCTTCAAAGCCAGCAATGGCTGGTCCAGAGTTTCTCACACCGAATCACTCTGGCTCTCAATCTCTTACCTTTCTCTTCCACTTTTAAGGACCCTTGTAATTATATTGGGGCCAGGTAGATTATCCAAGATAATCTATATATTTTAATGCCAACTGATTAGCATGTTTATTTCCATCTGCATGCAGCCTTAATTTCCCTTTGCAATGTAAGGTGACATATTCTAACATGGACATTTTTTGAGTGTGTGTGTGTGGGGGGGAGGATTATTCTTTCTATAACAAAAAGTGACTTTTAAAGTTATTTACATCAGAGTTTAACTTGAAGATTTGACATGATATGTGGTACTTATAAATATCTCTGTAAATATTATTAGTCATAATCATTTTAAGTTTGATGTAGGAATACTTTTTGTAGAATTTTTTTATTATCATACTTTAAGTTCTGGGGTACATGTGCAGAACGTAAAGTTTTTTTGCATAGATATACACATGCAATGCTTAAATTGTAAAATTCCCTTTGCCATTACATGAAGTTTTCTGCTCAGTCTTAAGAAGTAGAACTATGCAAAATTTCATGATATGTGCATAAATACTCTTAATTTTATAAAAGTTATGTTTTCAGGTTTGTAAAATAATCATGGAACAAAACTGAATATTACAAATATAGTATTATATATACCATAAAGTCCCAATAAAATAGCTTTTCTTTACTTGATCAATTTTCTTTCGCCAACTTTTCCAAAAAATACCCCTAGGACCAAGTTCTAGGGTGACTATAGGTCTTCTTTACATCCTATACACATCGAAATACACACTTATGTATCTTAAATAATACTTATTTACCTAATTTAACATTAACATTATGAATTTGGGTGACAGCATATACATACAATTTTATATTTGTTTTTAGAAAGACAAATTATATAACATTTTATTTAACTTTTACAAATGGAGACTTTGTAATGTGTCTTACAGATGTTTATTTTTAAATACAAGTGGGATGTGATTAAACATTTTGGGAAAGTATTATCAGAATACATTTGGACAGTGTTCCATTCCCATTTCATAATTAGTAATGAAACAGTTATAAAAGCTGCTCCCCTCACCACTATGTCCCCACCTTAGTGAGAGATCTGTGACAATTTCATAACTTCCATTCTTACTAAGCTATTGTGGCACAAAGAACAACTTGTAACATTTCTTTCAGGAGAAAGGAATGCTTATCACAAAGTAAAGCACCTCCTGAGTCAGCCTATTCAGGCAGATTTGCTGCCACGTTTATTAAATTCCTGAGGGTTTTATTCCTCAAGTTATTACTCTCAAGTGTATGAGCAAGAAAAGGCCAGAACCTATAGGACCTTAATGTGTCTGTTCGTGTAAATGTTTACTAAAATTAAGAACAATACAGTAAGTCAAAGCAGGGTGTCTGGTGGCTTTCCATTTTTTTCTGTCTCCTCGGTGTCCCCTGGTGGCTAAGCAAGATTGGAGTTCAGATCCCGTTTTTGACACCAGTTTTTGACTTTGTGTCAATAACTTAATATTTCTGGAGATTTTTTACAGTGAAGGGGCTATAATAACACTGAAATGATAATCTTGTTGTGGGTTTAAATGAAATTATCTATCACATATTATTTTAGAGGGCCTGACCCAATGCAGGCTTTCAATGCATTGTAAGTTTATTAGCACTTTTTCCAATGGTTATTTTTCTGTTCTACTATTTTCCATTTAATCTTTCTATTTTGACACAGGATTTATCTAAATTTTATCAACCTCACTCAAAAACAGGACTCCCTATGTGATATTTATCACTGGTTGCAAGCTCAATTTTAAAAGTTAAAAAAAAAAAAAGATATTGTGGAAAAATGTAAGACAAATAAATGAAACAAATTTCCACATTTTTTCCTGTTTTCTTATGGTCTGTTAGACATAAGCCCTGTCTTAGTCACATTGAAAATTTGCTTCATCAAAGTATTACTTATAATTAAATAACTTCAATCTATCAACATAAATGAACCCAATATCAACTTAACTTGACTTAATTTTATATTATCACTGGAAGATCAAAGAATTTTGTACAAATCAGCAAATAGGAAGACCAAGTCAAATTTAGCTTATTTCCACACTAACACAAAACCTTTCCTGCAAAACTTTCTGTTGCTTAAAAAGGCCAGAGCTTTTTAAATGAACATGTGCATCCTAAACCATCCATTCCAGTGAGGAGGAGGAGGGCATAGTTCAGGGAGTAGGTTTTCAATTAACAAATTGATGCCAGATCTGGACCAAGAGAACAACACTTTTATATTAACATATTATGACATGAGACCTTCAATAATGAGTTGGCCAGGACCTCATTTTTATATCTCAATGAAATAGCTCACAGAATAGCGTGCTACTTCCATGATTATGATAAGCAATAATTATAGGATTGGGTTTTTAAAGTTTGTATGGTAAGAGCAATACATATACTGGGCTAGAGAGGAATAAGTGAAAAGGTCTCTTGAGAAAAGCTTCACTTTATTTTGAACTTCATTATGCACTTGCCACTGATGGGAAGTTAAAAAGATTTTTTTAGCTTGCAGTGCACCACAGGTTAACAGACGATGTGATATTGGCTCAATTATATATTTCATCATCAATCCTAATATTATGACACAGAAACAGGTGGGCGAGAATGTGGCAGCATTCATTTTTATTATACAATTTCTATGTTATTTATTGTAATATAGTGATTATTGCAAATGCCATTTCATATAGTTTAGCATTATCACTAAATATGTGACATTTTCTCAAAAACAGAGTAAGGGCACAGCTAGAATTTATTAATAGCATACTAAAATATTCATTTCTTCCTTTTTATTAAAGTATTTTTTGTCACTCACAATGATTTAATAAAATGAAAAAACTTTTCTTGAGTCATGGAAAAAGAGCAATAATTTTAGTTTTAATTCCACAACGAGCTATTGAGCAACCATTTGGTTCCAGTTGTATACAGGGAACTAAATTGGCAAAATAAACAGACAATATAGTCTCCAACTCACTGTACCATCAAATCAAATATTAGCTTTGTGACACAAGCCAAATTATTTAACAAATCTAAGCTTTAATTTTCCCACATGCTAAGTATTCAATTAAAATGTATGTTCAATAAGGTTTACTAATATGATAAAAGATAATGCTATATTATAAAACACTGTTTTTTTTATTCTATTCTCCCTCTGTTTTCTCATTCTATTATTTTGTGCAGTAATATTGATTTGGCACATGAAATGCCCAAAATGGCTATTAAGCTGTCTTCACTTCTGATTCACTGGGTCCATGGTTGAAGCATTTCACCCTTGGATCCCAGATATTTTAAATCCATTGTGCCCCAAAGCATGAGGACAAAAATTAACATTTTTGAAGTAGATAATGAGGTGTGTTGGTGAAATGAGCCACTTATATCTACATCTTTTGATTCTTGAACCAATGCATTTTTTTTTTTTACTGAAGGAAATCCTCCCCCAAATATTGACTGTTGTTTTCAGACACGCTGATACTGCATCCTGTAGATACCCCAACCCTTAGAATGTTGTCCCCATTCTAGGCATGAAATTGAGTCTTCATCAGACCATTCAACATTTCTATCAAGCTCACTGCTTCTGGGTGATGGGGCTCTCTGAAAGACCAGTGGATTCTACTTATATTGGCACATTTCTTCATAATAAAATAAAACTTTGTGTGTATTATCCAATAACAGAAAAGACATTTTCTAAGTCTACAATGATGATGTTAGCAAAGTCAGTAGGCAGAGAACACAAATCCATAACTGGAAGTGTGACTCTTGCTATGGGCACAACGCACTGCTCTTCCCATGACAGGAAGGATCAAATGTAATCAATGCACCAGCTAGTAACTTGCTGAGACACATTGTGTGCACTGGTATAAAAATAACTTCCTGAGATTGAGGGTAAAGAATCCTGATTTGTATTTTTCATTGATTCCATTCTCACCATGGTGAATTTCATGCTACCAACGTGATATCACTAAAAATAAAAATGAGAAGAGAAAGGTACAATTTGCTTTTGAGATCTGGCAGGAGCTAGTTACAGCACACCACTGCGCTTGGCAGTTTTGTAAGTTCAGTTGCAGCAGTAGCTATATCAAGTATAGTTAGGGGAAGACCTTTTAAAAAATATTTTTGGAGACTATCCCTGTGCTTCTCAAATAAATAAGCAACCAATTCCAGAATTCATCTTGAGTATCACTTTCCTGGGGCATGAAGAGCATGCAAAAGGGTAAATAGGGATGTATAGGGCAAATAGAAAACATCAGGAACATATAGAATGCCTAACTACATCTAGTAGTGAGTGATTTAGGATGGGACTCTGAGCAATATGACTCAAAAGTCCATCATCTAAAACCATACCTCATTTATTTCATCAAGGCCCTATAAAATATTAAATATAATTTAATAATCCCTGAGATGTATATGGATATAGATATACATGTAAATATATGTTTATAAAGGTGATGCAACTTATCTGGAGTAGTATAAAAATGTATGGTTCAATACATTCTAGCACACAGTGACTTCTATGCTATACAAAACGTAAGGTCCCATATCGTCAAAGTGTTCTGTTTGCTGTTATGGCTACTCTGAATGCCAGGTGGGTAGGGACAAATTTGTGGCACTAGTGATTATTCTGGTGTTGCTTGTTTAGAAACGTGAAACATAAATATACTGTGGATTAATAGAGGGGTCCAAGTTAGATTAGATAAATTTTAAAAAATAAAATATATTGACATTTATGAACTTCAAGAAAAACGATATATTCAGCAGTTTAAATTGGGCAAGTTTATATCTCTAAGATTGCTTGAAATATCTAGCTCTGGTAAAGACAAAATATTACCCAGTATCTACTAATAAAGTTTTAGTCTTGAGTATTAAACTTATCCTAAATAAATATAATTCCCTTTGGTTGTTTTAGATTCTTTACAAATTTGTGAAATGCTCCTTTAGTAAACCATGCTACATTATTATTCATCCCAACTCACAAAGCTAAAGGAAAAAAAAATTAGAACACCAAAGGACCAAAATTAGTCAAATAGCTTCACAGAGACTTTTATTCCATACTAAATACAATGTTCTAACACACCTTAAGAATTGGTCACCTTCCTTTCTGCCCTTTCTCCGCATTGTGAAATTTTAACTGTGTGATCTCTCTGTCTTTGTCTTGAGTTATTGGCTGTGAATTGTATCTTCATTTTAGTGACAATTGATAGACCAGGGGAGGGGCTGCAGCCAATAGTTGAACCTCTGTGGGGGAACTGCAAAGATGAGGGAGTGACCTGAGTTGTTAATTACATTCCTGAGAGCAGAGGACAGAGCTCCTGGTTGATGACAAAAGCTTTTCCCTGATTTTCTAGAAGTTAATCCAGTTAGATAAGACCTTGCCTTTGCAATATTATTAGACCTAGGAAGAAAGTACAGACAACTCTATTACAGAAGCCAACATGCGATACGGAAAGTCTGAAAATTATCAAAACAGTGACGTAAGATTTACATGCATTATTAATTTCCCTTAGGCTCAAACATTATTAATTTGTAAGTAGTCTTGAAGTTCATCACTTAATAATATAAATAAGACATTATTGTCAATTCTGAGCATTAGAGGAAAAAATGGCAACATCATAGGATACTGCTTGTAAAGCTGGGATACTACTTACAAGCTTTAGCTTCTCCACAATATAAAGTAAAATACACTTTTAATTAAAATCATTTTAACATAGGAAAATGCACTTCTTTCATGTTTTAAGAATAGAAACAAAAGATACCCTCAAAAATATTATTGATTTTTTTCTACTATGTGATTTCTTGATTATAATTTTGATTTATTCATGTAATTTTATGTCATTGTATTACATGTCAAAATTTCAAATGTGGGTCACTTTTACTACAGGAATAAAGTTGACTTGATTAATATTATTTTTACTGAAGAAGTAGGAATGTAAAAGCAGGCACTGCAATTGTTGACATGTAATCAATGTTGTTTCAGAAACAGCTTATGTTTGGAAAAAAAGAACGCAATAATTTTGTACTAAAATTTAGAAAAGTGGTGAGAATAAGTTATGTATTTTATTTTAGATAGTTTTTCAAGAATGGAAAATGTTTTTCACAATTCTCCTATTTCGCTTTGTAATTGATACTGGGATATAAGCAACATGATAACTTTAGCCATGAAAAGGGTATGAATAAACATGCCTATTTACATATGTATATTTATTTGTATATGTGTGTTTGTTATATGTGTTTACTTTTATTATTATTTTAGCATAATTTCAGAGCAAAAATAATTGTCAAATGCATAGTACAAATATCCCAATTTGATTTCTAACAGTAAATATTCTGTGATTTAAGAAATATATGATGTTATTTCTAAAACTATAAGCTGCTTAGGAAATGAGAATCAAATGAAACAAACAAATCATTATTACTTTGGGCTTTCAGGGTAGCTGTGCTAATAAATCATTATTTTATTTGTATTATGTGTTCCAATTTCTTTTTATTTTCATGTTCTCTATGTTCATTGACATTCTTCTGCATCAAGGAAGAAATTAAACTAAAATACTCAACAAATATTTATTACACTTGCTTCTAATCATCCACTTTACTTTCTTTCCTCTTTTCTCCTGCAATTCTTAGGTTCAAAAATCTGCCTTAAATATGCTGACTATATATGATAATAAGTGAATATTTTCTTCCTCATATCTTTGACTCAATATTTTTGCATCATATTTATCTAGTCATTTGAAGTTATAACTCTAAATGTTGAACAACTTCCATAAACATAAAATCTTACTGGAAAATAGAATGAACCAGTCATCTGGTTAAATTAGGTCTGTCTTCATTGTTCCCAAGAATGACATTATAGTCTTTATTTCTTTTTTATTTTGCCAACACTGTCATAGTTTCCTTCCTTATTTACATTTGTACAAATCTCAAGTCCTGCTGTCTCTATGAGGTTTCACTAACATGAGTTCAAACTATTTTCTTTCATTTTGCATGAATAAAATATATGGAGCAGTTTGACATTTGCTTATATACCTTTATACAGTTCTTTTTCTCCTATGCATTCATTGTTACTGGATTAATGCTCAATTAGCTCTGGTTTCTCATGGAATAACTTCAATGTTAAGATTTAGTTATTCAGATAACATTTATTCTGCACCAAATAATGAATCCCATAGCGAACTAAACATATAGATAAGGTACAGTTTCTGAGCTCAAGAAGTTTATAATCTAATAAAATACCATTTTAAATATCTTCTTATTATCAGATAGAAACTAAATGAGTATATAGAAAGAAGTAAGTAAATCAGTTGATGTTTGCAAGAGTTTAAAAAATGTGTATTAAGGTTAATGTCTAAATATAATGTATCATAAAAACATACAAACATAGGGATAAAATATTTTGGATCTTGCATGGAGATGAATTTATTCATCAAAGAGCATACATGTATTCATCTTTTATTTCTGAAATAAGTGTATATACCTTAAGTTTTCTGAAACCTTTAGATGGGAGTTTTGCTTGACTTACAACGTCAACTGTGAGACATCTCAGAAATTGTGTTAGAAAAGACACTTTTGATAAAATTAGGACTTTTTCTGGGTGACTTCGGGGAGGATCCAAGGAATCAAGAGCTTGTATTAAGTTGAATGATGTCAGGGTATCTCAGTAAATGTTCCCTCTGTAGAGGGCAGACTAGGGTCAAGGTAAACTATAATTAGTAAATAGGCATCAGTCAACCATTCATATTATCCCTGAGAGATGTTTATTGTTTTGTGTCTTAGAAAATGTTTACATTTTTTATTGTTGCTCAGACAGGATCACAGAGTGCTCCTGTTATCTTTTCCTGTCCCGGTCACAGAGTGATCTTTTCTGATTGGATGCTCTGTAGATCTAACTTCAATAGGAGAACACCGAAGTCTAGCTGAAGTATTAGGCCAGCTCCTGAATGTCAGGGGCTGCTTTTCTCATTCTCAGTAATGGAGCTTAAGGGAGTAAAATTACTTTTATTTTGATTGCTAGAAGCTGTACATGGATCACACTGCATATGAAACATCAGGATGCTCAAAAGTGAATCAGGGGCCGGGCGCGGTGGCTCATACCTGTAATCCCAGAGCTTTGGGAGGCCGAGGCGGGCAGATCACTTGAGGTGGGGAGTTCGAGACCAGCCTGGCCAACATGTTGAAACCCCATCTCTACTAAAAATACAAAAATTAGCCAGATATGATGGTGAACGCCTGTAATCCCAGCTACTCGGGAGGCAGAGGCATGAGAATCACTTGAACCTGGGAGGCGGGGATTGCAGTGTACCGAGATTGTACCACTGCACTCCAGCCTGGGTGACAGAGCGAGACTCAGTCTCAAAAGTAAATAAATAAATAAATAAAATAAGAAATAAAAATAAAAGACATAGTGAATCAGACTTTATCTTGGAGATACAGGTAGAAGATTATTTTGGCGGTGGTTAAAAAAAGGCATTCATTTAAAAATATATTAGAAATAGATATAATTCATGAGTAATTGGTTGTACTAATGTTGTTGCTGTAATTTTATTTAATTTTTGTTTAATACAGGGTAAAAGTCAGAGATTCATTATAATTTTAAGCCTTCATAACATAATTGTATATTTACAAATCTTTCTTCTTACAGACTTTTATACAAACTCATTCAAGATGTGGAAACAACTGGCAATGGATTCAACAGCTCAGATTTAATATGTTTTTTGTTTTGGTATATTATAACATAGAGTTAGCCATTGAAAATGAATTTCTTCCTAAAGGCAAATTGCTGTTTTGATGCTTGAAATCAAATCTGGCATTGCATTTATGTAGTGTGGCTTATTATTCTAACATTTGGAATGAGAAAACTGAGGCAGCAGGCTGTTATATGTTTTGCCTGAAGACTTGATGAACTGCAAAAACCTATTACTGTTATGTTTTATATGCTGAGCCCTGTTTCACAATTTCAGTTATTAAAAGAAAAGATTTTCAAAACTATTACTATTTTTTAATGACAACTAGTTGAATTAGTAAAATGAACAAATAGTCTGTGACTGTACAACCATAAGTAAATATTTTCCTGTGCTCAATTTGTTTGTATGTACAGAAGCAGCTTAATGAGAAAGCATATTTAAAATCATGCACATTATTTATTTTCTTTGATAGGATATATATAACTTTACAATTTAATATTTTTCACCATCCATTAAGTATCTTGTGTTGAAAATCTTAGAACAAGTGATCACATTTTGCTAGATACCATGATTTGAAGATGAATATTTTCACATTTTACCTTTTTTCAGTGTATGTGCACCTGTATTTTTCCAGTGGCTGTCATGCAGTGATCTCTAACCTGTGTCTTCAAAAGCCTTGAGATTAGAATCAATACTGCATTGTTTTCAAATTGAGCCATCTTAGAATTTTTTTTCATGTCATGTTAACTATAAAAATATTTTTAAAAGTTCTCCTTTGTGCTCTACCATTTGTTTGTATGTTTTCTAATTACCACAAAAAAATTGATAAAATACCCAAAGTCCAAAATTTGCCAATAACTTAAATGTTTTACACATGCTGTCTGACCCAGAATATTTAATTAAAGCACAATTTTCATTTTTAAGTTGTATTTTTAATTTTGTTTTTGTTTGTTTGTTACAGGCATGTAGTTATATTATGCCACTGCGCTACATTCATTTCAGCCTTTATTTCTTTGGTGATAAGTTTCCTAGTTTCTGACCTCCCAATGTTTTTGCTACAGGCTTTGGAAATACATAAAAATGTATCATAGATTTCTGCTTTATTTTAATATGTTTAGAAGAATCGGCTCTCACAAACAATTTCAATCATTGTATCCGGCAGAAGCTGTTAGTTCTTTAAGGCAAAGATTGTCTTCACATTCCTAAGACTTATTACAATGCCTACCTTATTGCAGATGTTCTTTCTATAATGTATTTAAAAGATCAATGAATGAAACAAAAAATTGATAATTTTCAATGTTATCTCTGATACTTAATTTACATATAAACAATTTAAATGTAAAATTACATTTCAAGATAATTGACAATGTGTTTGATTTTTTAAAAAGTCAGTAGATTTAATTACAGTTAATTAATATTAATACTAATTTTGTGCTAAAGGTACAATATTTGACTCATACTAATGAAAACTCCAGTAGAAAATAAGGTAAAGGAATATTGAACACCCACAAGCATGAAGCATACAAACATAGATTAAATCATCTACATGAGAATAAATTACTTTGCTTTTCCTCTAACCCCATTTGCAATCCAGTCTCTTTTCTTAGTCAGTAAATGTAATCATTATTCATCATATTTTTAATCCAGTAAACTGAAAAATATTTTATTAATTTATCCCTACATACATCTAAACATATTAGCATGTTTTAATATTATATTTCCAAAATGTATCAAATACATCTTCTTCATTACACATCACTACCATCATTTAATTCAGGTTAGTGTTTACATATTTGAAAAATATTTGAAAAATCATATTGGAACTATTTTCCTTACTGTCATTTTATCCACCTGTACTCCTTCCTAAGAAACACAAATGGTCTATTAAGATGCAAATTAAGAAATGCAAGTTTTTCATTTAAAAATTCATCAATAAATTTCCATTAAATTTATAGTAAAATTTAGATCCCTAACCATAATCAACACAGACCCTCTGCCTCTTTCTAAAATCTCATCTTATTTCACTCATCCTTTTCACTAAGGCTCAAGTATAGGAGTGTTGCTAGTTTCTTTAATAAACCAATTTCATACACATTTTCACAGAAATGAAAGCAGATCCCAATGCAATTTATTATTTTTATTTTCAATTTTTGTGGGTACATAGTAGGTATACATATCTATGGGTTGCATGAGATATTTTGATACAGGCATGCAATGAATTATAATCACATCAGGCTTAATGGTGTATTCATTATCTCAAACATTTATCTTTGTGTTACACAAACAATTCAATTGTACACTTCATTATTTTAAAATATATAAATTATTTTTTAACATATAACGTTTAAATATTTTAAAAATAATTAAATTATTTTTTATTATAGTCACCCAGATGTACTAGCAAATACTAAGTGTTATTCATTCTTTCTATTTTTTGGACCCATTAGCCATCCCTAACTTTTAAAACCCTCACACTTCCCTTCCCAGCCCCTGATAACCATCTTTCTACAGTCTATCTCCATAAGTTAAATTGTTTTTTTAGCTCCCACAAATGAGTAAGAACATAAGTTTGTATTTCCGTGCCTTCCTTATTTCACTTAAATGTGATGACCAGTGTGCCCAGCTAATTTTGTTTTTTGTAGACACAGCGTCTGTTTATGGTGCCCAGGCTGGTCTTGAACTTCTAGACTCAAGCAACCCTCCTACATTGACCTCCCAAAGTGCTGGGATTATAGGTGTGAATCACCATGCCTGGACAGTGCTTTAATTTTTACTTTTCTTTTTCACATGGCCTTTTGCAAAACAAAACAAAACCAAACAAAATTCAATTTGATGAGATCCAATTTATCAAAATTTTCTTTCAATAATCATAAATTTGATGTGAAGTCTAAGAATTTTTTGCCTCATTCTAAATTCCCAATGTGATCTATATTTCTTCGCTTACATTTTATATTTTTAAGTTTTATTTTAAGTCCATCATCCATTTTTAAGTTAATTATTGTATAACTTGTGATACTTAGATTGAGGTTCTTCTCCACCACCCCATGCCAGCTATAGATGTCCAAATTGCTCCTATCCCACTCTCTGAAAATGGAATTTTATGCTAATAATTGCATCTGTTTGAAAAATTACTTAAGCACATCCGTGCCAGTTTATTTCACTGTCCTCTATTTTGTTACATATGTATACCCGCCTATCTCTCTTTCAATGCCACACTGTATAGATTATTATAGGCATGTATTATAGTAAGCCTTAATAACTGGTGTTGTTATTCCTTCTATTTTATTAATCTTTGTTAAGATTGTTCTGGCTGTGCTAGAACCTGTAATTTCCCATATGCATTTTAAAATAAGCTTGTCTATGTCTAACAAAAGATTATGCTGGAATTTTGCTAAGACTTATGTTGTGTGTATATGTCTGTGTGTGTATACATATATATATATATACATATATATGATATTTATGGAGAATTGGCTTTATTACTATAATATACTGAGTCTTTAAATCCATGAACACAGTACATTTCTCCATTTATTTACTTAATTTTAAAATTTCTTACATGAACATTTTGTAAATATAAATATATAGATCCTGTACTCATTTTAAGTTTATGCTTAAGAATTGCCTTCACTTTGTAGCAATAGTATTTTTTTTCAAATTTTGTTTTTTGGCATGTTCACTCAGTATATAGATCTGGAATATCTATAAGTATAGTAGTTTTTTTGGGGGGGGGATCCTTGTGATTTTCTATTTAGACAATCATGTAATCTACAAACTTGGACAGTTTTATTTCTTCTTTTCTGAGCTCTATGTATTTTATTACTTTTTAATACCTTATTACAGTGAATAAAATTTACAGTAAGACATTGAATAAGAGTGGTGAAAGCAGGCATCCCTGTCTTTCTTTAATTTTCTGAGAAAGGCATGCAGTCCTTAACCATTAAGAATGATGTTACCACCCCAAAAAACAAACAAAAACAAAGCAAAACAAAAAACACAGATTGTTACCACCACCATCCCCCACTCCCCGCCCCCAGAAAAAATGATGTTAGCTGCAGGCATTTTGTACGAACTATTTATCAAGATAATTTTCCTCTATTGTTATTTTACTGATACATTTTAATATAAATTGCTGTTAGATTTTGCCAGATACTTTTCTGCCTCAATTGATATGATTGTATGACTTTTCTGTAGACTACTTATGTGGAAGGGCAGAGTAATACTCTTTACTCTTACCACATGGTCACTGAAGATGTCTATGACCTAATGCCTGAAAACTGTGATATGTATACATGGCAAAGGGGAATTACAGTTTCAGATGCAACTAAGATTGCTCATCAGTTGATCTTAAAATACAGAGTATCCTGGATTATAATTATCAATCTACTATAATCACAAGGGTCATTAAATATGGAAGAAGGAGGTACAAGGAGAACCAGAGAACACTGGATTACATTGATTGATTTTCTACAGTTGAACCAAATTTGTATAGCTAAAATATATTCCAGTTGTTCATGATATTAATATTATTTTCTTTACACAATGCTAGATACTGGCTTGCTAAAAGTTTATTGTGTTTTTTTGAATCAAACTTCATGAGAAATATTGTACTGCAGTTTCCTTTTTTTTGGTACTGTTGTCATTTGATTTTGGTATTAGATTAATTCTGTCTTCATAAAGTAAGTTTGGGACTATGTATCATCTGTTTTATGAAAACATTTGGAAAATTAGTTATATTTAATTAAATATTTTACATAATTTTTCAAAAGATCTAAAAATTTATTTGGGGAGAAGTTACTTAATCACAAGTTAAAGTTCTAGCAGAGTAATAATATGATTTACACTATTTCATCATAGCTGAGTTTTGCTACTTTGTATTTTTTGAGGAATGTATCTATTTCTTCTAAATTATTGAAGTTATAAGCATAAATTTATTCATGGATTCTCTGATGATTCCTTTAATTGCTGCAGGTTCTAGAGTGATATCCTCTATTTTATCACTGATATTCATGATTTGTTCCCTCTCTCTTTTTATTTGTGTCAATGTTGCCTGAGGTTTATCATTTTTATTAATTTTATTCCAGAGACAACTTTTCATTTTATTAATTTTCTCCATTGTTTTTAGTTTTCAATTTATTGGATATCTGCTTTTATATTAATTATTTTTTTCTTCTTCTCATGTTCAGTTTATTTTTCTCTTCCTTTCCTAGTTTGTGAAGTTGGACATAACTTATTATCTTAGGTCTTATTTCCAATGTAAACATTTAGGTGCTTTAAAGTTTCCTCTCTGCACTGCTAAAGCTACATCCCATGTATCCTCATACAGTTTTTTTCCTTTATTTCAGTTCTATTTCCTTTTTATTTTCCTTGAGATTTTTTTTTTTTTTACTATCCATGGATTATTTAGAAGTGAGCTATTTATTTTCCATGTTTGTTGTGTTTATGTGATTGGTTTCTATTTAGAATACATTATGATCAGGGAACTCATTACATTTTATTTCCATTCTTTTACATGTGTTGAGAGTTTTTTGTGGACCAAAATATAGTTTATTTTGATGAACAATCCATAAAGTTTTACAAAAAATTGTATTCTGCCATTGGTGGGTGGATTGTCTTATATATGTCAACACATCTTGTTGATTGATTATCTGGTTCTGATGGCCTATATACTTGCTAATTTTCTGTGAAGTAATTAGTAATTATATCAATTGCCGAGAGAGTTACTAACGTAACCAACTATAATTGTGCATGTGTTTTTATATTTCTCCATTTAGCTCTGTCAGATTTTGCTTCATGCAATTTGAGGCTGTTTGGATGCATACTGTAGTGTTGTTATGTTTTTTTAATGTTTTGATTATTTAATCATTATGTAATTTCCTTCTCGTTTCTATTAAATTTATTTGCTTTGAAGTTTACTTAATTGAATATCACCATAGTCTTTATCCATGGTTTTGCTTTCCATAGATTCAGTTACCTGCAGCAAATACAAATTCTAGAACTAAACAGTGTGTAAGTTTTAAAGTGCGTGCAATTCTATGTAGTAGAGTGAAGTCTCATGTTGTCTCATTTTCTCCCACCCAGGACATGAATCATTCCTTTGTCCAGAATGTCTATGCTTTATATGCTACCTGCCCATTAGTCACCAACACTGATGCCTCTGACATCTAACCAGCATAATCAGAACTCATTGACCCAGGATTATTTAAGGCAAATGATCCTCCTTCTAATATATTGTCAGAAGGCAATAGTAGTCTAACTCTCCATCATAATGCCTATGTCATTCACATTACTTCATCTCACCACTAGGCATTTTATCATCTCATATCATCACAAGAAGGGTAAAAACAATATAGTAAGGTATTTTGAGAGAGAGGAAGAAAGAGAGAAAGACTACATTCACGTAACTTCTATTATGACATATCGTTAAAATTGTTATGTTTTATTACTATTTTTACCAATATCTTACTATGCCTAATTTATAAATTATACTTTATCATAGGCATGTACATGTTTAGAAAAAGAGGCAGTATATGCAGGGTTCAATATTACATGGTGTTTCAGCCATCCACTTGAGTCATTGAAATGTATCACCCATAAAGTAGACTACTGTAATAAAGACACTCCTGTATTTTTATTAATGATTGTATTTTTCCCATCCTCTTTTTCTCAACCTATGTAATTAAATTTGAAATAGATTTCTAGTAAACAGCATTTAGTTACATCACATTTTAAAACAAACTCTGTCAATGTCTGCCTTTTTGTTGATGTATTAAAACATTTACTTTTAAGGAAATTATTCATATAATATAGCCTAAATATGCCAATATTTTTCTTTATTTAAATTTCTCTTTTTCTCTTTTCTTATCTCATACTATGTTACTTGGATATATTTTAGAATTTCCCCTTATTTATAGGGCTGTCAGTGTATCTTTTTGTACACTTTAATAGTTATTGTTCTACGTATGAAAGTAAATATACTTGACATCTATTGCTATCAACATTTTTCTTCCTTAGGTAGCCTATGGAAAAATTATTTTCATATGTCTCATTGCTTTGCCTGCTTTTAATTATCATTGTTTTGATTATTTGATAGTGTTATAATTTTTGTTTAAATCATCAAATATTTTTTCAATTCATGAGGAAAAGGACATTCTACTGTATGTTTCTATATTTTCTCACTTTCCATTAGTCTGTTGCCGTTCCTTAGGTTCCAAGATTTCTTCTTCGATCATTTATCATGTTTGAAAATCTCCCTTTAGATTTTTTTTTAAGAGTACATCTGGTAGAAGATGGCCAACTGGATACAGCCAGGAAGTGCTGTTCCTACAGAGACCATGATTTCAAATACACCAACGAAATTTGAACAGACCTTTGTAGAGAAAATGCTGAATGTGAATGGAGAAAAAAAGACACAGATGCTGAAGCTGAAGAGGGAGGAAGCTGGGATATCTGTGTGAGGAGTCTGAATGCTAAGGCTGTTCTGACCCTGAAGGGCACCTGTGGATGGGGTGAGTGAAGGGACTGGGGCACTGCCTACTATTGCCGAGGGCCTCTGAGACTCTAGCTAGAGGAGACTCCACATACTCATGAACATGTGAGGTGGCAGGGGGATCGCCTCAGAGATTAGACAGAGAGGGGGCTGCAGCAGGCATGGAGCTGGGGACCTTTAGGAGGAGTCAGTTCCAGTGGAGCCTGACCATAAGCACCTACCCTCCATGGCTGCCTGTTTCTCATGTCTCCTGCCTCTGAGACACTCTGATTGCAAGCTAACCACCAGGGAGAAATCAGGGCCTGCTTCTCCATGGGACTGGGACATGTCTGTCCTGCAGGCCTGCCTGCTTGCCAGTCTCAGGGCTCCTGCCTGGCCACCCCACAGAAGTGTGAATTGTACACTGCAGCTTCTCTTGCCCAGCCTAGGTACTTTGCTCTGTGTTAGTGTTTTCTGGCAGTCTGGGAGCCCTTTGGCTCCTCCAGCACACCCCAAACCCAATCCCAAGAGTCAGGAGGAGAGAGCCACAAGCAGGTGCTGGTGCTGCTGGGCTGTGGCCCACAGCTCAGGAATGCCAAGCCTGGGTCTGCCTGGCATTTGAATAGGAAAGGACCCTAAAAACTCAGAATACTGACAGGAAGGATTTGCACAAGTTCACAAGCTGTTATGGGACCTAGTCATGCCTGCTTCTGTAGGGCTGGTCTGGAAAGGGTGTGGCCTGTTTCCTTACTGGACCTCTCCCCAAGGGAGCCCTGCAACCTGTAAAGTTGAACAAGAACAACAACAACAAAAAAAATTATAGTCACAGTGTCAGACATCAGAGGTGGCTCTGGCAAGGCCTAGTAATAGACCTGATGAAGGAATCACTTCTCTCCAATTCACACTGCAGAACATAGCTGCCAACATGGTGATACACAAAGGAGCCAAGCAGCTGAGTAATAGTGTATCTACTGCTCATTGATCTCACGCACCATCCACTGGATTGTAGCCCAAACTACAACACCAAAAAAACACTGCTAATTCTCCCCCTGTAAAACCAAGGGCAAGAATTCAACAACAAACAAAGAACTATACAGAGCCTTAACCCTCTGAAAACTTCCAGAAACAAAGCCAAGTAACTATATTCAATTTACACCACTATTAAAGGAATACTAACCTTCCCAGATTTGAAATGATTATCATACGAATTCTTGCAATTCAAAAGGCCAGAGTGTGCCCTTACCTCCAAAGGAGCCCATTAGCTCTCCCGCAAGGGTTCTTAACATGTCTGAATTGTCTGAAAGAATAGACATAGAATTCAGAATCTGATGGCAAAGAAGCTCATTGAGATTCATGAAGAAGTTGAAACTCAATACAAAGAAGTCAAGCAATGTAGTAAAATAATTCAATAACTGAAAGATTAAATAGTCATTTTAACAAAGACCCAAACCGAACTAGAGCTAAATAATTCACTACAAAAATTTCATAATATAATCAGAAGTATTAGTAGCAGAATAGACCAAGCTGAGGAAAGAATCTCAAAGCTCAAAGACAAGTTCTTGGAATGAATTCAGTCAGACAAAAAGGAAGAAAAATAAATTAAGAAAAGTGAACAAAACCTCCAAGAAGTGTAGGATTATATAAAGAGACCAAATGTATGTTGCATTGGCATTCTTGATAGAGAAGGAGACAGAAAAAAAAACAAACTGAAAAATACACTGGGGACATAGTCCACAAAAATGTCCCTAATCATCCTAGAAAGGTTGTCATGCAATCCAAGAAATACAGAGAACCCCAGCCAGATACTAAAAAAGATGACCATACCCCAGGTACATAGTCATCAGATTCAGCAAGATCAATGCAGAAGAAATAATGTTAAGGCAGCTAGAGTGAAGGTCAACTACAAAGGGAACCTCAGCGGGCTAGAGTCAAACCTCTCCACAGAAACCTTATATGCTAAAAGAGACTTGGAGCCTATTTTCAGCATTCTTGAAAAACTAAATTATTACCAAGAATTCCTAACCTGAGAAACTAAGCTTCACAAATGAAGGAGAAATAAAAACCTTAAACAAACAAATGCTGAGGTAATACATGTCAACACTTCAAATGGCTGCTGAACAGCACCACAACCAAGTAGGCTTTATTCCTGGGATACAAGGCTGGTTTGACATACATGAATCGATAAAACTAATTCAACACATAAACAGAATTAAAATCAAAACCCATATTATCTTCTCAATAGATGCAGACAAAGCTTTTGATAAAATCCAACATTCCTTCATAATAAATGCCCTCAACCAACTAGGCATCAAAGGTACATACCTGAAAATAATGAGTTATCTATGAAAAACCCACAGCCAGCATAATCCTGAATGGACAAAAGCCCGAACAACTCCCCTTGAGAATTGGAACAAGACAAGGATGCCCACTCATATTCATCATATATTCTACTTACATTCCACTTACATATATCTATATCTATATCTATATCTATATCTATATCTACATATATTCCACTTATATTCAACACAGTAATGGAAATCTTAGCCAGAGCAATCAGGCAATAGAAACAAACATTAAAAAAAGGCACTGGAGAAGTCACTGATGATAGGATTCTACAACTAGAAAATCCTAAAAACTCAGACAAAAGGCTTCTAGAAATGATATACAACTTTAGTAAACTTTCAGGATAGAAAAATCAATGTGCAAAAATCCATAGCACTTCTATACTCAAACAAAATCCAGGCTGAGAGTGAAATCAAGAAAACCATCAGACTTAAAATAGACACAAAGAAAATGAAATACCCAGTGTCTTAGTAAGTTTTCACACTGCCATCAAGAAATACCCAAGACTGGGTAATTAATAAAGAAAAGAAGTTAAATTGGCTCACCATTCCACAGATTGTTCAGGAAGCATGGTGGCAACTGCTTCTAGGGAAGCCTCAGTGAGCTTTTACTATTGGCAGAAAGAAAAATGGGAGCAGGCATCTTACATGACAGAAGCAGGACCAAGAGAAAAGAGCAAGGAGGGAGTGCTGCACACTTTTAAACAAACAGATCTCCTGAGAACTCACTCACTCACTCACTATCATGAGAACAGCACCAGGAGAAGGTGCTAAACCATTTATGAAGGTCCACCCACATGATCCAATCACCTCCCTCCAGGCTCCACCTGCAAGACTGGGGACATCTTGACATGAGATTTGGTGGGGACACAGATCCAAACCATATCACTTAGAAATACAGCTAACCAAGGAGGTGAAAAATCTCTACAAGGAGAACTGCAAAACACTGCTGAAAAAAAATCAGAGATGACAAAAATAAATGGATTAGAAGAATCAATATTATCAAAATGGCCATACTGCCCAAATCAACTACAGATTCAACACTATTTCTATCAAACTATCAACATCTTTCTTCACAGCATTAGAAAAAAAAGATTCTAAAATCTGAATAGCCAAAGCAATCCTAAACAAAAAGAACAAAGCCAGAGGCATCACACTATCTGACTTCCAAATATGCTATTAAGACACAGTAACCAAAACAGCTTGGTACTGGTTAAAAGAACAATAGAATGAAATACAAAACTCAGAAATAATAAATAGAGCTGCATACTTACAATCATTTGATATTTGATAAGACTGACAAAAACAAGAAGTGAGAAAGAACTCCCTATCGGATAAATGGTTCTGGGATAACTGGCTAACCATATGCTAAAAATTGAAGCTGGATTTCTACCTTTCACAATATACAAAAATTTACTGAAAATAGATCAAAGATTTAAATGTAAGACCTCAAACAATATAAATCTTGGAAAACAACCTAAGAAATATTCTTCTCAACATCAAACTTTACAAATTATTTTTGGCTAAATCCTCAAAAACAATTGCAACCAAAACAAAAATAGGCAAGTGGGAACTAATTAAAGAGCTTCTGTATAGCAAAATAAACTGTCATTAGAAAAACAGAAAACCTACAAAATGGGAGAAGATATTTGCAAACTATGCATCTGACAAAAGCCTAATATCCAGAATCTATAAGTAACTTAAAAAAATAAACTAGCAAAAATAAATAACCCATTAAAAAATAGACAAAAACATGACTGACGCTTCTCAAAATAAGACATACGAGCAGCCAACAAACATGAAAAAATGTTCAGCATCACTAATCATGAGAGAAACGGCAATCAAAACCACAATGGGATACCATCTCACATCAGTCAGAATGTCTACAATTTAAAAATCAAAAAACAACCAATGAGGCTGCAGAGAAAAGGAAATGCTTATTAACTGTTGGTGGGAATGTAAATTAATCCAGTCACTGTGGAAAGCAGTCTGGAGATTTCCCAAATAACTTACAACACAGCTACCATTTCTCCTAGCAATCCTATTACTGGGTATATGCCTGAAGGAAAATAAATTATTATACCAAAAAGACACATGCACTCATACATTCACTGTTGCTCTGTTTGCAATAGCAAACAACAAGAAATCAACTAAGGTGCCCACCAATTAGAAATTGGATTTAAAAATGTGGTACATAGGTACCATGGAATGCTATGTAGCCATAAAAAAGAATGAAACTATATCTTTTACAGCAACATGGATGGAGCTGGAGGTCGTCATCCTACATGCATTAATTCAGGAACAGAAAACCAAATACCACATGCTCTTACTTATAAGTGGGAGCTAAATACTGACCACACATAGACACACATAGACAGAATATAGGAAAAACAGACACTGCAGAATACTAAAGGGTGGAGTTAGGGTGGAAGGGGGCTTGAAAAACTACCTATTGGGGTACCATGCTCACTGCCTTGGTGGTGGGACCCATACTCCATAGCTCAACATCATACAATATTCCCATGTAAAAAACCTCCACATGTAGCCCTTGTATCTGTAATAAAAATTAAAATTAAAAGAATTCAAATTGAAAAGTGCATCTGCTAATAACAAATTCCTTTTATTTTCCTTTATCTGAAAAAATTTCAATGTCCCTTTTACTTCTGAAGGACATTTTTACAGATTATGTGGTTGACATTGCTTTACTTTCAACATTTGAAAATTGTTGCTGGACTGCCTTCTGACTCATTAATTAATCTTTTGTCTGTCAGTTCTTTGCCAAGATATTTTTCAGTTCTTTTAAAATAATTTATAATTGATTGTTGAAACATTTAGATGATAGCAGCTTTAAAATTCTTACCACATAATTCCAACATAAGATTTACCTTGATGTTGTCAGTTGAATATCTTTTCTCCTTCAAGTTGGGATTTTCGGATTCATGGTATATTGATGATGTTTTTATTGCATCCTAAACATTTTACCTATTATGTTAACAGACTGTAGGTCCTATTCAAATATTGTAAACAGGCTGTCATCTATTTCAGTTTAGCAGACAAATCTTGATTTGCTGTGTGTCCAATGACAGTGTAATATTCAGAACATTTGTAGTATTAATTTGGCTTGCCTGGTTATCTGATGCTTCCTCGGTTCCCATTGGTTTCTGCTGGTCCTGTTTGATGTGTGGAAATGGTTGTCTGGGTGAAACCACTAGGTGTCTCTTGGTGAGGGAGGTGAGTGTCAGACCAGATAGTATATATACATGTCCCTGGCCAGGCACTTATTATGGTGGGTTGCTCTGTGCCTGTGGGGAAACAAAGAGCACACATTGGGTAGGTGCTTGTTGTGGTGGAATTCCCCTTACTGCTCCCCAGGACACCTTGATGTCCCTGAATGTGGGAAGGGAGGTCCCAGGCACCCAAAGACTCAGAGACTCACAGGAATGAGGCACTTGTGGTGAGGTTGGAACAGGAATTAAAAGAAGTTAAAGAATGTGTAAGCAAAAACTCAGTTGTATGTAAGAAAAACCAATTCCCCCGAGGAAGAGAAAGAGCTGAAGTCTGTTTTCCTGTGGCTAGTGAGCCTTATCTCTCCCTTTCTCGGGCATTGTGAAGACTCTGTTTCTCTAGCTGTGCAGCTGCAAGGCCACTAGACAGATAATCTCAAGTCATAAAACATGTTGTTCCTTGAGAAGTAAGAAATGATGTGATGCATGTCTTAATTGAATAACAGTCTTTTTTTCTCGCTTCTATAATATGCTTCCCCCTGCACAAATCTCCCCCTGCCCCACAAAATGCTTAAAAGGTAGCTTGACTCTTTTTTCGGGGCTCAGTCCTCTGGATGTTAATCTGACTGGGTTGGTGCACCTAAATAATTAAATAATTCCTCCTCAACCCCTCGGTCCCTCTGATTCCTTAATTATCCCACTGACAGGTCCCTTTAGAAGTTGTTATCCAGCTACCTTGGTGTTTCCTAGAGGGAAAAGAGAAGCTCAGCCCCACAGGAGCAAAGAGGCTTCATGGATAAACTTTCTTGTCATGGTATGATGCCCTTTGCCATTGCCAGTTGGTTAATCTGCTGTCTCTGGATAGAGAGGGAGTTTCATATCTATAGGGACAAAGAAAGTACTCTGGTTAAGCATTTTGTTGTGGCAGAGTCCACCTCGCTAACTACCATGGCATCTGTTGAAGCAGAAGAAGAGTTTCACACCTGGTTGGGATAAAGAACACTTCCCCTGCTTAGTTATTGTTAGTGGGACTTCAGGTCCATCCCTCTTGCTGGTAGTTCCCTCTTGTCAGTGGAACTCCTGTCCTATTCAGGCTCCTGGGGGAGGAAGAGGTTGAGCCTACCTTGGCTGCCCCTGTTACTAGGTTGCTATTTAGGGAAAAAAGGTGTCTTGAATATTGATATGGTTTGGCTCTGTCCCCACCCAAATTTCATCTTGAATTCCCAGTGTTGCAGGAGGGACCTGGTTGGAGATAATTGAATCATGGAGGTGGTTTCCCCCAAACTGTTCTCATGGTAGTAAATAAATCTTACAAGATCTGATGGTTTGATAAGGGAAAATCCGCTTTACTTGGCTCTCATTCTCTCTCCTGCCACTGCCATGTGAGCTGTGTCTTTCACCTTCCACCATGATTGCGAGGCCTCCTCCCCAGCTATGTGGAACTGTAAGTCCAATAAACCTAAACCTCTTTCTTGTGTAAATTGCCCAGTCTTGGGTATGTCTTTATCAGCAGCATGAAAGTGAACTAATACAGTAAATAGGTACCAGGAGTGGTGTGTTGCTGAAAAGATACCCGAAAATGTGGAAATGACTTTGGAACTGGGTAACAGGCAGAGGTCGGAACAGTTTGGAGGGCTCAGAAGATGACAGGAAAATGTGAAAAAGTTTGAAACTTCCTAGAAACTTGTTGAATGACTTTGCCCAAAATGCTAATAGTGATATGGACAATAAACTCCAGGCTGAGGTGGTCCCAGATGGATATGAGAAACTCGTGGGGAACTGGAGCAAGAATGACTCTTGTTATGTTTCAGCAAAGACTGGTGGGATTTTGCCCCTGCCCTAGAGATTTGTGGAACTTTGAACTTGAGAGAGATGATTCAGGGTATCTGGCCGAAGAAATTTCAAAGCTGCAAAGCATTCAAGATATGACTCGGGTGCTGTTAAAGGCATTCAGTATTATAAGGGAAGCAGAGCATAAAAGTTTAGAAAATTTGCAGCCTGACAATGCGATAGAAAAGAAAAATCCCATTTTCTGAGGAGAAATTCAAGGGGGCTGCAGAAATTTGCATAAGTAACAAGCAGTCGAACGTTAATCCTCAAGACAATTGGGAAAACGTCTCCAGGGCATGTCACAGGTCTTCATGGCAACCCCTCCCATGACAGGCCCGGAGGCCTAAGAGGAAAAAGGTGGTTTTGTGGGCTGGCCCCAAGGTCACCTTGCTGTATGCAGCCTAGGGCCTTGTTGCCCTGTGTTCCAGCCACCCCAGCTGTGGCTGAAAGGGGCCAACATAGAGCTTGGGTCATAGCTTCAGAGGGTGTAAGCCTCAAGCCTTGGCAGCTTCCATGTTGTGTTAAGCCTGTAAGTTCACAGAAGTCAAGAATTGAAGTTTGGGAACCTCTGCCTAAATTTCAGAGGATGTATGAGAATGTCTGGATGCTCAGGCAAAAGTTTGCTGCAGGGGCAGGGCCCTCATGGAGAACCTCTGCTAGGGCACTGTAGAAGGAATATGTGGAATTGGAGCCCCCACACAGAAGTCCTACTGGGGCACCTATTAGTGGAGCTATGAGAAGAGGGCCACCATCCTCCAGGCCCCAGAACAGTAGATCCACTTACAGCTTGCACCCTGTGCCTGGAAAAGCCACAGACACTCATGAGTGCAGCATGGAAAAGCCAGCCCATGAGTGCAGCCAGGGAGGAGGCTGTACCCTGTAAAGCCACAGGGTCATAGCTGCCCAAGACTATGGGAACCCACCCCTTGCATCAGTGTGACCTGGAAGTGAGACATCGAGTCAAAGGAGATCATTTTGGAACTTTAAGATTCGACTGCCCTGATGGATTTTGTTTTAGCCAATTTCTCTCATTTGGAATGGGTGTATCTACCCAATACCTGTACCTCCATTGTATCTAAGAAGTAAGTAACCAGCTTTTGATTTTACAGGCTCATCGGTGGAATCGACTTGCCTTGTTTCAAATGAGACTTTGGACTGTGGACTTTTAAGTTAATGCTGAAATGAGTTAAGACTTTGGGGGACTGTTGGAAAGGCATGATTGGTTTTGAAATGCAAGGACAAGGACTTGAGATTTGGGAGGGGCCGGGGTGGAATGATATGGTTTGGCTATGTCCCCACCCAAATCTCATCTTGAATTCCCATGAGTTGTGGGAGGGACCCAGTGGGAGATAATCAAATCATAGGGGCAGTTTCCCCCATACTGTTCTCATGGTAGTGAGTAAGTCTCACGAGATCTGATGGTTTGATAAGGAGAAACTCCTTTTGCTTGGCTCTCATTCTCTCTCTTGCTGCTGCTATGTGAGAAGTGCCTTTCACCTTTCACCTTCCACCATGATTTTGAGGCCTCCACAGCCACGTGGAACTGTAAGTCCAATAAACCTCTTTCTACTGTAAATTGCCCATTTTCCATTATGTCTTTATCAGAAGCATGAAAACAGGCTAATATAATTGTCTTCTCTATTGAATGGAGACAAATAGAACAGCCTGCTACTGTGCTGTTCCTTCAGTCATGGGACCCCAAATCCATTCAGCTTCTTCTTGCCACCTTTTGGACTTCTTTGGTGGCCTCTCAATGTTCTTCATTTGCAATTGTACTAAAGATTTAATAGAATCTTGTTCTGACCTGAATCCATTTTCCCTTTGACACAGTTACTTAGCATTTTTTTTTCCTCTTCAGCTTAGAATACATTTTGCATCAGTGTTAGAGACCATTTTGTTCAGCTTACTGTATACTGATGTCAGTGTTCTCTGGGCTTCTAGAACATTGTTTAAAAACTAGTGTTCTTGATCATTTCACTCAAAAGCACTGCCTGATTGAAGTTAATATAATTGTGCTTATAATATTTAGTAGTTTTGCATTTATATTATGTAAATAATTGTCAGTTTTAAACCTTCACCTATTTGCAGTGACAAGAATCACTTAGAAGTGGATTGTAAATATAACTGAAGAACAAAAAAAATCTGTGATTAAACAGAGCTTTAATAAAAAAGCTTGATTTTAGAGACAGAATATTACGTATACTCTAAGCAAAAATCAAAACTTATTAACAGGCTGGGGTGGTGGCTCATGCCTGTAATTCCAACACTTTGGGAGCCCAAGGTGGGCGGATCACTTGAAGTCAGGATTTCGAGATCTGCCTGGCCAATATAGTGAGACCCCATGTCTACAAAAAATACAAAAATTAGCCGGGTGTGTTGGCAGGTGCCTGTAGTATCAACTACTCGGGAGACTGAGGCATGATAATTGCTTGAACTCGGGAGGCAGAGGTTACAGTGAGCAGAGATCATGCCACTGTGACAAAGCCGGACTCCATCTCAAAAAATAAAAATTAAAAAATTTAAAAAAACCTTATTAACAAGCATACAGTTTATGGTTATTAATTGGCTATATAAACATTATTTGTAACTTAGTGTGTTAAAATATCCTCGCAAAAATACTATTGCTTTCTTAGAGTTCTAGGAAACATATATCAACAACCTTTAAATGCAACAACCATTTTATGGGTTATTCAGCTAGACTAGTTGTGGGCTTTGTTCATTTAGATGAATACAGCAAAGTTCTGGAATGATCCTATTCTCAATATACTACGTATCGTTCATAGGTCTAATGCCATCTCTCTGGGGGTAAATGAATAACATGGATGAAACTTTAGGCATTCTTTATTTCTTCCAAATATTTTAGTGTTTGCCCCTCAACCTTTAAACTCGGAAGAGGAACAACTGAAATCATTTTCATTGATCATCAAGACTAAATGGCCTGTTCCACCCTGTGGACCTTACTTGGCCTTTAGAAGCATGCTGTGTCCTCTTGATGAGAGTTTTGCCATTGAGAAAGAGTTACTAACACCCTCACTACCAACACCCCCTCAATATTCTGTCTGTTATTGGTTTCTTCTCTCTACATTGTCTCTTCTCTGGTTATCGCTTCACATTTCAATTTGGATTTCTAATTGGCAACGCAAAGTTGACATCCTGAAATGAACTCTCTATTTCCTAGCACCTCTAAACCTTTTCTTTCTCAGAATGTTTTATGGCATTAAATGGTGTCACCGTCCTCCGATTGGTTAAGCCTCAAACCTATGATTTTTATCTTTCATCCATTCATTTATTTATTCAAATAATAAATATTATTGACCACTTACTCTATGCCACATCTCTTTTTCTCCTCCTGTCTCCAGGCACCTTGTCCAACTTAACCTTCCATATACACAAAAAATATATTTGTCTTTTCCTCACAGCAGATCAGGCTGGGTCTGATGGAACTAGCGTTCATTCCTCTACTCTTACTCTCCTTGCAATCTGTCTTCAGTAGTCAGTGTGAGCTTTTGGAAGCATCTATCAGAATAAATTATTTTTGTGTTTAAAACCTTACTGATTAAACAGAATGGGATCTACATGTTAGTCTTTTACTCTGACTACAAAGCTTTATATGATCTGGCCCCTGTGTCCTATATCTTAACTTTACCTTACCTATTTATCTTGGTTACTTTCACCATGTCAGACTTGAAGTTCCACAAACAACTCCAGATTGTTTTAGACCTAATACTAAAGTGCTTTTCTACAGATTTTTACAAAGCTGTATCCTTGTGGTCATTTAGATGATGGCCTAAGTGTATCCCTCTCCAGAGAGGTTTTACCAAGACCATTCACCACACTTTTCATACTGGCTCATCATATTTTCATTATAACATTTTTCAAAAAATGATATTTATATATGTTTATTTGTTTAGTGGCTTTCTACTAAAATGCAAATTGGATCAAAACAGGAAACCCTTTTTTTTTGTACTGCTATATGTCCACTTCCTACAAGTATTACTGACATCAAATAAATACTCAGAAAATGTATATGGAATAAAACAATACATTAATAATATACCACTTATAGAGATAGCTAGCAAAATGCTACCTAAGAAAATACATTGCCATTTAATTATTGAAAATAATATACAACCCAAAGCTTTTCTCAAACCTTTGAGGAACTGTAGGCAAAACAGGAAAAATACTTACCTTGAACTGTGGACTCTGCAGACACTAACAGTGTCTTAGTCAGCTCAGGCTGCCATAACAAAATACCATAGACTGGATGGTTTGAACAATGGGCATTTCTTTCTCACAGCTCTGAAGGCTGGGAAGTTTAAGATTAATGTGCTGGCTGATTCAGTTTCTGGTGAGGGCCCTCTTCTTGGCCTGCAGTAGCCACCTCCTTTCTGTGTCCTCACAAAGCTTAGCGACTGCTCTCTTTGCCTCTCCTTCCACTTCTTATAAGGACACTAATCCCATCATGGGGGCCCTACCCTCTTGACTTCATCTAAACCTAATTCCCTCCTATATTAGTCAAAATAATTGACTCACATGATTATGGAGACTGAGAAATACCATGATAGCCCATCTAAACCTGAAGAACTGAGAAAGCTGACAGTAGCTCAGTCCCAGTCTGAAAGCCTCAGAATCAGGGAAGTCAATGTTGTAACAGGCAAGTTGACATCTAAAGTTAACCATCACATTTCCCAAAGTTCCCATCTCCTAATACTGTCAGATTGGGGGTTGGGGCTTCAAAACATGAACTTGGGAGTGGGAAGACTGAAGCTTTCAGTCCATAACAGTTCCTCTATATATGACAATTTTGACCATATCTAATTGGGTCTCTGAATATGGTGAGAAATATTTTCACTGATTTAAGAGGCAGAATAGATAAACTAGTTGGTTCAAGAGAAGGGATATTTTTCTTTATCATGAGTTAAAAAATAGACCTCTGGCTTGTGTTTACAAATAAGTTATATTTATTTCAGATTTTGTTTATTTTATGAATCAGTATTGAATCAGAAATACTAGGCTGAAAGCTGTTTAATATTAATATTCCTAATATTTTTCCACAAGTTAATAGAATCTATGAAGATTTTGCAATAGTATTATTTATAAAAAACTAACAAATATTCCACACTTAGTGTGTGCTAGGCACTGTATTATTTTACATTGATCATCTCAATTTCTATGAAGTATGAACTACGATTTCAGAAGTTTTTTTCAATCCCATTTACAGAGGAAAAGTAATGTTCAGAATGATTGATGAACTTGACCAAGGTTTCTCAGGGAGTAAACAGTGAACTCAGATTTAACCACGAAGAAACAATGTTTGCAACCATTACTCTTTTTGAATTTTACCAAATTAATTCATAAGAGACAATCAAAATTCAGTATTATTATATGAGAAGATTTATTTTATGATACTCTACTATTTCTCACATAATATTAATGAGAGTTTTATTTGATACATGTTGAAAATTTAGCAATAGGATAACTTGGAATGTGAATATTATTTACTTTTCTTTCTCCCTCTTAGAGGCAGATGTGCCATAATAATAAAGTGTCTATTGATAATGCTTTATGTTTTCCCCCACTTCTGTCTGTACACTAATGTTATAAATTATGTCTAGTCATTATTTTCAGTAGTTTTTTTTTTTTGCAGTTTATTTAAATTTAGCAAGAACAAAACTGAAGTTACACCTTTGGCCCAAACCACTGTTTCAAAGATTCTTTATTTAAAGTAATAATTTTGCAATCCACTCAGTTGTGCAAACAGAAACCTCTAGCTCTTCAAATAGATTTGTTAATAACATATGACTATCTTATTTAGTGGAAGTTATTCTTAATGCCTTTGCCATTTATTTTTAGGAAATCAATCAATCTCTGACCAAATTCTATATATGAAATTTGTCTTATGTCTGTCTTTCTTCCCTGTGCCTAGTCATATTTTAAGAATATTATATATTCCTAAAATTCAATCCTTTATTTAAAATTGTCATAATTTTGTATAACAGCATTCCTCCCATATAGTTATGTACTTATATTGTGTTTTTTATTTTTTATTAAATAAATATATTTTATTAAATAGAGTATTTAGAATGTAAATGTTATAATACATTGTTATAAGTAATGGACATTCATCTCAAATGATATAAAGGATGGAGAAATTGTGAAGTTTTTACTACTTTCAACTTAAAGAATAATATTCATCCTGTATACTTCCAACCTCTGTCTCCACTCCTAACCAAGACAAATAAATACTCATTTCTTTCCAGGGAAGATGGATTCCTGAGGTTTTTAGGTACAGGAACACAGCAAAAATATTTAGTTCCTTTATTTTTCTCTTCTGCATAGAGATAAGATAGTTCTTCTCTATTCTCAATATACCATAAGAGTCACAGGAGAACAATCTCATTTGGAGGAAGATTCCACAGAGTTTTGAGTAGTATATTCAAATCAAATGGACATTAAGGATGTGGTTCATTAGCCAGAAACCTTGAAAAAGAGACTAGGAGTGGACTAGCTGAAATAAGAACTAAAACATTAATGGTTTGGGAATAAACATGATAAATTGGTATTGGCCATGTCAAATTTAAGTCACCTGTAAAATTCAGATGGATATATTTGGGATGATGTTTCATATCTAGATTAAAAAGTTGAATCTTCCAAATTAGGTAAGTTTGGACAAAAGTATTAGGTAGAATATTGCAGAAAAAGTCAGAAAATGTTATCTCAGGGGTTACTACAGGGTAAATAGTTTGTTTTAGGTGAAGGAGAAACTGATTCCTAGAAACTGATTCCTATTGTGCTCCACACAATAGGGCATTAGTTAGACATAATTATGCATGGAACTGAGTGAAGTTCTGGCCACATGGTCTCTGGCAATTAACCTTGAGCCAAAGGAGTCTGTAAAATATAAATTGATGCACCTTGACCTTAAACTTTAGATGCACAACTTAATATTGTAAGAAAGAGTGAGGTGAGATCTATGTAAGTGTACAGTAAATATACTGTTTTCTAACCCCAGTCTGTAGGAAGATTCTTTAGAGTAAAGCTCTCATACAGATTACTCATGTGTGGTTTGCTCATTTTCAGCAGTTTCTGAACAGTCAACAGGCACCAGGTAAGCTGCCTCTAAATCTGTAATATACACGTACATATCTATTACAAGACCCAGGTAGCTTGATTCTCTAGCATGAATAAATTCTCTAGTATCAATAAAATAAAAAATGGAATTAAAAAGTTTACTGAACATTACTTAAGGCTGAAGTGATTAAAGATATGCTTTTAAAATGCCTCCTTTTAAATCAATGGATTGGATACAGTTCG
Source organism: Homo sapiens (assembly GCF_000001405.40). NCBI lineage: Eukaryota > Metazoa > Chordata > Mammalia > Primates > Hominidae > Homo > Homo sapiens. The sequence goes on from NC_000001.11 coordinate 188,967,807, forward strand.
CGGAATTGTAATACAAATTGCAATTTATCTTCCTTAAGTTACTCAGAATGAGAAATCATATGTACACACACTTAAGCTTCAGTGTAGTTCAACCCATGTTTTCTTAGTGTATGGGGCTATATTTTGTAATATTTTGTGATCAGCACTATTAGAAGATCAGGCAAATTTATTAAAAATTATTTATCAGAGGTAGATATGGGAAATTATATTATAGCTAATTATATAAAGAAAATATATGTTTTGAACTGTTTTCAGTCCAAAATGATTTCTTTATATGTCTTCTTAATTTTCAAATTAAATACATCTGGAGAAAAGCTAAAATATTTATTTCATGAATAAGCATATTATTTGCATAAAATAAAATAATTGCTAAATTGATGTGTCTAATTAAAGCTCAATTAACTTTACTGGTAAAATATAAAGCTATTTGTAAATAGTATAGAATACAACCCTTACAATGAAGAAAAAATATTTCTCAAAAAATAATGTATCCACTTACACAGTAATAACATTTATTTTCTATAATTAGCTTCTATTTAAAGATCCAACTACTATATAAGAAATAAAGTAGGTTCCAACATAGCACCATGCAATCATCGTAACTTTAAAGTGAATGGTTGCTACTGAGATAATGGAATATCATCTGGGATAAGCACATTTGGCTTTAACGAAATGAAGTAAACATAGCAAGCAATAGCTCTGAAGTCACAGCATTAATGAAAGATGTACGCTTTAATTATCAGCGTGATTATTAGTAAAACATCCTCAATAGGAATAAGCAAATATAATTACAATATCTGTGTGATTTAAGAGGGTGAAAAGGCAAGCAACAGACTGGAAGAAAATCTTTACAAAACACATATCCAATAAAGGACTGCTATCCCTAACATACAAAGAATTCCTCATGCTCAACAATAAGAAAACAAAAAACAAGAAGTGTGCTAAACATCTGAACAGACACTTCACCAAAGCAGATATACAGGTGGCAAATAAGCATATGAAAAATTGTTCAGCATCACAGGCATCAGGGTATTGCACATAAAGATAACCATGTTACCACAACATATCCATCAGAATGATGAAAATTAAAAAAAAAAAAAAACACTGAATGATGGGAAGAATATGGAGCAAAAAATTAGTGGCTCTAAGGAAAAATATTTCCTTGACTTTTCTAGATTCTGGTAGCTCAAGAATTTCCTTGGCTTTTGGCAGTAAAACTCCCATTTCTGCCTCCATATTCTCATCACCTTTCTTCTTGTATGTGAAGAAGATTTGTGTGTCAAAGCTCCCTGTGCTTTTTTTGTTTGTTTGTTTCTGTTTTTTTAAGATGGAGTTTCGCTCTTGTTGCCCAGGCTGGAGCGCAACGGCACATTCTCTGCTTACTGCAACCTCCGCCTTCCGGGTTCAAGCGATTTCTCCCGCCTCAGCCTCCGGAGCAGCGGGGATTACAGGCGCACGCCAGGACGCTCCGCTACTTTTTTGTATTTTTAGTAGAGATGGGGTTTCACCATGTTTGCCAGGCTGCTTTCACTCTCCTGACCTCAGGTGATCCGCCTGCCTTGGCCTTCCAAAGTGCTGGCATTACAGGGGTGAGCCACCGCGCCAGGCTGCTTTTTCTTTATTAATGCACTTACCATTGTATTTAAGGCCCATTCAAGTAATCCAAGATAATCTCTACAAGAACCTTACATTAATTATCTTCAAGAATCCTAAATTAATTATATCTAAAAAGACACTTTTCCAGAGGAGTTCATGGGGTTTCAAGTAATAGAGAATGGTTACATCTTTTGGGGGATACTTTTTTTCTTTCTTTCTTTCTTTTTTTTTTTGAGATGGCATCTGCCTCTGTGGCCCAGGCTGGAGTGCAGTGGCGTGATCTTGGCTCGTTGCAACCTCTGCCTCCCAGATTCAAATGATTCTCTTTCCTCAGCCTCCTGAGTAGCTGGTATTACAGGCACGTGTCACCACACACGGCTAATTTTTGTATTTTTGGTAGAGATGGGGTTTCCCCATGTTGGCCAGGTTGGTCTCAAACTCGTGACCTCAGGTGATCCGCCTGCCTCGGCCTCCCAAATTGCTGGAGTTACAGGTGTGAGCCACCGCGCCTGGCCTAAGGCATACTTTTTAACCCACTGCTTACAATCAAATCCTTTAATATAGTTGGAAATTTTATTATCTCTTTCTCAAACCTGTTAGAACAATTATATAGAAAGTCAATAAGGTATATAATAACTTACCCATCATCCAACTTGAGCTAACTGAAATTTATAGAAAAATAATCAATCTAACAGTAGCAGAATATTAAGCCCACATGCAACATTAACCAAGACCTTATTCTGGGCCATAAACCAAGTTTCAATAAATTGATATTTTAAAGTTTTGAATTATACATGTAATGTTCTCTGACCACATGAAAGTGAATTTTAAATCAATAAAAGAAAGATACCTGGAAATTTCCCAAATAATTAGAAACTAACACTTTTCAGAATAAATAATGTATCAAAGGACATATTAAAAGGATGCTTAGAAATAATTTTGAATCAAATAAAAATAAAAGCATTAAATTTCAAAATTTGTCCAAAGTGGCTAACATATTTATTTGAGGGAAATGTACATTTAATGCCTATATTAGAAAAGAATATAGGTTGCATGCATTTTGTGTGTATATGATGTGTGTGTGTGTGTGTGTGATGATATAGACACAGAGGCAAAAAACAAGGTAGATGTCTTCAAGTGATAGAAGCAAAATACAAAAACAAAGCTATAAACAGGACCACATTTATATGCCTACCGAATTCAGTGACAGTCTGTGTGACTATTTAATATTTCAATTCACATAGAGTAAAACAGGCTAAAGTGATGATTACCACTCTTGGAGGGGAGTTTGGCTTACTGTATAAAAACTGGGATTGGCATAAGTCTTTTCCTTTCATTAAGTGATTGCATTTTCTGAGGTTTTTATTGAATTTTATTACTGAAATGTAGATATAGGGAGCAAAGCAGCCTCACATGTAAGAACTGTGTAAAATTACTTGCTGGCTAACTACACCGAATCTGAGATATATTTTTCTAATTCCAAAAGACAAGAGCAATAAAGCATAAAGAAATTTTGGTGTTGTCTTCAGTGATCTGTGGGCCCGAATGAGCACACCTTTCAAACCACGAAATAAATTGACAGAAGTACAGTGATAGAAAAATGCAAAATAAATAATATACCAAGTAAAATGTAAAAATAAGCCTCACTGAAATGAATTTTTAAATGCAAAACTCACTGCCAGTTAAATAATTTAATGTCATAGAAAAAAGATCTCAAGAAAAAACAGTATATCTTTTCCCTCAAGGAAACAGATATAATAAATTCCAAAAATAGCTTAAAATGTGGTGGTGAAAATATAAAAGAAAATGTAAACATCTGTAGTTATTTGTCTAGACAATTAAAATAACTTAAAAATGGAAGACTATTAATGAATAATTTATCTAGAATATATATCGGGGCTAAATAAATTTAACTATATCCAAGAGGATCTAAATAAAAGAGAAGTTTGACTGAAAAGCAAGCCTGTCTAAGAGGAATCCTGGAAGTAAAACATACAAGGATAATGGAATATTTAGTGTCAAGTTTATAAAGGAATGTTACAGAATTGAAAAATGATGTGCCTCATGAAAAAGTGTAGATCAATGGGTAAAGAGAGTGTGAGAAGTCATAGCTATATCTAATTACGTAATACCTTATTAGATATAAAGAGAAAAGCCCTGTACAATGCATCAGAAATAGAAATGAGGGAAGATTTCTTAAGTGATGGAAAAGGATGTTATAAACCATAATCTATATATTAGGAGTGGATGACCTGACTTGTTAAGTGCCATAATCATTACTAGTGTAGCAATTTGTTTTTCCCATTTGGCAATCACGTGGATGATGATATTAAAACCAAACAGGAAAAAAAAAGGAACACTAACTGTCAATTCTATGTTCCTCTTCTTGTCTGTGTGTCCACATAAGCTACAACTTAACTTTGGATATGTTTGCAAAAGAAACAAGGGAAGTGATGAATAGCAGAATCTGCCTGTTGCACAAAAATGGACAAAAGTAAAGGCAACCCTGTTCCAGGGTGAAGTATTTATATTTCCAATTCTGAAAGTAGAGCCAAACTAGCTGTCAAAGATGAACAAAGCTGGGTGCTAAAGTGTTATGAACATATTTCCATCATTAATATACTACTCCAATGGGGAAAAGGGACCAGAATGAACTGAACTCAACCTTAATTTGTGTAGAAGTGGCTGACTGAGGATTTTAAAGGGAGAATGAGGCATTGAGGAAGGGATGGTGCATGTGAACTCGTAAGAGCTGGAAAGTAAAACATTACAAAAAAGCCCGAAAGGAGACTGTTGTCCTTATAAAGCCCATCTGGGTTTGTTAACTGACACTTATCAAATTTAGGCTCCTGTTTTCCTGCAGAGACTTCATGTGGGAGCTGGAATGAACAGTGAATTCTTTTGGCAGGATGTATTTTCTTGGATAGTCAATTTAATCAGAGCTCAGGTATCCCTAGGAAGGCAGCCTTGAGCTATTCAAAGCTACGTTGGTGTGTTTTTCAAGTCTTTATGGGCCAAGGTTGAGGTGCAGTAGAGAAAATAACTCATAGTGGACTGGATAGAGTTTGGTCAAGAATCTTTGTCTCAGGGTAAACATAAAAGAAATATTGGCCTATACATATTGGAGAAAACTAAACATTCAGCAAAGATAAAGAGAAAAATTATGAAAGACAAAAATGATATTTTAAAAGATTCACCAAAACAAAAATTAGGCTAACAGTAGAATGTTCATCAGCCACAAAATTCTAGATAACACTGAGGCTAAACTCACACATATACATACATGCATATACACAACTATCACAACTGAACTGCATAACTATATAATACATTATTATTTTAGTTATTTTATTCCAGGGATACATAGCTATATAAACATAACTATACACACATACTCCAGTGCATATACACCTTCACCCACTAATAATAATAATCCATTGTGTCAAGAAATGTAGACAAACACAGAGGAGTAGCCTGTACAAAATAAAGGTACTTAATATTAAATAACAGAATATTAAGACGTTAACTGATCATTGTGTCTAGGTTGAAGCCCTTATGCATGTAAACACATAAAAGTTAAAGATTGGCATACTGAGAATTATCCACTAATAAAGTCGTCCCGCCCCCAAAGTTCCCTGAATGTAACTTTAATCTCTGTCTTCAGCATGTGAACCAAGAGCAACACATATAATAGAACACCTGAGATCCCTATTTACCATTTGTCTTTAGGAGGTTTTTAGGAATTTTTGCATCCTATTTTTTTCTTCCACGGGTAGTCATCATCTCTCCATTGACATGGATGGATACGAACCCCAAGTATCTTATATTTCATAATGAAATTTCTCTTGATCATAACACTAGTTAATACACTGCCATTGCCATTTTTCTCCAATGCTGAAATATTCACACTTACAGATAATATAGTTTTCAGTGATGAAAAAATGACTAATGTCTAAAAAATAGTATTTAGCATCTAACTACATTTAATTTGATCCATATTGGATGAGTAAATATAGACCACACAATGTGTCGATAGTTACAAAATTATTTTAGTATTGAAATCATTAGATTAAATTAAGTGAGTAAATCTGACATGAAGCTGATGATTATAAATACTTGTGTCGATTAGTATGAGATTAAAAAGAATAAGAGTTGAATACATATGACTCGTTTTTCTCATTTAGCTTTATAAGAAAAGTACATACAATTTACTAATTTTAAATATATAAATGAGGTAAAACAAACACATTAAAATATAAAATGAGACAACTTTTTATTCACTTTTGAATTAATAATTATATTAACTTATTGGCAGACAACATATTGTGTAAACTGTGTGAGCTTTTTTTTTTTCTTTTTTTTTTTTTGAGACGGAGTCTCGCTCTGTCGCCTAGGCTGGAGTGCACTGGCGAGATCTCGGCTCACTGCAAGCTCCGCCTCCCGGGTTCACACCATTCTCCTGCCTCAGCCTCCCGAGTAGCTGGGACTACAGGTGCCCGCCACCACGCCCGGCTAATTTTTCGTATTTTTCAAAGAGACGGAGTTTAACCGTGTTAGCCAGGATTGTCTTGATCTCCTGACCTCGTGATCTGCCCGCCTTGGCCTCCCAAAGTGCTGGGATTACAGGCGTGATCCACAGCGCCCTGCCGTGAGCTCCCTTCTGTTGCAAGAAGTAATTGCATGATTTATAGCTCTGTTAAGTGACAAAAACAATAAATATATATTTCCAAAAGGTTTTCCACTCCGTGCATATTTTATATGTACTTTTGAAAACAAAATATTGGGATATTTGGATTATCATAACTATGTGTACATAATGTCCTAGTAATATAAAATCATTAACTCATATTTTTAACTGTGAAATTCTAATAGTCATGGAGTACTTGAAATAACATTGTTAACGCTACATTTCTGCTCTTATTTAAACCAAACCATCATGTATTAAGTAGATGTTTTCAGTCTGACCTAAGCAGTTCTTAAATGTGGAACTATAATTCACCATGGATCTTTTTGTCAATATTTAAAATATTTAAATAATAATTTAATATTTTTTACAATATAATAATTAGTTAATAATTTGTGTTTGAAAACTAGTGAAGAATGTTCTCTATGAAACCTTATTAAAAACATTTTTACATAGTAAATGGAGTTGTGGCTGGGCAAATAACCCTTTTAATTCATCAGATAAATAAATGCCTGTCGTAATAAAACATTTCTTTGATAATGATACACAGTTTGTCAAACAATACTATCGGTTTTCACCATTGAAAGTAAAGACTATTGGGCCGGGCGCAGTGGCTCACGCCTGTAATCCCAGCACTTCGGGAGGCCGAGGTGGGTGGATCACGAGGTCAGGAGATCGAGACCATCCTGGCTAACACGGTGAAACCCCGTCTCTACTAAAAATACAAAAAATTAGCTGGGTGTGGTGGCGGGCGCCTGTAGTCACAGCTACTTGGGAGACTGAGGCAGGAGAATGGCATGAACCCGGGAGGTGCAGCTTGCAGTGAGCAGAGATCTCGCCACTGCACTCCAGCCTGGGCGACAGAGCGAGACTTCATCTCAAAAAAAAAAAGAAAGAAAGTAATAATGGCGATTAGTTTTTGCAATTACTTTTGCACTCACTTGCAAAATTATCATATCACCTTTAAATATGTGATCACGATTCAGTTGCATGTCAGAAATAAGGGTATTCCAACTAAAATATTTAGTTGAATTTTCAATGCTCTAAATTAAAAAATGAAAACTTTATACTGTAAAGACAGAGTGGTAGGGACTCATTTGTCAAGTACTAATAGTTTTTCTATCTTTGATATTAGAACAACTGAGCCCCAAAATTCTTCTGTGTTGTCTCTAGAAAAAGTGTACTGAAGCACAAAATTAATACTCAGCACTGCAGTTTTATTTGTATGTCATATATCACATTAAATTTATTTTATAGTTTTCTACTCTTTTAAAATCATATTCATACTATCCATCCTGTTAAATCTTTTTTACCAATCACATAAATATTGTTTTATGGGAAGAAGAATTTCTGAGATTCCAGTAATGCTTGAGGGTGACTAAATAATGAGGATATCTAAGTCATAATTTTCAGTACTCTGAAATAAAAATATATATATTTAATATTGGCTTTATTATTGTTTTGAATCTTCTCAAAATATTTTAATATTTTCCACTCATTTAAACAAAATAATATGTATCTGAAAATAAGTTATGTTTAGACAAGTTTCTTCAAATGTTGCCGCTGAACTCAATAAACTTAGAGATGCCAATGATTGTTAGTGAAAATTATCAGTGATGGTTTAGTGGATGGTGAAGGCTTTATTTTAAAAAAAAATACATGTTGAATATCAATATTTCCTTTGAAGGTACCCCTTTTATATATTTCTGAGAAATATTGCAATTCACATGTACCTGCAAATTGATTTGTTTATCAGAATTTAAAAAGGACAATTTTTTTTTCTTTTGAGATGGAGTTTTGCTCTTGTTGCCCAGGCTGGAGTGCAGTGGAGTGGCATGATCTCGGCTCACTGCCACCTCCACCTCCCGGGTTCAAGCAATTCTCCCTTCTCAGCCTCCTGAGTAGCTGGGATTACAGGCACCCACCATGATGCCCAGCAAATTTTTTGTATGTTTAGTAGAGATGGGGTTTCACCATGTTGGCCAGGCTGGTCTTGAACTCCTTACTTCAGGTGATCCACCCTCCTTGGCCTTCCAAAGTGGTGAGATTACAGGTGTGGGCCACCACACCGGACCAAGAATGACAATTTTTATTTTAACATATGGAACTATTTAAAGAAATCCATAAATTTTTTCTTACTCTTCAAAACTTTTCTGTTATATAGGATATTGTGTAAATATATCGTATTTTTCCTAAGTATATATCAGAATGTCCTGTAGTTTTGAATACAACTAGTTAGAATCAATTTATAATCCACACTCAAAGATTTTCTCAAATGCAACTTAGATTGCTGAGTTATTTATCAGGATAGAAGCTTGCTTAGAAGTGCTCAGATGCAGAGGCAATTGACATGCATGCAGATATCTCTTTAAATGAGAAAATATTGTTCCCTATAGAAACATATTGAGAAATGCATTTTAACAACTGTGATGAAACTACTGAGGACAAAAGTTATAATATCTTTCCAGGCAAGGTAAAATGAGTTGGAAAAATAGGTGAAACATAAGTAGAATGCTAAAATGTAGATATAATTGTGATCTGGACTTGGGTAAAATAGCACAGTATTATGTGGAGTGAAACTGGTATCTGAGAGCCCATAGCTATACATTGGCTAAACATCATAACCTAGGACTCAAGTTTGATTAATGGGATGGATGTTAAAAATAAATAGGGTAAATTTCACATAAGCATCATTCTTTCATATATAGGAAAACCCTTGTTAAACTCTTCCTCAAAGCTAAATATAGAATAAAAATTCAGCTATATGTCAATTTGTAGCTGGCTGACATTGTTTGAGCCAAGGAGTTGTATATCAAATTGAACGGTGTCAAAAATTGCATAACATAGTTTTTGTTAAAAAAAAAAAGTGCTGTTTTCACAATATATTGCAATTCATGACCATAAATGTTGATTTTTCCAAGATACATTATTACACCTCAGGAAATGTGATGTTTCTATTCACAATTATCAGAAGTACAAAGGGAGAAAACTAAGCCTTAAATTGCAACATATGATTTTTAAATGTGCTGATCAGTTTCAATGTGGGCATGTAAATCTGTATGATTTTCTCACATTAGAAATGAACAGATGTACTTTCACAAAAAGTACAGTAAATCAGCTTTGTAACTTTGACAAAAGTTTTGGGCTGTTACTGTTCTGCACATAGTAGTTTAGCAAATCAATTTTCTAAAAGAAATTATTTTTACAATAAAAGCATTGGCATTTTGAATAAGACAATCATTGGCTGTATGGTAGTGTCTTTCTCTTCAAGATCTTCAAAAATAGTCCTACTACAAGATCCAGCAGTCATGCTCCTAAGTATTTACTTAACTGATTTGAAATAATATGTACATATAAAGTCTGACAATAAATGGTTACAGCAGCTTTATTCATAATTGCCAAAAATAATTCATTGTTGCGACAAAGATGTCATTTGACAGGAGAGGAGAATGGGTAAAAACCTGTGATATCTTTATGCAATTGAATACTATTCAGTGATAAAAAAGAATGAGTTTAAGCTGCCTAAAGACATGGATGGAAGGGTGAAGAAAAAGACGCATATTTAATTAACTTAGGAGATAAATGGAAACTCAGTCAAAAGACAGAAGGCACTGTACTGTAGTTGGTAAATGCATTTTTCCATGGGAGTACAAGCTCACAACTCTGAAAATGTGAAATATAAATTGAACAATTAAGTAATAGATGGTATACGGTGGGAAACTGGTTTCTCATCATTAGAGAAGGATGCATGTGGTACTGTAATTGTTGAGAGACCTAAGTATGAACTTACGCAGGGCTTAATATAGATACAGATATATACATATATAAATATTTACAAACATGTAAATATACAGACATATATTTCCTTTCTTTGTCAGCCAAGAGGACCCGTGCAATTTTTGTACCACTGAACACAACTAGCACTTAGATCTTATTTTCTCATCCACTTGCCAATAAAACAAAGGACTCCTGGAAGAAATTGGTAATTCAAGGGCTGGGACAGGAAATATACAAGATGAACCTGAAACATCTCATAGTGCCAGAAAGTGAGGAAGTTTTTAAAATCCACGATGATTACATGTGACAAAAGGTCATAACTCGCAACTGATTTAGCTCCCAATGACCAAAGTAGAAATGATTTGAAGAAAAACTAAGTTAGCATAGCATTGGGCTATAGCTCAAAGTATAAATTAAATATTCACAAATCCATAACAAAACACATGCACAAAAGAAGGAAGGAAAGAAGGAAGGAAGGAAGGAAGGAAGGAAGGGAGGGAGGGAGGGAGGGAGGGAGGGAGGGAGGGAGGGAGGGAAAGAGGGAGGGAGGGACGGAGGGAAGGAAGGAAGGAAGGAAGGAAGGGAGGGAGGGAGGGAGGGAAAGAGGGAGGGAGGGACGGAGGGAAGGAAGGAAGGAAGAAAGGAAGGAAGGAAGGAAGGAAAATGAAAGGAAAGGAAAGGAAGAGGATCAAGGAGACAATCAACCAGGTAATCAAGGAGGGAAGGAGGGAAAAAAAGAAGGAAGGGAGGGAACAGACAACAGATGTGAAGAATTCCAAATACTTTATGTAGATACTCTGCCTCCAACAAAACTTTCTACCTCATAAATGATGGACTGTGCATAGCGAATTCTTTCCAAAGAGTACAGTATGGAAAATAAGAAAAAAATGATAACTTTATGCTTGAGACATCTCACAAACACTAGCTCAACTAGCTGATCAAGTCAATGTACACAGTAATAGCTCATGTTGATACTATCTACCCTTGATAAATTGTGATGGTAATGGCAATTTATGTCAGTGATCTTCCTCTACAAGACCCATAAACTCTAGTCTAATAATGAGAAACCACCCTAAATAAACCCTAATTGAAAGATATTCTTCAAAGTACAACATCCGTATCCTTCAAAGCGTTAAGGTTATCAAAACTTTTAATAGACCGAAAAATTTTTACATTTGCAGGAAGCCCAAGTAACATTTGAATTTTGTGAGTGTTATAGGTTGGCATAACAGAGAAGCTTGGATTCAGAAAGATAAAAATATACAGTGTAGCTGAGTCTATCGGCTTAGATAATGTCTGCACCAAAACCTGCATGCTTACAGCAAATAGATTTAGAGGATTTCGGATAGGCAATGTTTCTTAGGCAAAATGGAGGCTTAAATTTTACTTCTAATAACTTGATGCGTGGCTTTCTTCTTCAATTTCTCTTAAACAGTGTTGAAAATGACTTTTTCTTTATTCAAAGGTCATTACATAAACCAAGTAATGAGTAAAATAATGCATTGGAGGCTTTAAACTGCTACACCAATAGTGTATACTTTTTGAGCTCTTATTATTTATTATTATTATACAATATTTATTGAAAATTTTGGCTGCCATCATCCTGATATCTTTTATATTTTTTCCAAGATAGTTCTGACTTCAGCCTAGCTGTTTCTCTAGGGATAAAATACAGTATATCGGCAGGCATCTAGAAGACTATTGAAGAAGTTATCCCTCAATGGATGCCTTTCTTCACTAACTTAATTATATTTCTATAAGTATAAAGTTCTGGTATAAAATAAATGGCTTATTAATTTTATTTTGAAAACTTTCTGCAATTTTACAAAATCCTTAATAATAAAAGTACTTTTTTAAAAATCATGAGTATGCATGGGCCCACACTTTGTATGACACTTACTATAAATACAGTTCAAGCTCTTGACAGTTACAAAGATTATATTTGATAGGCTATGATATATACCAGAATAGCATTGATATGCATTAAAAATGTGGCTTAACAGGAAATTATATTTAGTATTTCAAAAATCTGGGAAAGAGCCTGGGGCCCTCAGCAATTCCCAGGTGATAACACTCTGAATATATGAATAAGAAATATTAAAATCCCCAAATAAAGGGAGAGGTTTGCAGGTGAGTAAATCTATATAGAGGCAGAAGTAAGGAAAATCGAGATCTTTAAGCAAAAAACAAAACAAAACAAAACACAACCTTGGTAAAATTTTAGCGCATATAATACAATGCAAAGGCAGTATGTTCTGAGGTTTTGTTATCATTCCCATTACCTGTTTCACTTAGAAATTGTTGCAAATTCAGTGTCCAAAGAATTGTAAACCTTCTCATCTATTACAGGATATTTTCACATTATCTGTGATAAGATGACAACAAATATTTTACCTCACAGAGGTTTGAGCCTTTGCTGGGGTTTCTATTAAAATATAATACATTCTATATTTGTGGAAACTATGGTAAAGCAGTTAAATAACAAACAGAATCAAGATAATACGTTTATACTGTCTCTTCTTACCAGGGACTAAAAATTTTCCAAATATGAAAAACGTTGAGCATAAAATAGATGAATTAATGCAAGGGACTCATTCAACAAATATAAATATAAAAATTTAATTAAAATTTGAAATAAATTATGTCCCAATATATCTTTGTGCAAACCCCAACATAGACCCTTCTCTCTGTTTTCCTATTTATGCTCTTCTTTATGAAGAGATACAGCAGCAGAATGTTTCTTTCCTTATTTCTTCTAAAGAAAAAAAAAAACTGGGATACATGTGCAGAACGTGCAGGTTTGTTACATAGGTATACGTGTGCCATGGTAGTTTTCTGCAACTACTGGCCTGTCCTCTAAGCTCCCTCCCCTCATCCCCCATCCCCCAATAGGCCCTGGTGTGATGTGTTGCCCTTTCGGTGCCCATGTGTTCTCAGTGTTCAATTCCCACTTATGAGTGAGAACATGCGGTATTTGGTTTTCTGCTCCTGTGTTAGTTTGCTTAGAATGATGGTTTCCAGCTTCAGCCATGTCCCTGCAAAGGACGTGAGCTCATTCCTTATTATGGCTGCATAGTATTCCATGGTGTATATGTACCACATTTTCTTTATCCAGTCTATCATTGATGGGCATTTGGGTTGGTTCCATGTCTTTGCTATTGTAAATAGTGCTGCAATAAACAGACATGTGCATGTGTCTTTATAGTAGAATAATTTATATTAGTTTGGATATATACACAGTACTGGGATTGCTGGGTCAAATGGTATTTCTGGCTCTAGATCCTTAAGGAGTTGCCATACCGTCTTCCACAATGGTTGAACTAATGTATATTCCTATGAACAGTGTAAAAGCATCCCTATTTCTCCACAGCCTTACCTACACAGATTGTATCCTGACTTTTTAATAATTGCCATTCTGACTGGCGTGGGATGGTATCACATTGTGGTTTTGATTAGCATTCTTCTGATGATCAGTGTTCAGCTTTTTTTCATGTGTTTGTTGGCCATGTAAATGTCTTCTTTTGAAAAGTGTCTGTTCATATCCTTTGCTCATTTTTGATGGGGTTGTTTGTTTTATCTTGTAAATATGTTAAGTTCCTTGTAAATTCTGAATATTAGATCTTTGTCAGATGGGTAGACTGCAACAATTTTCTCCCAATCTGTAGGTTGCCTGTACACACTGATGATAGTTTCTTTTGCTGTGCAGAAGCTCTTAAGTAAAATTAGATCCCATTTGTTAATTTTGGCTTTTGTTGTGATTGCTTTTGGCATTTTTGTCATAAAGTCTTTGCCTGTGCCTATGACCTGAATGGTATTGCCTTGGTTTTCCTCTGGGTTTTTATGATTTTGGGTTTCACATTTAAGTCTTTAATCCATCTTGAGTTAATTTTTGTACAAGGTTTAAGGAAGGGGTCCAGTTTCAGTTTTCTGCCAATAGCTAGCCAGTTTTCCCAGCACCATTTACTGAATAGGAGATCCTGTCCCCCTTGTTTGTTTTTGTCATGTTTGTCGAAGATCAGATGGTTGTAGATGTGTGGTGTTACTTCTGAGGCCTCTGTTCTGCTCCATTGGTCTATATGGCTGTTTTGGTACCAGTACCATGCTGTTTTGGTTACTGTAGCCTTGTAGTATAGTGTGAAGTCAGGTAGCGTGATGCCTCCATCTTTGTTCCTTTTGCTTAGAATTGTCTTGGCTGTGTGGGCTCTTCTTTTATTTCATATAAAATTTAAAATAGTTTTTTCTAATTCTGTGAAGAATGTCAATGGTAGTTTCATGGGAATAGCATTGAATCTATAAATTACTTTTGGCAGTATGGCCATTTTCATGATATTGATTCTTTCTATCCATGAGGATGAAATGTTTTTTGATTTGTTTGTGTCCTCTCATTTCCTTGAGCAGTGGTTTGTAGTTCTCTTGAAGAGTTCCTTCACATTCCTTGTTAGCTGTACTCCTAGTTATTTTATTCTCTTTGTAGAAATTGTGAATGGGAGTTCATTCATGATTTGGCTCTCTGCTTGCCTATTGTTGGTGTAAGGGAATGCTTGTGATTCTTGCACATTGATTTGGTATCCTGAGACTTTGCTGAAGTTGCTTATCAGTTCAAGAAGTTTTTGGGCTGAGATGATGAGGTTTTCTAAATATAAAATCATGTGATCTGAAAACAGAGACAACTTGACTTCCTCTCTTCTTATTTGAATACCTTTATTTGTTTCTCTTGCCTGATTGCTCTGGCGAGAACTTCCAATACTATGTTGAATAGAAGTGGTGAGAGAGGGCATCCTTGTCTTGTACTGGTTTTCAAAGGGAATGCTTCCAGCTTTTGCCCATTTAATATGATATTGACTGTGGGTTTGTAACAAATAGCTCTTATTATTTTAATATATGTTTCATCAATACTTAGTTCATTGAGAGTTTTTAACATGAAGGGATGTTGAATTTTATTGAAGGCTTTTTCTGCATCTATTGAGATAATCATGTGGTTTTTTCATTGGTTCTGTTTAAGTGATTTTATTGATTTGCGTATGTTGAATTAGTCTTGCATCCCAGGAATGAAGCCGACTTGGTGATGATGGATAAACTTTTTGATGTGCTGCTGGATTCAGTTTGCCAGTACTTTAATGAAGATTTTCACATAGATGTTCATCAGGGATATTGGTTGAGGTTTTCTTTTTCTGTTGTGTCTCTTCTGGGTTTTGGTATCAGGATGATGCTGGCTTCATAAAATGAGTTAGGAAGGAGTCCTTCCTTTTCAATTGTTTGGGATAGTTTCAGAAGGAATGGTACCAGCTTCTCTTTGTATTTCTGGTAGAATTCAGCTGTGAATCCATCTGTTCCTGGGCTTTTTTTGATTGATAGGCTATTAATTACTGCCTCAATTTCAAAGCTTGTTATTGGTCTAGTCAGGGACTCAACCTCTTTCTGGCTTAGTCTTGGGAGAATGTATGAGTCCAGGAATTTCTCCATTTCTTCTAGAATTTCTAGATTACTTGCATAGAAGTGCTTTTAGTATTCTCTGATAGTAGTTTGAATTTCTGTGGGGTCAGTGGTGATATTCCCTTTATCATTTTTTGTTGTGTTTGACTCTTCTCTCCCTTCTTTATTAGTCTAGCCAGCAGTCTATCTTCTTTTTTAAATTTTTTCAAAAAAACAGCTCCTGGATTCATTGATTTTTTTTTTTGAGGGCTTTTTGTGTCTTTATCTCCTTCAATTCCTCTCTGATTTTATTGTAATTTATCACATTCTGCTAGCTTTTGGATTAGTTTGTGCTTGCCTCTCTAGCTCTTTTAATTATGATGTTAGAGTGTCAATTTCAGATACTTCTAGCTTTCTGATGTGGGCATTTAGTGCTATAAATTTCTCTCTTAACACTGCTTTAGCTGTGTCCCAGAGATTCTGATACGTTGTCTCCTTGTTCTCATTGGTTTCAAAGAATTTTTATTTCTGCCTTAATTTCGTTATTTACCCAGGAGTCATTCAGGAGGAGATTGTTTAATTTTCATGAAATTGTGTGGTTTTGAGTAAGTTTCTTAATCCTGAATTCTAATTTGATTGCACTGTGGTCTGAGAGACTGTTATTATTTCAGTTCTTTTGCATTTGCTGAGGAGTGTTTTATTTCCAATACTGTGGTCAGTTTTAGAATAAGTGCCATGTGGCACTGAGAAGAATATATATTCTGTTGATTTGGGGTAGAGAGTTCTGCAGACATCTACTAGGTCTACTTGATCTAGAGCTGAGTTCAAGTCCTGGATATCCTAGTTAATTTTCTGTCTCATTGATCTGTCTAATACTGACAATGGAGTGTTAAAGTCTCCCACTATTGCTGTATGGAAGTCTAAGTCTCTTTGTAGGTCACTAAGAACTTGTTTTATAAATCTGAGTGCTCCTGTATTGGGTGCATATATATTTAAAATAGTTAGCTCTTCTTGTTGAATTGTGTCCTTTACCATTATGTAATGCCCTTCTTTGTCTTTTTTGATCTTTGTTGGTTTAAAGTCTGTGTTTTGTCAGAGACTAGCATTACAACCTCTGCTTTTTTTTTTTTTCTTTCCCTTTCCTTGCTAAATTTTCCTCCATCCCTTTATTTTGAGCCTGGGTGTGTCTTTGCACATAAGACGGGTCTCCTGAATACAGCACACAGATGGGCCTTGACTCCTTATTCGAATTGCCAGTCTGTTTTTTTTTTTTTTTTGACGAAGTTCTAAAGCTAATTTAATGAGGAAGAGACAATCTTTTCAACATATGGTGCTGTAACAACTGTATATCCAGAGGCAAAATAATAAACTTCTACCCATACCTTACCGCATACGTAAAAATCAACCCAAATGGACTAGAGGCCTAATATGAAAGCTAAAACTATAAAGCCTCTAGAATAAACAGGCAAATATAACCTTGGAGTAAGCAAAGATTTCCTTCCTTCCTTCCTTCCTTCCTTCCTCCCTCTCTCCCACCCTTCCTCCCTTCTTTCCTTTCTTCTTTCAGACAAAGTCTCACTCTGTCACCCAGGCTGGAGGGCAGTGGTGTGAGGCAGGGGAGTTTCTCGAACCCAGGAGGCAGAGGCTGCCATGAGAAGTCTGTGTTTTTTAATTAGGGCTTTTAGCCCATTTATATTTAAGGTTAGTATTGTTATGTGAGAATTTGATCCTGTCATCATGAAGCTATTCGGTTATTTTGCGCACTAGTTGATGCAGTTTCTTCATCATATCATTGGTCTTTATATTTTGGTGTGGTTTTGCAGTGGCTGGTACAGGTTTTTCCTTTCCATATTTAATGCTTCCTTCAGGAGCTCTTGCAGGGCAAGCCTGGTGGTAGCAAAATCCCTCAGCATTTGCTTGTCTGGAAAGGATTTTATTTCTCCTTCACCGATGAAGCTTAGTTTGACTGGATATGAATTTCTGATTTGAAAAAAACTCTTCTTTAAGAATGTTGAATATTGGTCTCCAATCTCTTCTGGCTTGTAGAGTTTCTGCTGAGAGGCTCACTGTTAGTCTGATGGGCTTCCCTTTGTAGGTGACTTGGCCTTTCTCTCTGGCTGTCCTTAATAGTTTTTCCTTCATTTTGTCTTGAAGAATCTGATGATTATGTGTCTTGGGGTTGATAGTCTCGTGGAGTATCTTAATGGTGTTCTCTGTATTTCCTAAATTTGCATGTTGGCCTGTCTTGCTAGGTTGGGGAAGTTCTCCTGGATAATATCCTGAAGGGTGTTTTCCAGCTTGTTTCCATTCTCCCCATCTCCTTCTAGTATTCCAATCAAATGTAGGTTCAGTCTTTTCATGAAATCCCATATTTCTTGGAGGCTTTGTTCATTCCTTTTCATCACTTTTACTGTATTCTTGTCTGCATATCTTACCTCAGTAAGGTGGTCTTCAAACTCTGACATACTTTCTTCCACATGGTCAATTTAGCTACTGATACTTGCATATGGTTTAGGAAGTCCTCGTGCTGTGTTTTTCAGCTCCATCAGGGCATTTATGTTCCTCTCTAAACTGGTTAATTCTAGTTAGCAATTCCTCTATCATTTTATCAAGGTTCTTAGCTTATTTGCATTGGGTTAGAACATGATCCTTTAGCACATTGTAGATTTTTATTACCCATCTTCTGAAGCCTACTTCTGTCAATTCGCCCATCCGATCCTCCTGCAGCTCTGTGCCCTTGATGGAGAGACGTTGCAATCATTTGGAGAAGAAGAGGCACTCTGGCTTTTGGGTTTTCAGCATTTTTTCATTGATTCTCTCTCATCTTCCTGAGATTGTCTAGTTTTCATCTTTGAGGCTGCTGTCCCTTGGATGGGGCTTTTGTGGGGCCCTTTTTTTTGGTTGTTGTTGTTGTTTATGCTATTGTTGCTTTCTGCTTGTTTGTTTTCCTTTCAGTAGTCTGGTTCCTCTTCTGTAGGGCTGCTGCAGTATTCTGGAGGTTCACTTCAGGCCCTATTCATCTGATTTGCTCCTGTGCCTGAAGATGTCATTCAAGGAGGCTGAAGAGCAGCAAAGATGTGTGCCTCCTCCTCCTTCTGGGACCTCTGACTTTGAGGGGCACCAACTGATGCCAGCAGGCTAGCTCCCGTATAGGGTATCTGACAACACCTGTTGGAGGATCTCACCCCGTTGGGTGGCACGGGGAGCAGAACCTGTTTAACAAAGCACCTTGTCCCTTGGTAAAGATGGTGTGTTTTGCTGGGGAGAAAACCACTTGTCTGGGCTGTCCGTATTCCTCAGAACTACCAGGAGGGAAGACTAAGTCTGTTGGTCTGCAAAGACTGCGGCTACCCCTTCCCCTAGGGGCTCAGGCCCAGGAGATCCGAATTCTGTCCCTGAGCCTCAGGCTGGAGTTATTGGAGATCCTGCAGGGAGGCCCTGCTCACTGAGGAAGGACGGGTCATGGTTAGGCCTGAAGAGGCACTCTGGCCGCAGACTGCCACAGCCAGTGTGTTGGGCTGTGAGGACAAGTCTTGGGACCAAGCCATCCAGCCTCCCTGGCTCCAGCAGGGGAAAAGTATGGCCTGGAGCTATAGGAATGGGTGCGGCCCTTTCCCATATCAGAGAGCTTAGCATGTTAGGCAGTTGCAGGTCCCAGTGCTGGCTGCTGCCCCTCCCCCAAGGAGCTCAAAGGGCTTAGACAGCAGGCAGCTGCAGCCAGTGCTGGTCATCCCTCCCCTAGGGAGTTTAGTAGGCTTAAGCAGATTCTAGCTGAGTAGCTGTACAAATCTGCACAATCCAGGGTTGTGATGCTAGGCCCAGTGGCATGGATTCACAAGTTGGATCTTCCAATCCGTGAGTTGCACAGTTCCATGAAAAAAGCAGTTTCCTGGCTCGGTAGCATGCTCACTCACTACCTCCCTTGGCTGTCAGGAGGGTGTTCCCCTTCCCCACGTGGCTCTCAGGGGATCCCCACACCACAATGCTTTTCCTTCTCTCTGTGGGTCATGCCAGCCTTCGAGTCAATTTTGGTGAGAGAACCTGGATACCTTGATTGCCGGTGAAGGATTTGCATGCTTATTATGCTCATTTTTGATGAGAGCCTCCAAACACCACGGCTTCTAGTCGGCTGTCTTGGCCTGGCCCCTAGCAGCAGAAATTAATACTCACCTATGTATGCAACCAAATGCAGGTCCAGATGCTCACCAGTTGCAGAGTCTAATTAACAACAGTGAGACATGGTAGAATGAAAGTGATTTTATTAACCGAAACTAGTAAAGAAGTGGCCAGATTCCCATCCAAAGCAACCACTTGAATTTTGGGGAAGAAGACAGGAGTTTAAAAGGCAAAAACTTGATAAGGACAACTTGCAAGAATTGCGCTGAGTTGTCTATGTGTCTTGTTTTGGTGGCTCTCTTGAGTCCCAGTCCACCTCGATCATGGGCCAGCATAATCTCACCAATGGCCAGGTTGTTAATCAGCCACCTTGAAGTGATCTCTGGAATTTTGCAGCTGGGACTCCAGGCTTGGTTTGTCTGTCTCAAGATTAGTCCCTAGAACTTTTAAAAAGGCAAATAAGTAGATACTAGTGTGCGGTTAGATAAATGTGAAGGGAATATATATGGTGAGAAATAAAGAGACATGGAGTCTATTTTAAGGCTAAGAAAAAAGGCTTCTGAGGTTTGCTTCAAGGTTATATCTTGAAACCTAGTGGAAAGAAAAAAAGAAAGTTTTAAAATGAATTTTGAAGTTAAGCTGCCCAGTTACATGTATACAATTAAAAATTATGACAATTTTTAAACAAAAAAACAAATTTCTGGATAAAATATGTAATAAATGAATATTGTTTAAAGCCTTTTTATTGTGGTAATTTGTTTTTATATAAAGCATAGGTGTACATATATCTATATATAAGAATATATGATAAATATGCTTTATATTTCGGTACTAAATGATAAAGAAAATTCATAAAATATATTCTTAGTAAGGCATCACATTCTGGTCCCATTTCAGCCTGAATGATTTCATTATTTCTTTTAAGACAGATCTGATAGCACCAATTTTCCTCTCTCTCTCCATCTCTCTCTCTCTCTGTCTCTTTCTCTCTCCCAAATAGGAAAAATCTTCATTCATCTTGTCTTTTGAAGGATACTATTGGTACTTATAGAATGTATGTCTTCTGTGTTTAGCTAATGTCTAAAATGAATTCTTTTATTAACTTCTTTAAAAGAGTGTGAATAGTTCTATTTTCTGAATATTCAATTATTACTTCCTCAGAGCGTTAGAATTGCAATGTACTTCATTTTTACTCTGGCCAAGGTTCCATTGCCTCTTCAATCAATGTCTTGGACATCACCGTCTCCATCTTAAGTATTGTCTTTTTTCCACCTCATAGAAAATTCCCAGGCATTTTTTACCCATAATTGCTTTCTTAGAAACAGTCTTGGGTTGCATAGTGCCTTACTGCCACTAGTTGATTCATACAGATGCTGTTTCTTTTGATGACTCAGGTATCAGTTCACTGAATCCCTCAAACTGCAGAATCATGTTATATTCTCGAGATGGTTTCATTAAAGTCCTATCTGTTTTAAGTGAAAATTGCATCAGAAAATATAAATTTGACTGACACATTCTCTGATGTTTCCCAGGTTCATTTTCTGCCATTCATTAAAAACATGTGTTTCACATATGCTCTGTAGAATGCCGTGTCATCTAAATATAAAATTAAGACACAGCCATGATCTGACATCACCCCTGACCTTGTCAATTTATGCTTATTTTGTGTTTTGTGTCTATTATAATAAATGTGACATAAAAGTCTAGCATTAAAAAAATTCTCTTTGTACGTTTATGGAGCTATATGGTAAAATAGTGGTAGTTTTTATTTCAAAATATGTATTTTTTCCCTATCTACTTGGCCAAGTTATTATTGTAATAATGACATAATTTATGCAAATCTTAGCTGACAAATTTAAGATGTTAGAGCATCCTTATTTTCTGGCACATCTATTATTAATGCTCAAGGTAATTTTGTAGTAGAAAGATAGTTAATCTGTTTTTTTGAAAGTAACTATGAGGAACGTACTGTATTTGGAAGTTTCTGTTCTAAATTCTTTTTAAAGTTTATGCTTTTCTTTTCGTTTACAAATTAGATATAAAAATAGAACTATTTTTCTAATTTCTGAATAACTTAACTTATAAACAATTTATAAACATTTAAAATAAGGATCATAGAGGCAAGGTTGTATCTGGCATCATTGCTAACTAATTATGGCACAAATTGATTTGAAAATGAGATTCAAACTAAAATTAGAATTTGTCATGGTAGCCTTCATTTCTGCAGAGTTTTAGCCAGCAATTCCCTTATTTAACAAAATAGACTTGGTCAGGCTCTGTGAATGATGAAAGAAGGATGAAGAGGAAAATCAGTACAGGAGGGAGGGGAAGAGGAGGAATGTGATAAAGAGGAGAAAGAGAAGAATGTGGTCTTTTACTAATGAGCTTAAAATCTGACATATATGAAACAGAATGGGAGCTACATAATAAATAGAAATCAGCTACAATTTTTCAATGTTATTAAGTAAAATTTCTCTTTTCATTGACTTCTAAATTAGTCAATTCACTTAAATAACCACTAATTAATTATTACTAGTGATTCATTTGTGATTTGATTTACTGGAGTGCTATTTTATTTCAGATGTTTTGTCAATTGTTTTAACAATGACTGATTTTACATTTGCAGGCAATATTACAGATAATTAAAACGCAAATAATTTAAACTACCAACTCTTAACAATAGCAATGCAATAAAATAGTACATTTGGGGACAATGATCCAAATAAAGTGCTAAATTTGCCTTTAATTGATATTTGCAAACTTAAATGGGTATTAGTGTTGTAAACCAAAAATAAAATTCTAAGGCTCCCATTTGACTGAATGGAACCCTCTTGGCCAATGGCATCCCAAAGAAATCTGAAAAACTAGTTCAGGCCATGACATGGAGATCAGACATGCCTTATAACAATCTCTTCCCTTTGGAATTGAGGCACAACTGACCAGCAAAACATTAAACTAAATATTTTTAAACTGAAAAAACAGACTGTTTGTAGCAGTAAAATGCCGAACTCCAACCTGACTCTGGTATACCATCACAACACAGATAGCAGGCCTCAAGAAAATCAAAGCATTTTATCTCAAAATATATTTTCTTTAACATACTTGGAAATGGCCCTGCAAAGCTGTCCCCTCTGTGGGGAATTTACATTCTGCAGAGAATCTCCATTTCTTTCTATGTTGTTTTTTTCTTTTTTTTTCCCAATCTAGGAAAGATTTAAGAGTCTTGACACCTTTTAAGATCTGATAAAATACATTTATCATCTATTCTGTCTGAAGCCAGCTACCAGCAGGCTTCATCTATAGAACAAGAACCTTGGCTTCCACAATCCCCCTTAAGCGAAGCATTTCTTTATGTTGACTTCAAGTCTTCAAGTAAAGTTTAACTCTTTCAAGCACTTGCTAATCAGGAGATCTTTAAATCCACCTGTGACCTGGAAGTACCCCTGCTTCAAGGTGTCACACTTATCTGGGCTGAATCAATGTGTTCCTTATATGTATTGATTTAAATATTTGCCTTTAACTTCTGCTCCTTAAAATGTATAAAACCAAGCTGTAACTCAACTCTTGCGGCTGTGTCACAGGGCTTGGTAACTCATATATGGCTCAGAATAAACCTCTTGAAATATTGTACAGTTTGGCTTTTTTCATGAACAATGTTTAAGATTTAAACATATACCTGCATTTGCAAAATAATTACCCATAGATCAGAATCAGCAACAAAGATTGAAGCAAGAGTTCTGAGAAAACTATTATGCCATGTCCTTTTATTCAAAGGAGTGAATTCAGTATTTCACCTTTTTGTCATATTTATCAAAAAAAGACAATTGGTCAATTAAAAAATGTATGTGAGACTGTTTTTTAAATTTTATACACACCCATACAATATCTGTACTGACTTTTTCTCTGTGGCTCTGCTTGGAATCCTAAGACCACCACTGGAATATGGTTAAAGTTAAATAAGGACCTTGCTGGGGAAATTGGAGAGATACAGCCAGCAACCAGCCAACCATCAGATGCAAAGTGAGGCCCATGCTGTATCATCCAACCACCAGCTGGTCTTCCAGATTTTCATAGACAAGTGAGAAAGCCTATTAAAAATCAATGAAGGTATTCAAGAACGGAATATATTCACATAGGAAAAAAATCAAACAATTATGTAGAAAATGTGTCCAATACATTGCAAATTATATTAAATAGGAAAATCACAGATAAGCATATCAAATAAATAAGAAAATATGCATACACTCACTAGTAAATTGACTTCAAATTGCTACTGATACATAGTGGTGTTTTCTTTTTATCTTTACTAGGGTTAAATTAAAAACATGTGATATCACAAATGTTTCTTTGGATGGGAAAGTGAACACACACGAAACTGATAGAAATGCAAATGAATCTTTTTGGATAGCATTCTACCAAAATGAACTGAAAATTTACTTATACTGCAAGGGTGTGCATTGGAAGAAAAATTATTAGTTTGTGCTTTGTCAGACTTTGTGACACCCTATTTATTTTTTCCAATAAGTTTTATATTCCCTTTAATTATGAAAACTCAGCATATAAAAGAATTTTAATTTTCTAAAGAAATGCTTATAGATGAAGGTCTAAGTCTGTGACAACGGTCATTCATTGTACTGATTTTTGGAATTTTATTATAATTAATTTTTTATTTATAAGTAGTTTATTCACTGATGTAGCCATTCATTTTACTTTCAGCTAAGTTTTTAAGAATATAGTTGTACAATACAAAGTAAAGTATAATATATGCTTTCTACCTCTACAAAATCAATAGGATAGTAGAAGGGAGAGAAAACAAACATTAGTGGACAAATGCTCTTTTATGGAAAATATAATATGATATGGAGACACATATGAGTATCATATAAATTAGCTTGGGAGGGTTCCCTAGGGATAGGGAACATTTCCTAAGAAAACCATCTCTAAATAAGTCCAGAAATTGACAACATTGGTAGAAAGAAAGAGGTTCAGAAAGAGGAGAAAATAGAAACTATTTCAAGCAAAAAGGGAAGCATTTCAATGATATGGATGTGTGAGAGAGACATAATGTATTCAAAAGTGTATAAAGTGTCAGGATGAGTGCAGAGGTCTAACATGAGAAGAGCGGAATCTAGATGAACGAAAGACTTTGTAAGTTATGTGAAGCAGTTTAGACTGAATTCTAAGGGTACTTAAATACTGGGTTTGTGTAATAGGTAATTCTAATTGAAACGTATTTAGGGATAGAAGGTTGGAAGTTTTATTGAAAATATAGATAGTATGCAAAGAATAGCCATTATGGAAGTAAAGAGACATCAAAAGCCACTTGAAGTGTGGTTATTGGCACCAAGATGTTATATATTTCTTAACAGAACCACTGCAAGTAATATGTAGAGCATTTCTAGATGCTTTTCATTTAATTGATACTGTCACATTATTGTATGTCAGTAGAATCATTTTAATGAATTCTTAATTTCCATTTTAAATATTTTAAATATGTTATTTTGAAAAGTATTTTGACATTATTTTTTCTTTATATATTATGTATTTTATTTACATTGGGTTAAATATTAATTTTGGAGTGTTTATAACAATATTTTCTCCTGTAGTTTGACAATTCGGGTACACAATGGGAGTTAAAATTGCCATTTGTCCTAAGCCTTATACACTGAAACTACTATATGATAGTATTCAACATATTTGTTCCTAGATTGTTTTTTCTAAATATGAAATCAGAGAATGGTTATAGAAGACTCAAAATATCCAAAACTAAAATTTTAAATAAAAAAGGACAGTAGAAAATAAATCTGGGGAATTTCCATTATATGAAGAAAGGTTTGAAAATGAAATGAACGCAGGGAAAACAGAGAAAAAAATTGAGAGATACAGAAACAGCAAGACAAGTGAAGAGATTTAGAGCCATCCCACTTAATTTGAGCCGCTTGGTTAAGCTACATATCAAGCAGATAATGCTCATTTTCATCATGGTAATGTAAACCAAAGCTGCCTTTCATTCTGAAGTAATTTGCATGACACTACATTCATCACCAGTTCAATGTGTATGAATGAAATCCTTCTACATGCATATATTCTAACATTCTTCTTATATAGTTTATCTTAACTTATTCAGACTATTATATGCATATTTCTTGAGCTTCTCTTATAATTAGTAATTGTAAGCTGAACAATTTTATTATTTTAACAAATTTCAAAAAAAACCAATTGCATATTTATTTAAATTATTTTTTAACTTAAGAGATAGTTAAATATATAAGGCTCATTCAGAAGGGAAAATCAGAAATAAATTATTTTAGTGTGTAAAAAAGGTAAATCATTATTAAAACTTTTCCTTAGTAATGTGAACTTGATGCAGTTGTTATGCAACAGGGCCCCCTTTTCAAGTGCAATAAGAGGACAAAGTATTATCTATTGTGATTAACACATTTTACCAGAGAACCAAATCATTAGGATCACTTAAGAAAAAACATCAGTGAGATATGGCAGGCAGGATGTTGACAAATAATGTTAATATTTCTCACATGCTGTTATTAACTAAAAGTAGAAAGTGATTTCAACTTGAAAAATTTTATTGAAAATAACCTTAAGCTATAATATAGCTTAATTCTTAATTAGTACGTTGATTCTTAATATTAGTACGTTGATAACTGATACAAATTACTTAAAAGATAGAAGTAAAATTATCACATCTGGATTTTAAATCAATTTTCTAAAATTAAAATACATGCAAAAATATTGTGCTAAATATTGTAATGGAATTCTTCATATGTGTAAAATTTTAAAAAAAGTAGACTAAATGTTGATACCCTTAGATATCTTTGTCTGATAGTATTTTAGAGTCAAATTTTCTTTACTTCAATAAAATTAGCATTTAGTACCTACTATATATGAGACTTTAGATTAGGCACTCAGGATAGAAAATGCTTACAGAAATTCCCTTAGCTTCTAGGAATTTACATAAAATTAGCAGGTGCAGTACATGTATTTTGAAAGATGATTTTTATAAGCCCATCAATAATAAAGGTAAAAGAAGGGCTCTTCATATGGAGAGATCAGTATGAGACAAGAAAGAAAGTTTTATTTTGGAACCAAAAGCATTGAATACAGATGTCACTAAAAATGTGAGGTGAGATGTGACTGGAGAAGAGGCCGCAGAGTTAGCTGAAGAGTGAGCCAAGAAGGCTCCTTTATTTTCACTAAGGGTTTTGAGGTTTATTCCACAAACAATGAATTTTTACAGAATAGTTACATTGTCCTTCTAAACGACAGTATGGAGGATGACTTGAGCAGTGTGTGCAACCCTGGCTGAAAATGTGTATCTGGTGGACGCTGTCAAAGATGGTTCCTGGTTTTAATCCTCAAAGTGAGCTCAGTTTATAGTGTAGGGATGTGCCACATGTTTGATAAATTCTAGAGTTACAATTTGTTGAAATCTAACAGATGACCCTATGCCTGAAGGCATCACTCTATAGCTTAGATAGTGCACTTGGCCTAAAATAATTGTATAGCATGTAAGGAGGAAGAACAAAATGCACATGTACACAATTCTGAATGAGCCTTCAACCCATCCATGGTGCATGATCCTCCTTTGCAGGCTCAGCAAACTTCTGTCTTTCTAGTGGTTTTCTACAGTGTTTATGTTAGGCTCTGAGATTCCTGTACTTTTCTCTCACTTCTTGATATATTTAGTGGATTCAAAAGACAAAGTTAGCATCCCACATTAGTTTACTATTTTACCAGAACTTTACTTTTTACATGAAGATTATTTAATAATTCTAAAAAACAGATTTTAGGGTCTTCTGTTGTTGATATTTAGTTTTACTTCAGTGTAAGCAGAGAGTATAGCCTATGGATATGTTTATTTATTTGTATATTTTCCAACTTTCAAAGTCTATTGATATTTTCTCAGGAAAATGAAGTTAAATTTGCAAATGTCAGTAAATGTGATGTGGATATAAAATAATTTGTTTAAGTACAGTATTTCATGCATTTCTATGTGAATATATTATTTCTTACTTTCATAGATTTTGGGTTTTAGAAATTCATTCCTGTTAGTTTTGCTATTCAGTTATTCTATACTTCACTTGTATTAGCTTGTCTTTTTTTTAAAAAAAAGTTTCAATGTATATGGACTTAAAAAGAAATCAGATCTATTCTTCATTGTTTTTCTTTACAATCTGATAGCATGACTTAAAATATTTAAATAAATTATAAAGCAGAAACAAAAAACATATATCTCCATGAGATCCAGACTGGGAAGTAAAGGGAAGGAGGAAGAGATGTAAAGAGATCAGTTAATGGATAGAAAAATACAGTTGGATGGAAGGAATACGTTCTAGTGTTTGATAGCACAGCAGGGTAATGAAATTAAGAGGGATTGATAGGATATTTCAAAATAACTAGAAGAGAAGATTTGAAATGTCTCAACATATGTTTGTAATGATGGGTAACCCAGTCACCCTAATTTGATCGTTACACATTGCATTCATGTATAAAAATATAACCTGTACCCCACAAATATGTACAACTATTATATATCAATAAAATAAAATATAAGAGTACAGAAAAAAAGATGCATAATTTTCACAAATAGTATAGGTTTCTCTACCGTGTCATTGGAAAATATTGTATGGATGTAGAGTGTTCCCTTTGCCAGCACATATACTAAAATTTGATGTAAAATATTTGAGTCGGATCTAATGAATGAGTAGTAATTAAGTAGGAAAAGATGTTACATAGGCCTCCTAGGCAGAATAAATGAGGACTAGAGAAGAAAGGAGAAAATTGGAAGATACATGGTGTCGTTATCATGTTTGGTGACATTATTAACAGAAATTGAAACCAAACTGGCTTATACAATAAGGAAAGCCATTAATTCTTACATACCAAAGTTAATTGCTATGGTGGGTTTCAGTGGCAATTAATTTAGTGTCTTTTTTTTTTTACAAATTCATATTTTCTCTCTATGTTAAAGACAGTTCTTCTCATAGACATGAGAAGCAAAGGGAACTCTTTGGAGGACAGAAAAGTAATTTTGCTTCTTAGTTGTCTCTCATAAGCATGAGGGAAACCTTTCTGATGAGATTTCCAGTAAACCTGTCCTTGAAATCATCAGCACAGGTTGAGTCATGTGGGCATTCTTAAACAAATCATGGCATTGCTGGTTTTCATGGTCATTGGAACAATAAATCCTTGCTTTTGATGTAAGGTCAGTTCTTCAAATCACAACTTGCTTTGCCCAGTGGTATAAAGTGAATGGACTTAGGAAAGGTAACCACAGTGCCCAACATAGTGTATTCTGATAATTTTATGTAGGTGGTTTTGACTAGAGCAACATAAATATAAGTATATTATCTCACTGAATTGCCCTTTTAGATGTAGTAAGTAAGCTCCTGTTATTACATTTTCTATTCTTAATGATTTAATACATGTAACTTAAAAAAAGGGCCATTTAATTGGCAAAATGTCATCTTGTCATGCTTAAAAAAGACTCATAAAAATATTCAGTAAATTGATTTATCTAAAAAATGATATAATAAACTGAGTCTTAAAGGTCTGGAAGGTTTCATTGTGGTCCACTTCTTGGGAGTTCAATGATTGGTACTTCTGATTTCTGTTTGTTCACAGAATCACATGTACACATGTATGTTAACTGGTTGAAGAAGTTACTGTGCATTTTTTTTTGTTGTGGGGTGGGGGGAGGGGGGAGGGATAGCATTGGGAGATATACCTAATGTTAAATAAGGAGTTAATGGGTGCAGCACACCAACATGGCACATGTATACATATGTAACTAACCTGCACGTTATGCACATGTACCCTAAAACTTAAAGTACAATAAAAAAAAAAAAAAGACAGAGTCTTGCTCTGTCACCCAGGCTGCAGTGCAGTGGTGTGATCTTGGCTCACTGCAACCTCCACCTCCTGCGTTCAAGAAAAATTCTCCTGCCTCAGCCTCTCGAGTAGCTGGGATTACAGGCATGTGCCACCACGCCTGGCTAATTGTTTTCTATTTTTAGTAGAGATGGGGTTTTGCCATGTTGGCCAGAATGGTCTCCAACTCCTGGCCTCAAGTGATCTGCCCGCCTCAGTCTCCCAAAATGCTGGGATTACAGGCATAAGGCACCGCACCCCGCCCTTTTTGTGCACTTTTTAAAGTTATAGCAGAAATAACTTGTCTCAAATAATGATTAATACCATGGATAAACTCCACTAATTTTTATCTTAAATGTAGATTATATTTATAAAAAAGGACGTGTGAGGCCGTATTTTGCATGCCTGTATTTATTATCAAACTGATTAGGCAATTACGTTCCTTAAATGGACATTGTCCAATCCCTGAAGACAATGTTGACTAATCTTTGCTGCCTGTAACCCTAAGTAATAGCCATTTGGCTATTGAATACTTGCAATGTGATCGGCATAATTAAAAATCAGAATACTTAATTTTATTTAAATGTAAGTAATTTAAATATAGACAGCCACAAGTACGTAGTTGCTGCTATATTAAGCCAGCACCGTCTTAGACTGGCAAAGAGTTTGAACGCATGCCAAGTAAGGTACACTGAAGAACATCTAAATACCAATATGTTGTAAATCATGCATATCATAATATTAATAATCTACTTATCATGGGAAGAAACTGTAGGAATAATATGAATGAGAAAGCATTATAGTATGCCTTTCACTTTGCACCACATTTTCTGAAAATATCATAAACCTAAAGTCAATAAATTATATGTTATGATAGTAATATATATCCAGAAACAATAATTGAAAGCACGGTGCTTGCTACAAGTACAATAAAATGCCATCTGCATCATTTTTAACAATACAGTTATTCCTTTTAAAATATATTCTCTTGCTCTTTGTACGCATTATGCATTTCATGTCATTGAATTGACAGTTATTACACACATAAGAAGGCGTTAACCCGTATGACATCTCCTTATTTTAAATCCACTTGGTTAGTAACCTTAACTGCGTCTGCAAATTCTTTTACAGCAATATATAGATTAATGTTTTATTGAATAAGCATTGGAAGGGAATATTGAGAGGATACCTTTAGTTGCTAACAACGTGTAATATTTATTTTTAAGGGACAAGAAAGGGACTATTATGCAATAAGTACTTACCATGGAGTAGAGTTTATTGCTTTGTACCTTAGAAGAAAAACATCTAATAATGTCTATATAAAAAGTGGTATTTATAAATATAGTACAGACAACTAATTAGTATGTCATATGACAGAATCCTTGACGTGAATGGAAAAAGTACTATTTTATTCTCATTTGGATCTTCATTATTTTATTGCAGAGTAGAATTTAATAACCTGATTAATTATACATATAAAATTGATTCTGTTATTGATCTGTGATTTTGAGGATGAGTCTGAGTATGACAGTCTTCTAGGCTCCAGAAACAAATCATACACATCATTTTCTCTCTAGGCAAAGAAAAATGAACTTATGTGTACTTTTAAATGGACATGTTTTATCCAATTCAGGAACACTGATTTGTTGGGGATGGCTTTAAACCTGCATTCCATTTATCAGTGGTTTAAGATATGCGACTAGTTTCCTGCTTTCCTCAAAGCATATCTAACTGTCCACATATGGCAAAATTGTCCTTCACCATATGGTCAAATTATGCATTCTTCCAGATTTAAATAAATGACATCTAACAAACCATTAGCTTATCTGTGTGCATGTCCACGAAATTTAGATTGTGATTTTTAAAAATGGCACATGGTTAACTATAGTTAATAATACCATGTTGTATATTTGAAATTTACTAAGATGGTAGATTTTAAGTGTTCTCATCACATACATACGCGAAAATGGTAACTAGTTATATGATGAAGGTGTTAAAAAATGGCACAGTGAGTTTTTAGACTCTTGAATCTTTAAGAATGAGTAACCAGTTATGTGCAAAAATTGTAAAGTATGCACACATAATTTACATACATGAGATTGTACTTTCATGGCTTCTTGCTGTTTTCAATTTTCTATGAGGTACTTGGGTAGAAACCAAGAAAAAGATAACTATTAGATTTAACATGGACTAAAAAATACTTTATTGTAACGCACATTAAGAAACATCAAATTCAGCTGGCCACAGTGGCTCATGCCTGTAATCCCAGCACTTTGGCAGGCTGAGGCAGGTAGATCACTTGGGATCGGGAAACAGAAACCAGCCTGGCCAACGCGGTGAAACCCTGTCTCTACTAAAAATACAAAAATTAGCCAGGCGTGATGGGACGTGCCTGTAACCCCAGCTACGTGGGAGACTAAGGTTGGAGAATCACTTGAACCCAGTGGGCAGCGGTTGCAGTGAGCGGAGATCTCACCACTGCACTCCTGACTGGGCAACAGAGCGAGACTCCGTCTCAAAAAAAAAAAAAGAAAAAAGAAACATTAATTTCTAGATAATATGAATATTACTTGAGTTGGTTTGATAAAAATGTGGAAAGCAATTTTTTTTTTTTTTTTTAGACGGAGTCTCGCACTGTTGCCCTGGCTGGGGTGCAATGGTGCCATCTCGCCTCACTGCAACCTCCACCTCTGGAGTTCAAGTGATTCTCCTGCCTCAGCCTTCCACGTAGTTGGGATTACAGGCACGTGCCACCACCCCCGGCTGGGGGTATATTTTTAGTAGAGACGGGTTTTCACTATATTGGTCAGGCTGGACTCGAACTCGTGACCTCGTGATTTGCCTGCCTCAGCTTCCCAAAGTGCTGGGATGACAGGCGTGTGCCACCACGCCCAGCTGAAAAGTGATTTTACACAGTAGACTTCACTGTTAATTTTGTATTTTTTTTCTACTAACGAAATTGAAATACTGAGTGTTTAACTCCAAGGGAATCATAATGTTTTAATAAAATACATTGCCATTTATTACTCTTACTGTATGTTGGTAAGCATCTGATTTTAAGCAGAGTAGACTTTAAACCTTTAGCACTATATGATGCAATACTAATTTTTTTTTTTTTTTTTTGAGACGGAGTCTCGCTCTGTCGCCCAGGCTGGAGTGCAGTGGCGGGATCTCGGCTCACTGCAAGCTCCGCCTCCCGGGTTCACGCCATTCTCCTGCCTCAGCCTCCCAAGTAGCTGGGACTACAGGCGCCCGCCACTACGCCCGGCTAATTTTTTGTATTTTTAGTAGAGACGGGGTTTCACCGTTTTAGCCGGATGGTCTCGATCTCCTGACCTCGTGATCCGCCCGCCTCGGCCTCCCGAAGTGCTGGGATTACAGGCGTGAGCCACCGCGCCCGGCCTAATTTTTTCTAAGTATTATAAAATCAAATCTGTGTAATATGGAATTAAGAACACTATTTTAACAATGATTCTGAAATTAGTATCAATTAGATACATTCTATAAGAATCTTTGAATTTATAAAGGGTATTGGAGAAATAGCCTTTATAAAGAAGAAGAAAATGTAAAGCAGACTAGTGGGTTTTATTTCCCAACCTAGTATTCTCATTTCTTAAATTTTTATTAATGTAGGCTATATAATATTGTTTATGATCAGTGAAGATTGTACATTCTGAGTGCTAAAATTTTCAAAGTCCTCTAAGCATGCCTCACAGATATTTAGTAATAAATTGATCTTCTCACTTATTATTGATCCCATGTAAAATTTTTATTGATGAGAGTAATTTTTTTAGGTATTCTACTTTTGATTACCTCATAGTAATGAAAGAACAAAAATCAATGGGACATAGCAAATGCCACAATTTGTTGCTAACATAGAAGTCTTAATGATAAGTGGACAATATCCTTATCCTCTTAGTGCCAGATAAGAAAGGAACATTTTCTTGAAGTGAGAGCAAAGAAAAATGAGGAAAAAATTGAAATAGTCTTTAAATATCACTAACAGAAATTATATGTCACCTGTGAGACATCAAGAGTTTGAAAGACATCAGTAGGTCAAAATATATAATGAAGAATGAGTGAGAACTCAAAGCAAAGGTATTTTCAAAACTTAATTTAATCATTACGTTGTTTCTTTGATTATATCTCTTTTGGCTGATAGATTTTGGAAAATTAAGCTTGTTTTAGATTGCTTGCAATCTATTGATCACTTCGATGTGATTTTAAATTAAAATTTGTATCCACAAAGTAGTCATTGGCTGATGATTGATATTTTACTTTCTTTGTTCTACCGAGTGTTTCTAAAGATTGAAAAAAGTTCCTTCATGTGGCTTCAAAGATTATGCCAGATTATCATTCAATTCATGTTCAAGTATATTAATATCAATTTTTGATTATTGAATACAATAGAGTTAGCAAAACAGAAAATACAGAAATGTAAATCAGAGAAAATAACCTGAAAAATTCTTCAAATTTTCATGCAAAGCTGCAATTCAATGACCAGATAGTGGTATTTCTAGAGACACATTACAGAATGAGTACTTGATATAGTAGATTCATGTGGATGAAAAAAGTAGTAGCAGGCATGCAGCAGTGAGAAGCCCTAGGCAATGCTACCCTTTTGGAATAGAAATAAGGCTATAATTTTGAACCATTTTGAAGCTAGCTTCATCAACTGTGTAAAGGATAGAAGATCCTCAAGACGATGATAACAGACTTGCTGCATCTGGTCATTAGTGGCAGAGTCCGTTGTAATTTAATTTAAATAATAAAAAATATGATTAGTGTTGGTCTGAGAGTCCTGCAGGAACAGTTCATACAAGATACATATGTAAGAAATGATTGTGGTACATTATAGCCTAGAAACTGAAAATTACTCTATATCTTACAGGTATATTTGCTTTGTTTTCTCTTGAATAAGGTGTCTATATCATATAGTGAGTGGGTTGTAATGCTATCTGTACAATTTCTGACAATTATTTTACCTCTCTGAACCTTATTTTTCTGAAAGAAAATAGGGTTTGGAGCTGAATATATCAGAATTTCAAATGAAGGTGTTAACTTTACTTGTCTAATAGACTTACAGAAGTCCTGTAAAATCTCTAGGTACAATTTCCCTCATCTGAAAAAAAAAAAATAGGACTATAGCATCTAGCTTCTGAGTATTTCAAATATGCAGATCATAGATATATATATTATATTTGAATCTGTGAGTTCTTGATCCCATACAGTTGAATCAGAGTTGGCTTCCAATTGCTTTAAACAATGGGTCATGGTGTAGTGTTGCTCAATGGCTTCTGAGGCTCTCACAAATGGCATGTAGCTTTCACCTGGTTGTCTTGATATTCTCACTATCTCCAGGCTCCTTTGCTGGCTATGCCATTTTAAAACTCAGAACGCATGTTGTGCGACATCCAACCTAAATGGATTGGCTACATGTTCCTTTCAGTCTAGGAGTCCCAGATAAACCAATTTTCCAGCCTTCTCAGCCCAGATGACAGACACATAATTGAAAGACCTGTGTTTAAAGTGGATCCTCTAGTATCAATGATTTCAGCCCGGAGCCATTCATTTCTTCCTAAGTGACCCACAGATTTCACGAACAAAATAAAATGGTCATTGTTTTGTGCCACTAAGATGTTACTATATTAATAATTCATAGAGTTATTGTGAAATAGCAAATTTATAGAGAATATTTGAACAAATGAAAAACACATTATGAATATTATAAAAATAAGTTATATAAAATTATATGATTTCATAAGCATAGTGGACAAATAAATATGTCTAAAAATATCTGAATTCTGTTTATTAATGACGAATTGGATCAAAGAGGCTATCTTTAAAGTTAGGAGACTTCAGACTATGTCCTGTTATTCTGAGTTTGATATTATATTAGACATGTAACATTCTCTTGTTCCAAGTTCTCATTAATGCCATTATCAGAAACAAATGCTAGACAAACTGTAGAATTAAACCATATGAAATATGTAGTAACTGTGAACTGGATTTCTCTTTTTATTCTGAATGTCATTTATTTACATCCTTAGATGGGGGGTAGGGATAGAACTTAGCCCTGGTATTGAAAGCATGCCAATATGTTGAAAATAAAATCCAAGAACTAATGCTCAGGAACAAATTGCATTCCACACTGAAAGTAAAGCTGTAAGATATTCCAAGAGAGAGCTGAGATGCATGTTATTCAAGTGTGCAAAATGACTTCTTCATGAGGATTTTGTAAGAGTTGAATACTAAATTGGCCAGACTACAACAGGCAAATCGTATGTTAGATCAGAAGTAGACACTTTAGTTTCATGACTCATTGACTCAGAAACCTGTCTTAAAGGTATTAAGGAAGGAAAAGAAAAAGAAGCAAAAGCACAACAAAAAATAGGATATCTATCACAAACTATGTCAGTAAGGGTGAAAAAATAGTGTGATTCATGGAATTGTAGAAATAGAGAATCCAATTTATCAGGAAAAACTTCTAACACCTGGCATTTTTTGACACTCAAAAAATTGCAATAACATTTTCTCCCTGAGTTAAGATCTCAGCATCTATGAAGGATAACACAGTGATCAAATATTAGACATAAAAGAGTTCTGTGTTTAATATTTTAAAGATGTTATAGCTTTCTCACATAATTATATAATAAAGTTGATATGTAAACCACAGCATGTCAGAGAAACACGCAAATATAAATAACTCAAATTTGATAATAAAGTATATAGTTTAGAGTATGATTTTATAAATTTGGTATAGAGTGTTTTCTGGCTCAGATAAAAAAGTATATCCAAATTACTTATCCTAATAACATATTGCACTTCTCATAATATTACAAATATATGCCAAATACAAAATATATATATATCATGTATATATAGAAAACAAAATCTTTGTAATATATTTATAGTTATATAAATGTAATATTTTATAATACATATATATTATATATAAAAATATGGAGAATTTATATAGTGTTTATATATATTTTAAAATGTTACATCTGGTTATTAGTGGCATTGGTGGTCACTAGTGGCAAATTAGGAGACTATTATATGTATATATACACTATGTATATTCTATATATGTAGTATATACATATACAAAAATATTTTATGTATATATATACACAAATTCAATATATATATAATACACATTCTCATCAACACAGTTATAGTGCTTTACAAATTATTTTTAGACACAGGAACACTGAGGAAAAAATAAAAACAAACAAGATTGCATAGTTCTGTGACAAGAAGAAAGCCTTGAGCTGTAAATTCAGAATAAGCACATAAAATGGAAAACATTGAGTCAGCCCTATTTTTATTGATATTTTGTTACTTGTATCTTGATAAAAGAATAAGAAATTTTTCAGGCCAGTTCAGACAAGACTGAATGTAGTACAGTAACAAGTTCTAATACACATCAAGAAATTCTCTGATGAAATTATTTTTTTCTTAGTGAAACTGAAACATAATTATGCTAAGAGAGGGTCGAGATAATAGTAAAATAACTCTGTATCTGTGTTTATGTGTGTTGGAAAAAGGCCACATAAAACTATGCAAAGAGAGGTCATATTTTCAACTAATATGTAGGTGATTCAAAAAGGATTAGGCATTCAAAATTATAATTCATTTATTTATTAAATATGGACATATAGTTAAGCAGATGTTTAAAGGGAATGATACTGACTTTACTGTAGTTTTATAAACTATGATATGTACTTCTTGTGCCAAGGGTAAACCTCAATCTGATAATCTAATGCAGTGCTCCTAAAAATTATTGTATGCAATTTGAGAAAGATAATTAAAAAATAAGTTTGCTAGTTTTTATAATTTACTCTCAATATTTTTCTTGTTATACATAAGATAAGAGTTAACAATTCTAAACACTGAGAATTAGATTAGGAAAATTATCATCCTCTTAATTATTAGGACACTATAATTTTCTAAGAATGAATACAAAACATAAATACATGTGGAATGGAGAGACATTTACATTTGTTGAAAAACAGATATGTTTTAGGCACTTTGTTAAAAGGTAGGAGATAAGATATAGTAGATCAGTTACTAAATTTCAATGTGAAAGTGTTGTTACAGATGTTCCAGAGAGCCAAAAAGGCAAAGCATGAACATTGCACTCATATCCAGCTATCATGGAATGTCTCCTAGAAGAATGTAGATGCTTGAACAGTTCACTAAATGTGAGAAGTAGCTAGGTGAAATAAGTCTTGGGTCAGGAAGAGTTATTGGAAGAGCAAAGGGCATATAAAGATACATAGAAGTATAAGAGTTTTTGGGGAAACTGCAAGGAACTTGGTATGTGAAAAGATTTAGAGATACACTTTAGAAAGGTCAGTAGAAACAAGATGAAAAAAATATATATACATATATATATATATATATTCTGCCAATGTTCTATGATGCCTTGTTAAATCAATGATCTTCCTATCCTTCAATTCTTCAACTACTCCTTCCATACTAGAGTTTATCTTTCATAATTCCAGCATATTTAAATAACTTCTCTTAAAAAGAAAACAAACTCATATATATATACACACACACATATATATACATACATATATACACACATATATATACATACATATATATACACATACATACATATATATATATATATATATACACACACACACACACACACACACATATATATATGGCCATATGGTTGGCATCTTTATTTGCCAAGCTAAAGAGATTAACTATATTGCCCAAACAATTTGGAAATTCTTAAGCTATTTAAAAATCTTAAAATAGTATGCTGAGACTTAAGTTTACCAAACACCATGACAGCGTTTAGAGCATGTCTTCCCTCAGCAGATATGCAAAGAAACCCACTGAGTAGGGAAGGAATGTAACAAGACTACTGTTTACCTATAAAAAATAAGTGTGTAATTGTATTTATCAATATTTAATATTTAGCCCATTCTAACCCTCCAATGTGGTTTCTGTGGGTTTTGTTTAAACAAAATATTTACAATATTATTTTTTAACTGAAACGAGATAGGAAAGTGGAGAAAACATTTCATTGCTCAGAGGCTTTCTAATTATCTTGTGGAATGTTATAAAGTATTTTTAAGCTTAAAAATGCCATCTATTTTTATCTTTCACACAAATATCAACCATTTCAAATGTGTGGACCATTACTTTCCTATGAAAATCTTATTAGTATTACAGTAACTTGCAGGGATTTTTGGAAAGAGAAATATGTCTAATATGTCTCTTTAATTTAATTTTTAAAATAAAATTTAAATAATGGATGATAAAATATTTACCTAAAATTTTGTTCTGTGGAGAGAACATTTTTAAAATAATTATTTGTGGATGTTATCATAAATGATTTCTTTTCTTTTTTTTGCTAAAAAGGAATAGCTGACATTTCACTAAATTTATCAAAGCTGATAAAAAAATTTTCACGAGGTTGAAAATGCTCAAGTGAGCAGTCTCTGCTGTTAACAGTCTTATTACAATATTCAAAACAACTTCAAATATAGTTTTAAGAACAAATGACTGATATCAGGGAAGATTACAATTTACTACCTTAAAATAAATACAATTTGTCTAATAAGGTGTAGTCAATAATGCATTTTTAACTGTTTAATATCCTAATCTACTTACTTTTTATGATTGGGATGGGATTTGGGGATAAGAATATTTTGGTTTGGACAGCACTGCCATCCCATAGATGATTGCTTCGCACTTAGTAAATTGTCAATAAATGAATAAAATGAAGGAAAAAATTTCAAGGGGGACTTGAAGATAATAAACAATATGATGAATCAGACAATTAAGAAATGGCATAAGGAGATTTAAAAGCTAAAAATGAATGTCTGAGTGACATCAATTTAAGGGACAATTAAGTAAAAATACACAGCAGAGTAATAAAAAAACAATACTTCATTGAAAAATAGAAATATCCCCAAATGGTGCAATAGAAGTAATAGTGGTGTGAAATTTTAAAGACGGTTTAGTCAATGTAAAAGATAGAGCAAATAAGATAAAAACCAGAAATTGTCCACTTGTTTTGATAAAATGTGACCCACAGGTAAACTTACCAGAGAAGTATCAATGTTACCGCACTAAGTCTGTGTTAGAAAAAGAAACTGGCTTTCATAATATGTTATCAGTAAGAAATTAATGGCAGAAAATATAGATACATTTTTATCAAGGAAATAAAATCAGAGATGCTACAGAAGATAGAGTTTGCTTTCCTTTTAAGAGAAGTTATTTAAATATGCTGGCATTATGAAAGATGAACTCTAGTATGGAAGGAGTAGTTGAAGAATTGAAGAATAAGATCATTGATTTAACAAAGCATCGTAGAACATGGGCAGAAGTAGAGAGTTAACTCTGGTTATGAGGACACATGTCTCTGTAGCGAAACAGGAGGAAAATGTAGGAAAAGACAGATACAGATAGTAGATGATAAGAAATAATGAGTAATTGCTGGGTATTTACATTTTCTAAGTAGTAGGAGTTATAATATCCTTTATGAAAGTAAAGAGACAAAAATTAGTCTCAACACAAGAGAAATGTTGGAATAACCAATTAATAGAATATGAGAGAGAACTGAATTTTATCGTGGAGTAGGATTCCTGGGGCATTACTGAAGATTACTTGTGCTTTTTCTAAAGGTTCTCAGCAATTTAGGTATGATAATAGACGGGCCAGATAGTAGTACCTATTGAGGTTGTTTAAAAGAAGGTAACCGAGTAGGTGAGTCAGAAGCAATTCTGCATTCCAAGAAGCACTTGCCTATGTAATGAGGATCTCTGAGGACTCAGGGTTACCTACTCATGGTCTATTTACAAAAGTAATAATATACTTATTGAAGATTTTCTTGCAATTTAAAAAAGTAGTCAATAAACTGAGTCTTTTAAGTATGATTTCTGCACCATTAAGCAAATGATATGAACAGTCTAGAAATATTCTAATATTCAACCACATGCCTTCATTGATTTAGAGGTATCAGAATCACATCTTAAGATGGTTAAATTAATTAAGATCTGTCTTTAATTATAATATAGTTGTTAATAAAACATCATTGTAATTTTGGCTTCCTGCAGAAAAGAACAAGCATTAACATAATTAATTGAGTATTCTGGGATGTTTACCATTTATAATATCCACTACAAATTAATAAATTCACCTTTGGTTTACTAATTGCTCCATTGCATGAATAAGCAAATTGATGCTGTTTCTCAACAATTTGAATTGGTTTGTGTGAATACATAAAGTGGAGTTTTCAAACTTACAAATATGGAGACAACATTATTTTATGTGTTTTATGTGTTTCTTTCTGTTAATAATAAAATATAACATCTTAAAATGTGGAATTCTAAAATTAAAGTACTATTAATAATAGTTATTGAAGGTAAAAATATAAAATAAAATTGGAGGATAGCCAACAGTAGTTCTTTCTTCATAATATTTAAGAATTTATTTAACCAAAAATATAACTATAACAGTGTAGTATAATTTGAGGATATTTAACAGTTTAAAATATTTCATAATCATAATAACAGAACAGGCTTCCAAATGATTCATAGGCAATGCAGGCTTAATTCAATTGTTAGTTAGCTATAATATGGCAAAATCCCAGTGGCTTGGCATAATACAAATGTATTTACTGTTCACACATAATTCACTAAATTTTCAGTTACTAGTTCCTCTCCAGGGAACTGCCCGCAGGTAGTCACTCTACAGTCTAGTTATTTTCTGCTTTTCCAATTTCACCATCCTCACATTAAAACCACATTTATAATCACTACTGCTCAAGCAGAGAAAACCTACAGAATTACCCACCAGGTATCAAGTGTTTCTACCTATAAGTGACATTGATTAAAACAAGTTATGTACACCTAAGTTCAATAAAGTGAAGAGTTGAAACTCTCCTATGTGTCCACAGGAAAGAGAACCAGAAATATAGTGTGCAACAATAATGTTCATCACACACATATTATTAACATACATTAATTTGTCTGCTAATATTTTCATCTGTCTCAAGATGATATTTAATTTTTTAAAAATTAATTTTCACTGACCATCTTTTCTACAATGTTCAAGTTAAAATCAAAAGGTTATTGAACTTTACTTCCTTGTAGCCTTTGTAACTCTTTCTCCTTATCCCCAACTGTTTATTGGTCTCTCTTTTCTGTCCCAACCTCACTGTTTTGCTTTTCCCTTTTCCCAGAAAGTCACTCCTTTTATTTCCTAATTACCTTACTTCTTTCTGAGCTATTTTTGCCTCACTCTTTTATTTTCCCTACTTTATTTTTCTTAGATAGCCTAATAACTTTTAATAACCATTAGGGTTTTAATAATTATTTTGATAACCTACTTATTATACATGCTTAATAATGGTTCATTGAGCTCTAGAATTTATAGAATGTGTTATAAAATATCATAAATAAAATAGTGCCATTTTGGCAAAAGAATATATATATGTAAGCAAAGAGAAACTATTTTTAAATTTATTGTAAGAAGTTATCTTTCAAAGCAGAAGTAAGAATGTCAGTCTATTACAAAATATCAGAAATATTGGCAACCTTTGTTAAGTATAGTTTCTCCCTTACAACATACAATAAATAAATTCCAAATGCATCAAAGATTTACAGTATACCTAGAATCATAAATTATCTTTAGAATATCATCATGGAATATACAAATGTGTGTGTACACACAAGAATAGGTGTTTTTCTGTGTCTACAAAGATATTTACATTAGTGTTTATGATGTCAAACATTAGAGATTATATATTGTTAAATTTGGGAGATTTTCAAATAAATGTGATATACCAATTCTATACAAAGGAAAGTACACTAGTTTGTATATGTAAATAATATATTATTAGGTTAACAAAATAGATTAGTTAAAATGTTAAAACCATATTTTAAAATTATACATCTTCATATGTAACTAAATAGATGTATTAGGCAAATATAGAAATACATATGCATATTTTCTGTACATTTCATAGTGATTATCACTGATTTACAAAGTTAACCATCATTTTCATTTTCTAGTGAGTGTTGTTCTATACTTTCCAAACTGATAACAGGTTATTATAAGAACAGTTCAGTGAATACAATTAATGTTCAATAAGGGCAAGTTCGTTAGTAGGAAATTTGTTTTATAAGATATAAAGTATGTGATGTCAGAGAGAAATCTGATGCCTTTTTGATATTGATCAATGAAATACACATATAGTCATAATCTACTGGTTTCTTTTAAAGCTTGGAAAAAAAAGAATCTAATAAAAATAAAATCTGAATGTAGTAAAAAACCTAAATGTAGTATTACATTTGAAAATGCATTTTAAATGTATAAAATGACTAATTAACACAGCTCATACACTTATACATATGTTTAGGTCAATGATAGTTTAATTTTAGACTCATCTATTCTTTTTTTCTGAAAGAATAATAATAGTGAAAAATGAGAAATATCTATAAATCCAATATTAGTGTTATTTCTGTAAAAATAATCTTATTTCCAGTTTAATCAATTAGAAAAATGTGTCTACTTCTAACGTATGACAGCTTTTATCAAATAAATTCTATTGCAGAGAAAAAATAAAAAGTCAAGGTGAAACTCAAACAATTGATATTTAAAGACATTGGAAAGAACCAAAGCAGCAGAGATTTAAGGGCTCAAGTTAATGGACACAGGGGCACTGAATTTAGGCAAATTGTCCTTTTTCCATTAAATTTTTCATTGACAAATTTCCACATTCTTAAACAGATTGGAGTTATGAGTTCCAGAATAAAGTGGTCCCTCAGAACATTCTGCTGTATGTTGGAGCTGGTGACATATTTTTGGAGTTCTAGAATTTCCAATGCTATCAGAGCTTGAGATGCCAATCAGTATC
This sequence comes from Homo sapiens, assembly GCF_000001405.40. Lineage (NCBI taxonomy): Eukaryota > Metazoa > Chordata > Mammalia > Primates > Hominidae > Homo > Homo sapiens. The sequence continues at coordinate 189,011,174 of NC_000001.11, forward strand.
TTGAAGAAAATATAACTAAAGAAAAGTCAGTCCAATTTTTCCCTGAATGTATATATCCTTTTCCTAACTTGTGAAGCACCAGAATGTTAAAAATAGAGCAGAAAGTATGTGGAAGGAAGCTAAAACAAATGAGTTTATTATTCACTATTGTTTATCAATACTGAATAATGTGGGGTTTGGGAAAAAAAATGTAGTTTATGTTTGGCGACGAGAAAAGACAAAATAAATGCTGTAGCCTTTCAGCATAAATTGCTGGTGAGCTATACTCTAAGGTATAGTTCTCACTTAAGAGTGAAGAAAACATAAACCCCTTAGAAAAATTGAAACTGGACTGTTTCTTTACATCTTTCTGTATCCTTACTTTCAAGGTGTGCTTCATGTAGGCAGTTCATACATCAATTGTGTGTCATATTTCAGTCTGACTCTTTTAGTTTTTTTCAGTGTAAGTACTTAGAAATTTTGGAATCATCTCAGTGCCAGATTGGATCAAGATAACCTGCCCCTACTCTAACTGCTTGGTAAAAGAATAGCGAATGGCCTCTGGAATCAATCAACCAATTAACCAATTCATTAATCAATACAACATAGAAACAAAACAATAAAGGCAAAATTTCCTCTTTTAAAAAAAGACAAAAATTTTCATAATCCCATAGAAAATTGAATCAGCAAAAAGGATATAGAGTACACAGGCTAGTATCAGACATGATAAAAGGAGATCAAAAAGGCATTATAAAGATAAATACGAGAACAACGAGAAGTAAATTGGATAAATTTAGATAAAATGTGTACCTTCTTTATAAAACACAAATTTTAAATTATTATACAGAAGTCATAGAAAATTAGAAATGTCTTGTGCATATTAACAATACAAGAAATTAAATACATCAGGGAAGGATGGTTCATTGAAATTTGTTTCACATATTTCTAGTATAAATAATAATCACTTAAATTTCTCTCAGAAAGAGACATAAACTTTTCAAATTATATCCAGTTTATTCTTGATGATGAAAACCTAATAGCAACATTATATTTAGGGGAAATTGCAGACAAATATATCTCATAAATATTGGTATAATGATTATAACCAAAATTTAAGCAAATTAAATCCGGCAGTAGTTTAAAATAATAATAAAGTCATGAACAAAATTATTTATTGTATTAAAAAATGTTGAATTTGGAAACCAGAAAAGGTAGTCTATTGTGTTAATAATATAATGAAGAAAAATAGTACAGTGATTTCAATAAATGCTTAACAAATTGATAAAATCAAGAATTCATATATAATGAAAATGTCAGCGATTTAACTATGGATCAATAGGATCTATATCATCAGCAGTTATAGTATTAGAAATAATATCAGCCGTGGTGACAATAATACAAGCAGAAACAGTTCTAATTAAAGCATCATGGTAGTCACAACAGCACTAATAGTTTAAAACATTATTTATATACATATATACACATTGCTTCATTTATTTTTTCAAAAATGTTATAAGAAGTGTACAAAATATTCATATGTCCATAAAATAAATATTTTAATCCTGAAATAGCCCAGAAAATAAAAAGTAGGAGTACAATCAATATATTGACAATAATGTGAGAAGCTCCTAGTTTTTAAAGTTGGCTTGTCATTGAATTTTGATCCAAAGAAAAATTAAATTAAATCTTATAACTGAACAATTACAGAAAATGTATTACATATCATTCTATCTGTTGTTTCAAAGACACAAATGTCTTGTTGGAATTATATATGAGAGAAATATTCTGTAATAGTCTTCTTTCAGCAAAAATTTGGTAACCAAGAGGACAATGAATAACAGCATCTGTAGAATAAATTAAGTGAGCATTTTCACAGAGTTCTTCTTATGGTTTGCTTAATGTAATTAGAAGAAAATGCCCATTCATTAATTCTGAGATATTGCTGAAATAGAAAAATCATTAATCTCTTCTTTTTCTCCCTTGAAGAAATTAAAGAGGCTCTGTTTCTAAATCTGACCTGGCTGAATTACCAAGGGGGTGGAAATCAATGAATTCAAAGCTACTTTTCAGTTTTTGTAGTTTTTATGGTTGACAGTATGTTAATTCATGAGATAATTTTGTTACAATGAAAATTTCATTTCTATTTCTAACATCCTGATATGTAGTAGTTCCTTGAGATTGTCAGTCTTCCTCACATACTCAGCTGAAATAAATTTACTAAATATTTTCTGTAAAATTATTCCTGAATGTCATGTATTTGCTTTGCATTGTGTGGTGTCTTGTTTTATTTTGCTAGCTTTGTTAATCTCCTTATTGTATAATTTCTTTATAAACTACCCAGTCTCAGGTATGTCTTAATTAGCAGCATGAAAATGGACTAATACAAGGGTGTAGTATTGGCCGGGAGAGAAAAAATGAATGACACCAGAAAATTCATTTTGAGCCTTTTTCTGCAAACACTTACATCGAGAAGAAATGTGAAAATGCGTAGATACATGCAAATCAAAGAATATGCATCAAAGCAGTCAAAATAATAAGAAAAAACTTGAAAAAGTAAAAATATTCAATAAGATGAACTATTTTTAAAATAATGATAAAATAATTTTGGTAATAAAAAATGTTAAATGGCATTGGCATATTCAAATAAGAAATTTCTCCATAATAATTCAGTTTAAAATATTATATTGCATAAATATTCAGTAAATTTGTTAAAATACGCTTTAGTTACTATCTATCAACACATATATTGGGGGAGAAAGTGTTTATTGATTCATTTGTTTGCAACTGTTCATCCTTCTTGAACTCTTTGGCTTAGACAAGAGTAAGTTTTTATAAAAATTTGAAAACAAAAAAACCTCAAAAGAGATTACAAAATTAATGGGCTCCTTTTTTCTCCAACATACACCACATATCAAGTGTATTTTTACTCTCTCTTTGGTTACTAAGGTGATAAAAATCAACTAAATGTTTAAAAAATAGATTTTATGTGGTTTAGATGAGGGGAATGAATTCTCAAACCTGGATGGATTATATCAAACTTTAATAAAGAACTTACTGTCTCCTAGACTCATGGAAATTGAATAAAATTTTAGAATTTAAATGAGAGATAGTCAACTCATAAAGAAGTGAGATACACGAGAAATAAGTGGGTAAAACCAAGAGTTGAAAGGGCAATGTTTGCTTCAAAGTAGCTGGTAAGTTGCCAGCTTTAGTGTACATATTATAGTAGAAAGAAATGAGGATAAAGAAAGTTTAATAAAACAACCAGTTTAATCTATAATAAACTAAAAAGGTCATTTTATCTTCCAGTGGTAAAAGTGTAGCGAATATTCATTGCTTTTGTCTACCTAATACCCATTTTCACTTTTTCTGTTAACAGTGACCTGATTTTCCTTACAAAAATATTTTCTAGACCTCAGTCTCAAAAGACATAATCCACCTTGATCACTGTGATTCACTGAAGTGTAAACTTCACCAAGTTGCTCATTTGGAGATAGGAATTTTGCTCAAGCTAAATGCCATTATATAATAAATACACATTTCGAAATACCATGCTATACATGACAAATATAGACAACGTTTATTTGTAAATTAAAAAATAAAATTAAGAACCTAAAAGAAACATGTCTCCCTTATGGTTACCAGAGATCAATATTAAGGAAGTACCTCTCTGACAATATGGTAAGAAATAGAAATATGGGGGTTGAGACACACAGAGGCATAAGAAACAGAAAGAGCGAGAGAGAGAGAGAGAGAGAGAGACAGAGAAAGAAAAACTGAGCTTAAATAAATCAGCTGTATCTAAAATAAAAGATAAAAAATCCCTTGGGTCAGTATAAGCCTTGATATAAGAGATGCTGATAAAATAGATTTTTTTTTAATATTAAGGCAGTCTGAATTGATTTTATGTAACTAGAAACCCAGAGAGTTCTGACTAAAAAAAAAGGGGATAAATTCATTTAAATTCCGAAAGGATTTAGAAAGAAAGCAGCACATTTGAGTTAGAGGCGGTGGAACATAAAAATATCAGCAGTGCAGATGAAGAGACAAAGAAGGTCATAAAGATATATAACCTTCCTTCTGATTTTAACTGACTTCATCATGGTTTCGGTCTCCAGTGTATACTCAGTTGACAGACATGGATGACAGAAATAATAAAGTTTTTGACTCTAGAGAATTTAACTGTGTTTCATATTACTTACTCATTTTTCATGCCATGATTGCACTACCAGTATTATGCTATAATATTAAATAAAATGCTGACCTTCTGAACAAGAAAACTATTTTTATTTGTATATATTTTTTCACTTTTATTTTAGGTTCAGGGATACATGTGCTGGTTTTTTATACAGGTAAATTGCCTGTCATGGAGGTTTGGTGTACAGATTATTGCATCACCCATGTAATAAGCATAGTAATCAATAGGTAGTTTTTTGATGCTCACCTCCTTCTACCCTGTACCCTCAAGTGGGCCCCAGTGCCTGTTGCTCCCTTTTTTGTGTCCATGTGTAGTCAGTTTAGCTACCACTTATAAGTGAAAACATGCAGTAATTGGTTTTCTATTCCTGTGTTATTTCCCTTGGGATAATGGCCTCCGGCTCCATCCATGTTGCTGAAAAGGGTATAATATCATTCTTTTTTATGGCTGCATAGTATTATTCCACAGTATATATGTCCCTCATTTGCTTTATTCAGTCCAGTGTTGATGGTCATTTAGTTTGATTCTATCTTTTCTGTTGTTTGTAGAACTGCAGTAAACATACACGTGCATGTGTCTTTATGACTGATTTATATTCCTTTGGGTATATACCCAGTAATGGGATTTCTGGGTGAAATGGTAGTTCTGTTTTAAGTGCTTTGAGAAATCATCACATTGCTTTCCACAATGGATTAACTAATTTACATTTTCACCAGCAATGTATAAGTATTCCCTTCTCTCCACAACTTTTTTATCAGAATGATGCTGGCTTCATAAGATTAGTGAGGGAGGAGTCCCTTCTATTTTTGGAGTAGTTTCAGAAGGAATGGTACCAGCTCCTTGTTGTACCTCTGGTATAATTCCGCTGTGAATGCGTCTGGTCCTGTGTTTTTTTGTTTGTTTGTTTGTTTGTTTATTTTGTTTGTTTGTTTGATAGGCTAGTAATTACTGCCTCAATTTCAGATCATGTTACTGGCCTATTCAGGGATTCGACTTCTTCCTGGTTTAGTCTTGGGAGGGTGCATGTGTCCAGGAATGTATCCATTTCTTCTAGATTTTCTAGTTTATTTATGTAGAGGTATTTATACTCTTCTTTGATGGGAGTTTGTATTTTTGTGGGATCAGTAGTGATATCCCCTTTATCATTTTTTATTTTGTCTATTTGATTCTTCTCTCTTTTATTCTTCATTAGTCTATCTAGTGGGCTGCCTATTTTGTTAATCTTTTCAAAAAACCATCTTCCGGATTCATTGATTTTTTGAAGGGTTTTTCATGTCTCTTATCCCCTTCAGTTCTGGTTTGATCTTAGTTTTTCCTGCCTTCTGATAGCTTTTGAATTTCTTTGCTCTTGCTTCTCTAGTTCTTTTAATGTGATGTTCGGGTGTCAGTTTCAGATCTTTTCAGCTTTCTGATGTAGGCATTTAGTGCTATAAATTTCCCTCTTAACACTACTTTAGCTGTTTCCCAGAGATTCTGGAACATTGTCACTTTGTTCTCACTGGTTTCAAAGAACTTCTTTTTTTCTGCCTTAATTTTGTTATTTACCCAGGAGTCATTCAGGAGAAGTTTTTTTGATTTCCATGTAGTTGTGCAGTTTTGAGTGTGTTGCTTAATCCTAAGTTCTAATTTGATTGTACTGTGGTCTGAGAGACTGTTATGATTTCTGTTCATTTGCATTTGCTGATGAGTGTTTTACCCTCAATTTTGTGGTCGATTTTAGAATAAGTGCTATGTGGTGCTGTGAAGAATGCACATTATGTTGATTTGGGGTGGAGAGTTCTGTAGATGTCTATTAGATCCTCTTGGTCCAGAGCTGAGTTCAAGTCGTGATTGTCCTTCTTAATTTTCTGCCTCATTGATCTGCCTAATACTGACAATGGGGATTTAAATGTACCACTAATATTGTTCAGGAGTCTAAAACTCTGCAGGTCTCTAAGAACTTGTTTTATGAATCTGTGTGCTCCTGTATTGGGTGCATATGTATTTAGGATAGTTAGCTCTTCTATTTCATTGATCCCTTTACCATTGTGTAATGCCCTTCTTTGTCTTTTTTGTTCTTTGTTTGTTTAAAGTCTGTTTTATCAGAGACTAAGATTGCAACCCCTGCTTTTTTTTTCTTTTTTTTTCTTTCCATTTGCTTGGTAAATATTCCTCCATCCCTTTCTTTTGAGCCTATGTGTGTCTCTGCACATGAGATGGGTCTGCTGAATACAGCACACTGATGGGTCTTGACTCTTTTTCCAGTTTGCCAGTCTGTCTTTTTATTGGGGCATTTAGCCTGTTTACCACTAAGGTTAATATTGTTATGTCTGAATTTGATCCTGTCATCAGGATGCTAGCTGCTTATTTTGTACATTAGTTGATGCAGTTTCTTCGTAGTGTCATTGGTCTTTATATTTTGGTGTGTTTTTATAGTGGCTGGTACCAGTTTTTCCTTTCCATATTTAGTGCTTCCTTTAGGAGCTCTTATAAAGCAGGCCTGGTGGTGACAAAATCCCTCAGCATTTGCTTGTATGGAAAGGATTTTATTTCTCTTTTGCTTATGAATCTTTGTTTGGCTGGATATGAAATTCTGGTTTGAAAAGTCTTTACAATGTTTAATGAGCATCTATTTTATGCTGGTGACTCTTCTAGGAACTACCATGGGTAAACACACATACTCTCTCTCTCATACACACACACACTCACACACGCACACACACACATGCAAAAAAAATAAGAAAAGATTCTTGTTTGTTTGTTTGTTTGTTTATTTGTTTTTGAGAGAGCCTCGCTCTGTCACTCAGGCTGGAGTGCAGTGGCGTGATCTCGGCTCACTGCAAGCTCCGCCTCCCAGGTTCACACCATTCTCTTGCCTCAACCTCCCAAGCAGCTGGGACTACAGGCGCCCGCCACCACACCCGGCTAATTTTTTTTTTTTTTTTGTATTTTTAGTAGAGATGGGGTTTCACCTTGTTAGCCAGGATGGTCTCAATCTCCTGACCTCGTGATCCGCCCACCTTGGCCTCCGGAAGTGCTGGGGTTACAGGTGTGAGCCACCGTGCCCAACCAGAAAAGATTCTTAACATTGTTTCTCATTAGGGAATTGAAAGTTTAAACAATTATGAGATACTGTTAAACATTATTAGAATGTCTATTCTGCTAGATTGGCTAACTTTCCCTAACTCAAAAAAAAAAAAAAAAAAAAGATAATACTAACTGCTAAAGAGGATGCAGTATAAGAGTAACTCATTCATTGCTGGAGCAAATTAAAAATAGCAAAGCCACTCTGGAACACAGTTTGTCAGTTTCTTACATAGACAGACATACATGGTCTTCTTATATAATTAAGTGATTGTGTTCCTAGTTAGGTATTTACTCAAATTATTTAAAAACTTATCTATACACAAAATCCTTCACACTCATTTATAATTGCCACAACTTGAAAGCAATCAAGGTAACTTCCAGCAGATGAATGAGTGAACAAAATATGGTACATCCACAGGATGTATTTTTATTCAGAAATAAAAGTAATAAGCTGTCAAGTCATGAAAAGATGTGGATGAACCTTGTGATGGTTAATATTAGGTGTCAACTTTATTGGATCGAAGGATACCTACATAGCTAGTAAAGCATTGTTTCTGGGTATTTCTGTGAGGGTGTTGCCAGAGGAGACTGACAGTTGAGTCAGTGGACTGGGAGGGGAAGAACCATCCTCAATGTAGGTGGGCACCATTCAGTTGGCTCCAAGGGCAGCTAGAAAAAACAGGCAGAAGACGGTGTGATAAACTGGCTTTCTGAGTCTTCTGGCTATTGTCTTTTCCTGCGCCGGATGCTTCCTTCCATTCTTCCTGCTCTTGGACATCAGACGGCAGTTTCTTTTGCCTTTGAACTCTTGGACTTATACCATTGGCTTGCCAGGGATTTTTGGGCCTTCGGCCACAGACTGAAGCTTGCACCGTCAGCTTCCCTACTTTTGAGGTTTTTAGACTCAGATTGAGCCACTACTAGCTTCTTTCTTTCCCAGCCTGCAGATGGCCTATTGTGAGACTTCACCTTGTGATCATATGAGCCCATTCTCCCTGATAAAGTTCCTTCATATATACATATGTCCTACTAGTTCTGTCCCTCTGGAGAACCCTGACAAATACAAACTTTAAATGCATTTCCCAAAGAAACAAGCACTCTGAGAATGCTACATACTGTATGTTTGCAATTATATGATTTTTGGAAAAATTAAAACTCTAGTGACAGCAAATAGATTAGTGATTGCCAGGGGAAAGTGGACAGGATTTTAATGGTGTCAACACAACAGAACTCTTTAGAGAATGTATTCTGTATGATACTGCAATGGTGGGTACATTATATAAACATTATACATTTGTGAAAACTTGTGGAATTTTACAATGCAAAGAGTAAACCTTAATGTACACAAATTAAAATAAAACAATTTTGGAGGTTGGAGGGTCCAGAAAAGAATAAAAAACATAACAAAACGATCTAACTATATTATGTATATGTAAGACAATCTCACTGAATGGGATGAGGAAAATGCTAATTCAAGTAACTTTGAAAATAAATAGAGACTGAAAGATTAAGAGCAAAAGGAACTATACATAAGCACCGTACTCTATAAAGTTGCTTTTAATGGGGATATGAGTTAATGATTATGATACTGCTGTACATGTATGTAGATACTACTATACTTCTATAATAGAAACACATAATTAAGTAATGTGTGACAGATGGTGGGAGTCAGACCTCTCAATGTTGGAGTAAAAATTTACATATAATCAAGAGTAGGTGACTAGAAATAACCATTTTAATGAAATAATATAATCGTCTTGGGTGTATCCATATACATTCATATTTATTTTAATATATATAGGTGATGACATATAGAAATATTTTATATAGGTGTATATAAACACAGGTTAGTATACACATGTGTATTTCCTTGCTCTGTTACCTAAGCATTTACAAAGATGATAACACCCCAGTAAGGCATAGCCCATCTAGGGCCCAGATCTTATTTTCTAATACAATTTTTCAGTAAAAGAATCCAGAGTTGTTTTGAGAAATGGGTAATTCGGGAATAAGAGGAAGAATATGCAAAACAAGCTTAAAGATTATATTATAAAAGATAAACATACAAAAGTTCAGGATGTCCTTAAAAACAACCCGCAAATGATGGGGTTACATCAAGGGAACACAGAAGCCTATCAAAAACAATTCCAAAAGCCAAAACAGGAATAAAATAAATAATGTAGTGCTAGATTATTTTCAAAAGGATAAAACAAATACCTGTGTGTTTATACTGATATAAACAAATGATTGAATAAACACATAAATGTGGAAGAGAATAATTTTAAATAATGTATGAAGATACCTCATCTTCTAGCATAACTCCTTACTATTTAAATGAAAATTAATGCTTCATATAGTGACTTCTGTCCAAAGAATATGGAGTGGCAATGAAAAAAATGATAGATTTACGGTAGTTAAATTTAACAAACACTGTCAGCTGGGTGATCATGGTCAACATCAACAGTGAAAAGTCAAGTTAACAGATAGTACGTACCCTTGATGTGATGGGATGACAATGGCGCTTTACTTCTATGGTGTTTCTCCCCAGAACATATAACCCCAGTCCAATCATGAGAAAAAAAAATCAAGGCAAATACTAGTTGAGGGACATTCTACAAAACACCTGGCAAGTGGTCTTCATAACTGTCATCAAAACAAGGAAAGTCTAAGAAATGTGTCACAGTCACAAGGAGCTTAAGGAGACATAACTACCAAATGTAATGTGGTATCTTGTATATAATTCTGGAGCAGAAAAATGATGTTAAGTTAAAAACTAAGATAATCTGCATAAAGTATGTTCTTTAGTTAATGATAATGTATCAGTGTTTGTTCATTAATTGTAGCACATGTGTCATATTAATATAAAATGTTAATAATTGAGGAAACTAGTTTTGCAGTATATAGGACTTTTTTATTATTTTTGCAGTTTTTCTATAAATCTAAAACTGTACTAAAACCAAAATTTTTTCTAAACACACACACACAGCCCAATAAAACCAAAAAATAAAAATAAAATCCCATTTCTGGTGAATTTAGATTATCTTATGCAATATATTATGCTTATATATTTGTGCAAATATAAGTATTCTTATTGAAAATAAATTATAAGGACTAGAAGAGAATGGCAAGGATGCTACTTTAGAGAAGTTGGTTACAGCAGGTCATTTTACCGAGGTAGAATCCAAATGAATTGAGTTTAAAATATTATCTCAGAAACAAAGTGGAAAAGAATGTCACTGTGCAAATAATACATTCTGCCAAATGCCATCGAGAAATTGAGAAAGGTGAAAACTTAGCACCAACTTTTGATTCTTGACATTCTTGGGAAAGGCAGTCATACATCTTGGCAGCTTGCTGACACTCGCATTGTGTCACAAACGTGTGTCTCCAGCCTTGAGCATTTTCTTATACGGTGGTAAAGAGAGCTCACATATTGTGGCTGGGCTTACCACTTTGTTTGTTAGTATCTTTCTCTGTTCCAGGTTTGAAAAGTAGTACTTTGGTCTGCTGAAGGGTGTGCATCAGGGTTACCTGGTCAACCCCACTACTGTTTGTTTCTGGTAAAGAGGGAATGGGATGTATTGTCTGCAGGACAAGAAGGTGCCTGTAGACCATCTCTTTGGTGGACTGCTGGGTGAGAATCACTGGCTGTGGACTGATACTCACTATCCATGGTGTTTTGCTTTCTTTTCTATGTGATGAACCTCCTCCAGTGTTTATGAGAGTCATGTCTTTCTTGTTGACCCTGACACAGGCAAACCATGCACTCGGTTGATATCCCAGAACGGCTGCTCCTAGTGGTGGGCATTATCATGCTCTTTACTATCTTCCACGCAGTGGGACCTCTCCCTTGGATATCATTTGCTTTACAGACACCATGTAAGCTATGACTCTGGAAAGAGAAGTTAATGTGATGTATTGGAAATAGTGAACTGATCGGCAAGTGTTCCAAAGAGAGTTAGAGGTGAAATGAAGGATACAGTGAGCATAGAAAACTCTTGGAATTTTATCTTAAAAGATAATACTATTTAAGCTGAGATGTCAAGGGTAAGTATACATTTACTAGGTGAACTGGGATGGATTTTCAAAATGATTTCTTGCAAATTAAGCAGAAAAAAATATATGTAAGGAAAGGCATAAGTCATTTAGAATATATGTGTGGAAAACAATGATGTGATAAGTAGGATCATGAAAGGCCTAATCAATTATATCCATGTTTTTTACACATTAGGGTATTAAACATCCTTACAGGTATCTGTTTACAATGCTGATTTCCAGATGCTAATGTGAATGTGTTGAAGCAATGCTTCTCTGGATTGTGTAAGGAATTGAGGTGTTTTCTATGTGCACTAGTAAGCCTTTTGCATTTTTGTTTTTCTTTTTCTGTTTGAGAATAAAATTTATGATACAATAACCCCAGAATATGGAGAATGCTTTATATGAGAAAAAAATGGGCCAGGTGCGGTGGCTCACGCCTGTAATGCCAGCACTTTGGGAGGCCAAGGCAGGCGGATCACCTGACGTCAGGAGTTCGAGAACTGCCTGGCCAACATGGTGAAACCCCGTGTCCACTAAAATACAAAAATTAGCCGGGCGTGGTGGCGGGCGCCTGTAATCTCAGCTACTTGAAAAGCTGAGTTGCTAGGATCACTGGAACCTGGGAGGCGGAGGTTGCAGTGAGCCAAGCTTGTGCCACTGCACTCCGGCATGGGCAACAGAGCGAGACTCCGTCTCACAAAAAAAAAAAAAAAAAAGAAAGAAAGATGCCACTGAAATACTGGGAAACAATTAAATCATTGGTCAGAGACTTTGTTAGCTCAGGTTATTGTGATGTTAGCTAGAATACAGAAATGTGAGTGGACATAGATATTTGGAAGCTAGAATGGCTGATAAATGAAAACTGTCAGAATAATAAATAATACCTCCTTCATGGCTAGAGGTAAAATTATTGTTTTTTACCTAGAGTATAAAATTGTGTACTTGCGGTGGCTCACGCCTGTAATCCTAGCACTTTGGGAGGCCGAGGTGGGGCGGATCACGAGGTCAGGAGATCGAGACCATCATGGCTAACACGGTGAAACCCCGTCTCTACTAAAAATGCAAACAATTAGCCGGGCGTGGTGGCGGGCGCCTGTAGTCCCAGCTACTCCGGAGGCTGAGGCAGGAGAATGGCGTAAACCCGGGAGGCGGAGCTGGCAGTGAGCCGAGATTGCATCACTGCACTCCAGCCTGGGCAATAGAGCAAGACTCAGTCTCAAAAAAATAAAAATAAAAATAAAAAAAATAGTGTACTCTAGAGTTTTATTAGCTATAGAGGGGAAATTCCTGTGTCACGTTTCAAGCATGTTTACTTTAAGGTTCCTTAGTAACTTCTAAGTGGAAAAGCAAAGTAGGCAGCTAAATATACAGTTTTGAAATTCAGAGAGGTCTAAACGGAGATGTTGATTTTGTAATTAGGTATATTTAAGTTAGTAACAACATGCTGGGAAAGTAATGGGTTTCCTTTATGAGTAGGGAACAGTGAGAAGAGAAGGATAGTGTAATACAGGGGCCCCCAAGAAGGCCTAGCCAAATACACGGGGAGAAGTCCAAAATTATCGAGGTCACGGAGACAGAATATGAGAGAAAGCAAAAAGAGGACCATCATGAAAAATACTTTTGAAAGATAGAGTCAGTGCTATAAACAGACTCTGTGACTTAGAAATTTAGATGTATAATTTTTTTTTTTTTTTTTGAGACGGAGTCTCGCTCTGTCGCCCAGGCTGGAGTTCAGTGGCGCGATCTCGGCTCACTGCAAGCTCCGCCTCCCGGGTTCACGCCATTCTCCTGCCTCAGCCTCCCGAGTAGCTGGGACTACAGGCGCCCGCCACTACGCCCGGCTAATTTTTTTGTATTTTTAGTAGAGACAGGGTTTCACCATGTTAGCCAGGATGGTCTCGATCTCCTGACCTTGTGATCCACCCGTCTCGGCCTCCCAAAGTGCTGGGATTACAGGCGTGAGCCACCGCGCCCAGCCAAGATGTATGTTTTTAATGTCTTCAGTGAGAATTTGAAGTGTGCTGTGAAGTGAATTTACTCTGTCATCTCTCTGTCTATGTATCTATCTATCGAGTGGGTGCAAAAGTATTTGTGGTTTTTACCATGCTTTTCATGGCGAAAACCGCAGTCTGTCTATTATCTATCTATCTATCTATCTATCTATCTATCTATCTATCTATCTATCTATCATCCATCTATCTATCTATCTATCTATCTATCTATCTATCTATCATCTATCTAATCTGTCTATATCTGTCATTTTTATGCTTGGGTTATAGCCTGAACTGCAGGTAAGACTGGCTTTCTCAGGGATCCAAATTGTTAGCTCTCTAGAAGCATTTACCTATTTCTATCTTACTTCACCAGTTGGATTAAAGTCTCCTCAAGAGTGAACACTGTAGAACATTGTATCTCTACTGTGTCATTATCTGTCCCCTGCACACAGGATCCTAGATAGAACTGACGTCCAAGGTGTGGCCAACTTTCATTACTATGTACAGAAAGGTTAAAGGAACTACAAAGTGAAGCCATAATATTGTAATTAATAGTTTAGTTGCATTCATTGTATTCTATGATTTATATATCATTTATATTAACCAAATGACCTCAATAACTCCACATGTACTCATACACACACACACATATGTATATTCATATTTATTTGTATGCTACAAATATATATTTTTTTAGTTAACCTCTGCATTGGAAAAGAAAATAAAATTATTTATGTAAAACGTATGTATTCCAAATGCAGAAAAATTTAGCTTGGCAACAAGAAAATCAGTAAGCACTAACTTATTATTTACTCTTTATTTTCATTTTAGTATATCTATTGAATATTTTCTATGCACTTTTAATGTTAATTTAGGGTTTTTATTTTAATCATATTATTTAATTCAGTTATCGTGTAAACCCTGTGATGTAGCTACAGTTATTGCCACCATCTGACCAAAAAAAAAAAACAAAAAAAATGTGGAATAAATTTAAACCAAATGCCACTTACTCATTCGCCTTTGTTGCCCCCCTTACACAAACAATTCAATTTATTTGAAAATGACATTCTTCTGACCACGCATCTAACTTTCAATCCTTATATTGCAATGCCAATCCTCATGCAGTTGAATATTTGGCTTTTTACAAATATGCAGATAATTTGCAAAGATAACATGCTAATCGTAAGAGTGTATCTATACTCTAAAACTGTGATCAAACTGAAAGATTTTATAAAGTGTTACTAATAACTTTAAATGTATATTATTTAAGCAATCTTCTATATGATAGTTGGAGTTAATACTTTTATACATCTATCTCATTATTTAAAATCATAACAACCTGCTATAATCCTGAATAGACAATTTGTCTCAATTCTATTTCTTTTTTTTTTTTTTTTTTTTTTTTTTTTTTTTTTTTGAGACGGAGTCTCGCTCTGTCGCCCAGGCCGGACTGCGGACTGCAGTGGCGCAATCTCGGCTCACTGCAAGCTCCGCTTCCCGGGTTCACGCCATTCTCCTGCCTCAGCCTCCCGAGTAGCTGGGACTACAGGCGCCCGCCACCGCGCCCGGCTAATTTTTTGTATTTTTAGTAGAGACGGGGTTTCACCTTGTTAGCCAGGATGGTCTCGATCTCTTGACCTCATGATCCACCCGCCTCGGCCTCCCAAAGTGCTGGGATTACAGGCGTGAGCCACCGCGCCCGGCCAATTCTATTTCTTTTATATTCAGTTGCAGAAAAGTAGTTCTAAGACAGATGGCTGCTCAAAGAAAGTGACAACTTGCATTCTATTTTGTGTTCTCTTTTGAAAACAGCTTTACTTTTTGGCTTATAAAGCATATTGCAGACTTTCAGGCAATGGATAATTGCAGATTACTGGTGGCAGGTGCACAGACTACCAGTTTTATAATATACAAATACATTAAGAAAAATTGTCAATTTTTAATCATTCCATTATTTCTTTATGTGAGTACATTAATATGACATTTTTAGAGAGATGAAGGCTTGTTTTTTAACATGTCATTCATTTAATAAACCAAAATAACCATGATGATTTCCAAGAATAAAAGAGATTTAAATACATATATAAGAGATTACATTAATACTATATATAGCATTGTGCCTGACATAAAGTCTCTAATAAATGCAAGATGTTATAATTATGTTTACTATTCAGATTAACAAATGAGTATTTATAAAACAGTAAACACATATAGTATATTTTAAATACTTACTTTTTATTCATTTCACCTCCTCCTGCCATTACCAAAATCAAGTACAAATTTTCATGTCTTTTAAGACATGAAAATAAATGTGAACAAATCACAAAGATTGAAATAAAAATAGTATTGTTTAGAAATGCAAATAATAGACTAAAGCAAATTCTCAATGATTTCGTTACAATACTCAAAGTGAAATATCTATTCCAATTGGTATATCTAGATTAATTGTGACTGCTACTATCCTACCTATAAATTAATTTATTTTGTTCCAACTTAATGAAGCATATCAAAATGCAAATAGGAGAAATAATATTAGAGAGATAGCCAGGAATTTAATGTATTTTAACATATCAGGTATTTTATTCAATGTCAACATTTTATTGTATTTGTTCTAATTTTGTAGCAAAATAAAATATAATACTGCATGAAAATATATGCATATTTAAAGCCATATTATAATGAGAACCTTTCTAATAAAAGATGATCCAAAACCTTCTTGATAGGTTACACCTATCACCCATTCTATTAGGCTAAATTTTATATCATCTAGCATTAATTTACTACTTTAATTTAGTACGTCTTCAAAATCATTATTGATAGTAGACATGACAGGAACTTACCCTGTTCTGCTTCTCAAACACTTGCTGTTTTTTGTACTTTTTTCCCTCATAATAATAATCATAATCGCTCTGCTGGGTTCTACAAAAACGTGTTGGTGCTTTAATTGGAATTATATTGAGGATGTAAATTAGTTACTACTAACACCACAGGTCATCATCATCTCTCACCAGGGATATTTTAATAGACTTTTCACTATTGCTTTGTTTTATGTCCCCCCTTCCACAAAATGGCTCTCTTCTCACTCTGAAACAAAAAGAAAAATAAAGAAATAGTTGATAGTGTCCTACAACATAAGGTGAACATCCAGTTCTGACTTTATTTCCAATTTTTCTCTCTTGTTTACTCTGTTCCCGCCAAAGAGTCTCTTCGATGTAACGTTAACCTGTTACATGTCTGGAAAGTTACTTCTCACTCCTCTCCTCTGATCTTAAGGGTGTTTCCTTTGATAGTCTTGCGCAACAATTTGGTTAAAATTTCACCTATCTCTAACAGTATCTTTTTTACCTTTTGACTTTAGTTTGGGCCAAGTAACTTTTACTTATTAACGTGCTTATTACTCCTCTCTTCTCACTAGAACAAAACTACATGAGGGCAGCAATTTTCATCTATTTTATTCACTGCCACATTTTCAGTTCTTAGAACTGTATCTGACAGATAGTAGGCACTTTAAAATTGATTGCTAAGTGGATGCATAAATGAATTAATATGATTTACTTTGTATAAGAGGATCTATATATGATGATCTATGAAAGTGCTTTTGAAAGATTACTATTAAAATGTTTTTCTAAATTAAATTTATCAATTATCTGTAATATAGCAAATATGAATGGATCTGAATTATATTGTCATCATGATGTAATAATACTTTAAACAGTTTATATTAAATACACAAACATGAATTAGATCTAGAATATTAGTGTATTTTTTTACATTAGTAGTGCCCTGATATTCTGTGACCAAGAGACATAAAAAGCTCTCTCTATCTCTGCCTGTCTGTCTCTTTCTTTCTCTGTCTCTCTTTCTCTTTATATATATATGAAATTGAATGCAATTTTAGAACTATACATTAATAAAGCATCATTTGTACATCAGCAGTAAATACAGATTATTATAAAAATTATGATATTTAGTTGTTTGACTTTTTTCTGAGTGAATGACAAAACTACCCCAATATACTACATGAAATCTTTACAGAACATATCATAAATCTACTCAGAACATATTTCTTTTAACTCTAAATTTTTTATTCTGTATGGTAGATATGCTTTGTAGACATTTCTGTTCTCACCTGAGCATAAGGTTTCTAGCTGAACTATTGAAAAGGTTGTTGAACAAAATCTATATTTGATATCCACCCTCCAAGGCATCCCCCATTGATCCTGGTGTTGTTTATGTTCAAATTCTTTTGTAGGCTCCTCCCATATGATAATATGTTCAGTCTGTGTAACCAAAAGAAGGTAACAATAATGATATGTCACTCGTGATGTTAGGTTATGCAAGGCATGTATATATTTTGTCTCTCTTGCTCTCTTATCACCTGCTTAATGATAGTCACCATGTCCTCCATGGAGAGTCCCTGTTGGGGAATCAGAATCCACCTACCAAGAGCCGAGAGGAATCAAGATCTTCAGCTAACAACCAAGTGAGTGAGTGGAAGGTAATTCTCCAGTTTCATTCAGGCCTTGAGATGACTTATCAAATAACTTGAGCAAGAACCATTCTGCTAAACTACTAACTTAAAGACTGTATAGGATAATATTTTTAAGCTACTAAATTTCAGTGATTTTTATACAACTATTGATGTATGATTAATATACTGTATTAGAGATCTAACATGGTATAAAGTTTCTTTCTATAATATGTTAGTCTTGAAAATAATAGCTTTCTAATGTTGCATTTCACTGAAATCAAGATCTATTTACATAGATTTTAAGTTTTTTACTGGTGAAAAGGAATTATATTTATTTTTCTTCTATTAATATTTAAAATAAATATTTATTAGTAGAATTATAAACCCTGAGAGATGATTATTATAGTATTCTTCATAGACCTGGGAGGAAAAGATGACAAAATTAAATCAGAAATACAGTTGATACAGTATGCATGGATTCTATATTTGTGAATTCACCTGCAGGCTGACAATTATTTTTATCCTCCAAATTTTTACTCATGTCACTTTTGTGGTCATTGAAGGTACAGAGTGATGAAACATTTATGTCACCCTATGCACACATTACCACATAAGTAGAACAAGGGAATACTCTGCCTTTTTGGTTCAACTCTCATAGGAAATGCAGTGTACTTTTGGTGGTATATTTAGTGTCATTCTTTGTGTAATTTTCTGTTTTGCTTTAGTAATTTCACTGTTTAAAATTGCCCCTACATGTAGCGCTGAAGTAATGTCTAGTGTTTTAATCACAAGAGGACTGCAATATTACAGAGAAAATATGTGTCTTTAAATATAGGTGTCTTCAAATAGAAACACGCACAAAACAAAGCTATGTAATAACCAGTTAATAAAAATATTGTGACCAAAGGCTCACAATAAATTACTTCTCTGATATAAAATTGTAAAACCTTAAGAATTTTAGTAAGAAATAAGTGGTCTTCCGTAATAATTACGGGATTTTTTTTCATATTATCTCTTCTTTTTCCTTAGCACATTTCACTGGTGCTGTTATTTTGTTTTTGTTTTCCACAATCATCATAATCCCCTAATCCTTTCCTCAGATAGCAATATAGAAAGGACTTTGGCTCCTTTATCTTTTCATCATGACAGATCTTCAGGAAGTCAGGAAGTATTGCTTGTCCTTATATTCTAAGTCTTTTTTTCCTTTTAATTTTTCCCCTCCTTATCATATTTTCATGTAATGTTCTAGATCTGATCATCTTAGGCTTTTTCTTCCCCTTGTAGATTTCAAGTTAAATGAGTAATAAAAATTAAACAGGTGCTTAATACTAGAAAATCCAAATTAGGGCTTTTTGTAGAACCTATTTAGTAATTATGAAAATCTACAAATCATCTTTGTTTAGTTGTGTGCATGTCAGGCAGGAGAATGAATATGTGTGCCTGTGTCCCCTAAGATAATTGCTTTTTTAAAAAGTTAATGTATTCAGTTGGTCAGCCAGTCAGTCATTGATTTGTTCATTCGCAAATGTTCACTGTTAAAGATTTTACTAGACACATGTTCCCAACAAGTATAGTTTTAAAATTCTACCATTTTGCAAGTCAAGCAACAAAAGTGTGTTGCTTTATTATGTCTATAATAAACTTACACAGAATGGTTGTGGTAAACACAAGAATGCTCAAGGCTAACATTTAAAAATATATCTGTCCTCTATTTGGCATCACCTAGGTATGACTTTTTTTCATCCTAGGCACGACTTTTTTTCATCCTAGGCACTAAACAAGTTCTCATTACCTCTTAAATATCTAGGAGAATATATTTAAAGATGTCTTCAGAAGGTTTGTTTATTTGTGCTTAATGTAATGGACAGAAATTCTAAATCAGCCACTCATGATCTCTGCCTCCCAGTGCTCATGCTATTATAGGAGCAGGACCTGTGATTTGCTTTCAACCAATAGAATAAAGAAAAAGTGATGAATGTCTCCTCCATGATTATGTTCTGCTATGTACGGCTCCATCTTGCTAGTGGACATGTAAGAGAGGCTATCCTTGCTGAAGTGGTGAAGTAGCCACGTTGGGAGGGCCCATAGGGCAAGGAACCACAAGCAGCCCCCATGAGCTTAGGCAGGTCTGAAACCCCAGTTGCAAGAAGCTGGGCCCTTCAGACATACAGTTAAAGAAAATGACTTCTTTCAATATACTGAGCGAGCATAGAGGTCAATTATTTCCTCCCAGAGCCTCCAGATGAGAATGCAACCTGACTGACACCTTTGATTGAAGTCTTATGGGATGCTAAGTAGAGGAACCAGCTATGCCATGCTTAGACATTTTACCACATAAACTATAAGATAATGAACAATTGCTATTTTAAGTTGCTATTTTTGTGGTAATTTGTTAGCAATTGAAACAGCTTAAACTAAACACATGTAAGCTTGAAATAAAATTAGGAAAAGTTATTGAGGAAAGGCTTTAGTTGTCATACTTCTTGAAAAGCAGAAAAAAATATGATGGGATAAGGAATTGATTAGTTAGAGATTTTATCATTAAAATGTCTTCATGAAAGAAAGGGAGCACTCAGAATATTTTCAAGCTCTTAACCATGTTTAATTGAGAAAGATTCAAAAACACGCCTACGCAAACTCAGTTATTATTTTTCACTTCAAAAAATAAAAGAACTTTTAAAAACCCTGAATATATCTTAAAAGTTTATATATATATATATATATATATATTTTATATATATATATATAATACTTTAAGTTCTGGGGTATGTGTGCACAATGTGCAGGTTTGTTACATATATATACATGTGCCATGTTGGTGTGCTGCACCCATTAACTTGTCATTTACATTAGGTATATCTCGTAATGCTATCCCTCCCCCCTCCCCCCACCCCACAATAGGCCCTGGTGTGTGATGTTCCCCTTCCTGTGTCTAAGTGTTCTCATTGTTCAATTGCCACCTGTGAGTGAGAACATGCGGTGTTTGGTTTTTTGTCCTTGCGATAGTTTGCTGAAAATAATGGTTTCCAGCTTCATCCATGTCCCTACAAAGGACATGAACTCATCATTTTTTATGGCTGCATAGTATTCCATGGTGTATATGTGCCACATTTTCTTAATCCAATCTATCATTGATGGACATTTGGGTTGGTTCAAAGTCTTTGCTATTGTGAGTAGTGCCGCAATAAACATATGTGTGCATGTGTCTTTATAGCAGCATGACTTATAATCCTTTGGGTATATACCCAGTAATGGGATGGCTGGGTCAAATGGCATTTCTAGTTCTAGATCCCTGAGGAATCGCCACACTGTCTTCCACAGTGGTTGAACTAGTTTACAGTCCCACCAACAGTGTAAAAGTGTTCCTATTTCTCCACATCCTTTCCAGCACCTGTTGTTTATAATACCACACATCTACAACTATGCGATCTTTGACAAACCTGACAAAAACAAGAAATGGGGAAAGGATTTCCTATTTAACAAATGGTGCTGGAAAAACTGGCTAGCCATATGGAGAAAGCTGAAACTGGATCCCTTCCTTACACCTTACACAAAAATTAATTCAAGATGGATTAAAGACTTAAATGTTAGACCTAAAACTATAAAAACCCTAGAAGAAAACCTGGGCAATACCATTCAGGACATAGGCATGTGCAAGGACTTCATGTCTAGAACACCGAAAGCAATGGCAACAGAAGCCTAAATTGACAAATGGGATATAACTAAACTACAGAGCTTCTGCACAGCAAAAGAAACTACCATCAAAATGAACAGGCAACTTACAGAATGGGAGAAAATTTTTGCAATCTACTCATCTGACAAAGGGCTAATATCCAGAATCTACAAAGAACTCAAACAAATTTACAAGAAAAAAACAACCCCATCAAAAAGTGGGCCAAGGATATGAACAGACACTTCTCAAAAGAAGACATTTATGCAGCCAACAGACACATGAAAAAATGCTAATCATCACTGGCCATCAGAGAAATGCAAATCAAAACCACAATGAGATATCATCTCACAGCAGTTAGAATGGCAATCATTAAAAGTTTAAATGAAAGAAACTAAAAACAAATAACTGTAGGCTTGTATTAAGATGATAATTTTACGATACTTTTAAAAACATAATTCCCTTTGGATGAAATCACTATTTTCTGCATAAGCTTTTAGATATATTTTACAAATAAATTATATCAAAATAATGGTTTTTAACTGAATATATATATTTTTAATGAAAAACATGTACTTAGTTTTCTGCTCAGTTTTCCTAATGAATAATTAGAGACTGTTTTCAAACATTGTTTTCAAAGATAGTTTCAAGAACATAATATATTTATTCTTTGAAAAACATATTTTTTATTTTTACATTAACAACAGACAGGCCAATAGGCATGGATTACAGGGGGCATAATCTCTCTGTAGAATCAAATTGATAATTAAATTGCTGTGTAAGCAAAATTAGCCAGGAGGTAAAAACAGAGATTTAAATGTATGTCTTTAGTTGACATGTACCTCTTTTTAATATTCCAGCACAAGACTGTACCAATAATTTTTACTAGGAAGTAGTATAATATAGTTTTTAAGAGCAAGTGCTACAATATGATAATTGAGTTTGGATTTTAAGTCTCCTAATGCTCTTGTGAAATATTGGATATTTTGCTTTACTTCTAGTAGACTCAGTTTTCTGAACAGCAAGTTGGGGTAATATCTTAAGCACAGATTTGCAGAATATTAAATTAGACTTATGCATATAAAGTACTTGGCATAATTCCTGACACATAATTCAATAAGTTAGTGTTATGATTGTTATAACTGTTGATAATGTAATTATAACCTTCAGAAAACGTATGCTCTCTCTAAGACTCTGGGCTATTCTAAATGCCAACTAATTTTCCAAGTAAACTATTCATTATTTTGTTATGTTTAAACAAACAAACAAAAATTAGATTTGGGAGGCCGAGGCAGGCAGATCACTTGAGGTCAGCAGTTCGAGACCAGTCTGGCCAACATGGTAAAACCTCGTCTCTACTAAAAATACAAAAATTAGAGGGTGGGGGCAGGTGCCTGTAATCCCAGCTACTGGGGAGGCTGAGGCAGAAGAATCACTTGAACACAAGAGGCAGAAGTTGCAGCAAGCTGAGATTGCACCACCACACTCCAGCCTGAGTGACAGAGCGAGACTCTATATCACAAAACAAAACAAAAACAAACCAGTCAGAGTCTTCATTCTCTTTCCCAAGTAAAATCTACATTCCTCCTGCTTTTCAAAACATTCCAACATGTATTTAATGATTCTCAGAGAGAAAAAAAATACATTTGGAGGAAAATTAAGGGAGCTTTTATACTGTTATTTACATTGATACCTCACAAATGAAGATATATTTATATATCTACCAAAGCCCCTGAATCTTCTACATTGCAAAATACATATAATTTTTCATGGAATGAACTGACTACTTTGCAGTTTTATTTTCAGTTATTGATACTACCTGGTGAACAAATTATTTTAACAAAGAAAATAAGGAAAACCATGTAGAATTATGAATCATGGGGTTATAGGTTTAAAAGGCAAAAAGGAACTTAGAATTTTACTGATGAATGGAAATCAGACGATATGTTGGCATTTCTTCAAACTAACCCCATGCTTTAAGTTGAAGCACCTTCATATTTCAAAGCACATTCTGCCAGAGTTTCATATAAAGGCATTTCAATTTAATTTAAATTGGCTAAAACAATTAGATAGCTTTTTCTCTCCTAAATGACTTGCTTTTGCAATGGATATAAAAGGCATTAGCTTTTAAAAAAAATTAGAGCAGGTATGAGGATTTGTCTCTTGAGATACACACTGATTATTAATAAAGAGGTTGTGAAAATTGAACATGACTTTCAGCCAACTCAGTAACATGAACTCTAAGTGACAAGTGACATTAAGAGCCCTTGAGAAGCAGGTCACTGTCAGAAGAAGGAGATACATGTAAGTATAAAAAAAATAAAATATTACCTTTGTAAAGAAGTTTAACTTCATTTTTTAACTTGAGGATCACAGTGAGCTAAAGAAAACTTGTTCAAGAGATTGTTACATCGGATTTTTTTTTAAAAGTCTTGTCTACTTGTCAGTATTCTAAAGAACTTCATGATATTATTCAATTTTCTTCAAATTCTTCAAAAGCTTCCCTTACTCTTAAGCTGTAGTCTATGCCTTGTAATAATGACACACACGCACGCGCGCACACACACACACACACACACACACACACATATATATCTCCGTGATTAATTTCTTTAATTTATGGTTGGCTAAATCCTTAAACCCCATAACTTGGTTGCACTTCTGTTGTCACGCCTTGGGTATTGCTGTTGTTCAAAATTGCTGCACCTCTCAAACCTCATCTTTAATCACACACTTTGTCTTTCTTATAACAATTCATTTTCCCTTTATCAAATACCTACCATTTCTGTCCTTCACAGTAGTTTCTGTAATTATATAATCAAACTCAATCAATATAACAGAAGACATAAGACACTTGTGTTTTGAATTCTTTAATTCACTACAAATGCTCTGCTATTTTTGCATTCATAATTTTAAACTGTAAATAACAATAACTACTATTGTCAGTTAGAATTTGGGGAGAAAGAAGAAGCAGGCTAGTGGGTTGTACTAACATACAAATGTTTTGTGAATCCATTCCTTTCAGGCTTCTGCATAATACCTTTTTTTTCCTCTTTAATGGAGAGAGCTGCTACAAAGCAGAGTAACCCCAAATGCCCAACAGCTCTGTGACTCAGACAGATGTTTAAATGTTGGGAATAGGATGGCTATGCAAGTGCTAACAGTTCTTTCCATATGAAATATAAAGGAAAACCAGGAGATCTATAGGAAACATTAAGATTTTGGTAATGCAAAAAAAAAATAAATAAAATTAAATGTCCAAGGAAATCACCAAAAGTTTCCCAAAATAGTCGGATAATTTCAGCTTTGTTCTGAAAGTGGTAGTCCCAAGAATTTCCTCTCAGAATTTCTCCTCTAATGTGGAGGAAAGTTTAGTCTGTGTCAGGGTTTCACATGGCCTTTTCCTCAGTAAGGCTTCTCAAATATGTTTATTCTACTTTTATCCACAGGACAAAGCCATCTTTGGTGAAGATAAATAAGAAACACCTGTTCTTTATACTATGTCAGCCAGTATGATGTTGGTGTGGGGATAAGAAAAGCAGACATTGTTAATGAAACTATTACAAGCTTTTTACGTAAATGTCTTCCAAGGTAGATGTGCAGCTGACTTCAATGTGTAATTAACAAATAACCGGGGTGACATCGATAGAAAGCCAAAAGTATATACTTCATTGATAAAACTATTGATTAACCAAGAGTATCAACTGATATTCTCGATTTTCAGGAGTAAATAAATGACATCTCAATATAGACAAGGTAGAGTAAAACAGGCAAATATTTCATGACCTTAGAATCTTATCCTTTGGTTTTCTTTTCAGAATCACTAAAACTGCCAAACTAAAATTCAGGTTGTAGGCAGTTAATCTTCTTGACTATCCCTTTCAAATGGTGTATATTGTTTCTTGCATATTTTCAAGGTTTTCTCCTTGGCTTTAGCTTTCAGTATTTTACCTTGATGTGCATGCTTATGAGTATCTTATTTTTATCTACATGGAATTTGTAGAATTTCCTAAATGTTTATTTTGTTTCTTCAGGTTCACACTTTTTTTTTCCTTTACCTGTTATATATTTTGTTGAGCTTCTTTAGTGAATTTTTTTTTATTTTTACTATTGTTCTTTCAACCCCAGAATTGCCCCCCTGGGGTCCTCTTGGCTTCTCTCTCCTGTCGTGGAACCATGCCTCACAAAGCAAGGGCTGTTGGCCCAGAGTACTCTCTGCTTACTGCATGAAAGAAGAACCTCTGATTCATGCATGAGGCTGGATGAATGAAAGGAGCCCATAGCTCTCCATCATACTCCCCTGAAACATAGCCTCAGCAACAAGCTTCTAAGGGCAGAACGAGAAATGATGAAGCCCCGCTCCTCCTGGGAAGCAGAAAACTACAGCTGAAAGATGGGGAGGAGTTTTGGAATTTTCACCACTTACCAGTTATTTTGGAGAGCTGATCAGTAGAACGCCTCATGCTGTCATCATAGAAGTTGATCAAAGTATTGTTTTCTTTCAGTCCACTAATTATATTTTGTCCTCAAATTATATTCTACCAAAATTCTGTTTCACCATAGTCCAAGTATTTTAAAAAGTTTTCTTGCCCTGTTCTTATTATGCAAAACGTAAGAACTATCCTTTTCCACCATCTCTTTGAAAAATCAAATATAAAACTGAAACACAATTCTGTTCCTTTCATGGTAATCTTTTCTATAGTACTCTATTTTCTGCTCATTGCTGACAGTAATGACCACATATTACATTTCAAATATGTATCTAGTTTTCCTAATCCCTTATCAAATATATATTTATGAATTGCAGTGGCAGTATAAACACTTCCATCTATATCTTCATATGTAGAAAGCACAGTTTCTTGCACAGGAGAGACGCAATAAGTATAGTGTCTATTATGACCACATTTATAAGTCAAAAAGGAGTTTGAAATGTTTCTACTTAAAAAGTCCTCCTTTTTCAAAAATTCTGTGAGACTTTGTGTAGAACAGGAATTATTACTTTCTTAAAGTGTGTAGTAGAATTCACCAGTGATAGCCTCTATTCCTGGAGTTTCTTTTGTGCAATGATTTTAAACTATAAAACCAGTTTAGTTGACAGCCTTGAGGCTATTAAATTGTATCCTAATTACATCTATTTCTTTTAAATGTCTTTCTTAAATTGACAAATAAATTGTATGTTTTTATGTATAATATGATGTTTTAAAGTAAAATTAGCTAATTAACAAATGTATAACCTCATATTTATTCTTGAATACGTTTTATTTTTATGTTTTTCTGATAATTTTTCTAATTCATCTAAGTTGGTGACTTTATTGGAATGAAGTTGTTGTTAATATTATCACAACTAACCTGTTAATACTTTAAATATTGAAGTGGTGCCAACTCTCTCATTTCTTATATTGCAGACTTTCTTGATAGTCAACAACTTTATGAATCTATTCAAAATCCCAGCTTTATTTTAATTGCCACATTGATTATTTTTATTTTTATTTTCAAAACATGGCTTTCCTCTCTGGTCTTTATTATTATTTTTCTTTTCAATCATATATGATTCTTTTCTTTGTTTCTAAAATTGGAAGCTAAAATTATGGACCTCATATTTTTATTCATATTATAGTTGTTTAGTGTTATAAATTTTCCTCTTAGAAGTGCTTTAGTTCCATCATCTAATAAATTTTGATAAAATGTTGCTTGTTTATATTGGTGAACCACTACCAAGAGATAAAAGTTTTATTAACTTTCTCTCAATATAACATTTTCCCCTGCTAATGCTTATCTGTACTACTTGCTTGGTATCCAATGAAATTCTATCCCACTTTTTGAATAGTTTCATCTGGTAATTAATCACATACAATTTTATGTATACATTTACTGTTTTAGTAGTTTTAATGCATATGCCCTTAATATTTGAAGTGATATCATCTATTAAAGAGTGAAGTCTGTGGTGGTTTTTTCTCTTAATTTACACACTGAACATCTAAACTCATGGTTATCAATGAAAATCGATTGAATTACATTGATGTAATTAACTGAGATTGAAACATGGTCTGATTTTATAGTGAAATACGTGGGAATCTGGAAACAAGTTTTTCTTTTATATAAGATTTCCTCTGAGTATGTTAGAAAAATATAATATTCTTCTACATCCCATGACACTGACCATCCAAGATAGCATCAGCAGCTCAGATCCCAAATCTTCACGGCATTGAAATATAGATGCTTTTTGTTTGTTTGTTTTAATGCCAAAAGGTTAAAAATGTGGAGAAACTTTACAATGAGACCCAAATAGTTACAGTATTCAATGTTGCTAGCACTGACCACATTTATAAGTGACAAAGGAGCCTATGTATCCTTGAATAAATGTCTCTGTGTGATGTATGACTCTAAAGCTGAAATGACACTTGCTGTATCAATTTCCTCAGCTGTAAACTGAGGATAATAGTGATATACATTGCCTAGGAATGTGTGAGTATAAAACTTACAATGTTTGTGACATTTGGATCGAACTGTATGATACTTGGTACATTAATGATAATTATTCACTTTCTCAAAACTTCAGGGATTTTAAATACATATACATACAAACACATATGCTATTTGTAATACAAAATAATCTTGTGAAAATGAGTTAATCTATTTAATGTGGAGATCAGATTTTGGCAACCTATAGTTTATGGACCAAATCCAGCCTGTTATCTGTTTTGTAAATAAAAATTTATTGGAGCACAATCCTACTCTTTGATTTATTAATTGTCCAGGGAAGTTTTCACACTACAGCAGCAGAACTGAGGAGTTGTGCCAAAGATCATGTGGCCACAAATTGTGACACTTACTCTATGGAACCTAAGGTCTTTGCTACACACACACACACAGGCACACAGACTCACACACGTTTGTCACCAACTCCTGGTATAGAATATAGCTTATATTCAGTATCAAATTGCCAGTCTCCCTTATCAGCCTAATAAGTATTTTAATTTGTAGTTATAAAATGAATTGTATTTTTGTTATTTATATATATGTATAGATTTACAGTGTTCTTATACTGGAAAATAAAATTATCTCACTTAAAAGTTAGAAATATGTTGCAAGAGATTATAAATATTTTCTAGAATTGTATAAGTTGTGTGTGCTGGAATTCAAGGCTTTGTTTGATAATAAATAACATTATAATGTTTTTTAACTATATTATTTTAGAGAAGGAAAATTTTTTCTAAAATATTAATAAGTGAAATCATTATGTATTCCAGTTAAATAATGTTGAAATAAATAACCATTATTTTTTGCCATTATTAGTATGCATAAGATGTAAATTTAAATAAAATAATATTTATGAAAACATTTTGATTTTCTCCATCAAAGACAGGACTTCATCAAGGAAATTGTTTCTTTCAATGAGAACACACTCTTTTTAAATTTTTGTCTTAGATAAAAAGAGAAAGCTAAAAAAAATATTTAGAAAGTCTGCAAACCTATGAAAGCCTGGAGTTATCATGTAGCTCTTAATTTAAACCCTTTTGACCTCATATAATATATTTTATCTAATAGATTAACTTTTTTTTGCCCTGAAATAGCTTCATTTTGTTTTGTTTTGAAATTCTCATTCACTTTTAAACTTTTAAACAATTTTCCAATAGTATTTTAAAAACTAAACAAATGTGTAGATATTTCTTCAGTCATCAAAGATGTAATTAGCATTAACAGTATGTAATTACTTCCTATAAATCACATTTGTGAATCAAATTGTGTGAATTTTATAATGGTATATGTATTTCAAAATCTTAAATCTATGTTTAGATAATATAGAAAATTACAAAAGTTATATTTCTTGGTTTTAGCCATTATTTTTCATTATGGGAAAATATCCATTTAATAAGTGCATTTCTAGAGCAACTTCAAATAATTTAGGAAATGTAAAATGACTTAAAATGCACAATATTTGTAAATATTGTGAATAGCAATTTTAGTATTGCTAAAACTAATTCAGAGTTAACAAGAGCCTAAAATGATGGTATTTTTCTGGCTTTTTCTCATGTTGGGAATATAAATTTCTGCTTGTTCTGTAAAATAACACGCTGTTGATTTTTTGGGAAGAAAGATGCTGCTAGTCATCATGTGTCTTTCTTCTTGTAAGTACTTGCATTATGATATTCAGATATGGTAGTATTAATATTGTAACAGATAGGAGTAAATAACTCTATTTAACAGATTAGCAAAGAATAAGGAAGACATTTAAACACTGTGACTAAGCCTGGTATCAACCATTCTTAGCTGTACATTTATTTCTACCACAGCACTTAGTGTTAAAATTTCTTGTAGCAGCCAAGCATTCCAAATGTTCTCCATTATTTTTCCCCCACTGCAGTAAAGAGAAAGTATAGAAGATAAATAAGAAACAAGTTTAATCCAGGTTGTTTATGGCATTTGGATCAATAACTTGCACTCAAGATAGAAAAAGCAACTTTATAAAGCAGTCTTTCTGACAAGATTGCATGTTGCCCCTGAAAAATATTGTTTCTGATACATTAGGGATGTAATTAATAATAGCTGAAGATTTAGTATTTCAGAAAACCCCTACAGAATAACAACAAAATTCTACGTCTTATGTGTTTCTAAGAGTGTAGGTGAATTTGAGAATGGCTATCAATAGGTTGTGATTTATCCTAGTAACTTTGGATAACATTGCAGCTATCTTTATCTAAGGCAGACACTGTTGTCAGCGTTTTTATCGATATAACTAGATAAGGTTTAAAAAGTGTATATGATTCCAGTAGTCACAGTAAGAGACTGAGGTAAAAACCAAAAATAACAATCAGCCAAAAAAGAAAAAAAAAACACCAACTAATGTTGTTAAATAAATAACTTTTTTTTGATGCTTACAGTTTTCTTTGTTCTGCCTGCTTTAAACAAGTTTGGGAAATGAATGCAATTTTCCATGTCCAATGCCCTAAATCAAAAAGGGTATTCTATCAGTCATTTCATATAATGGACTAAATGCAAGTCAATGGTCTCAGGTGTTATTTTTCTCAGAAATATTTGATAGGGTTAACATTTCCTTGAGAAATAACTAACTTTTCTCCTGTTAACAAATATTAGCCTAAAATGCAAGAAATTAGAATTTTTATGGACAATCATTATTGACAGTACGGCTGAAACTATACCTACAAGGAAGCTACCCCAAAGAGTCATGAGTGGAATACAACAATGACAAAAAAAAAATTCCACAGCATTTTAAAATGTAATTTTAAGGCATACAAGTGAAGTTTGTTACATGAATATAATGTACCGTGGTGAAGTCTAGGCACTTACTGTAACCACAACCTGAATAGAATGGAACCTTACATTGAATCATTAAGTAATTTCTCATACCTTACTTCCTTCCCACTCTTCCAGCCTTCTGAGTATCCAATGTCTACTATTCCACACTCTGTATCCAGGTGTAAACATTATTTAGCTTACAAGTGAAAACATGTGATATTAGATTTTCTGTTTATGAGTTATTCCACTTAAGACAGCATCTTACGATTTCATCCATGTTGCTATAAACGACACTATTTCATTTTGTATAGCTGAATAATGTTCATATATATCTATATATTTCATTATTCAATGATCTGTTAATGGACACTTAGGTTGATGCCATATCTTTGCTATTGTGAATATTGCTGCAATAAACATACTAGTTCAGTTATCATTTTGATAAAATGATTTCTTTTTCTTTGGTTGATACTCAGTAGTGGAGTTTATGGATCAAATGGGATAGTTCTATTTTTAGCTGTCTAAGAAGTCTCCATAGTGTTTTCCATAGAGTTTGTACTAATTTACATTCTCACCAACATTGTATACACATTCCCTTTTCTCTGCATTCTCACAAATATTTGTTATATTATTGTATACTTAATAATAGCCACTCGTAATGATGTACAACGATATCTTATTGCGGTTTTAATTGTAATTTCTCTGACGATTTGTAACATTGAGCATTTCTTTTTGGTCTGTTGGCCATTGTATGTCTTCTTTTGAGAAATGTCTATTCATGTCCTTTGTCTACTTGTTAATGGAGTTTTTTGTGGTTTGTGGTTGTTGTTTTGTTGTTGAGTTATTTAAGCTTCTTATAAAACCTGAATGTCAGTTCTCTTTTGGGTGCATAGTTTGCAAATATTTTCTCCCATTCTGTATGTTGTCTCTTCACTCAGTTCATCACTTCTGGAAATAAAATAATCACTGAAGGAATTACAAAATAAAATTGAAAGGTTTAACCATAGAATAGACCAGGCAGAAGAGACTCTATGACCTTGAAGACAAGTCTTTTGAATTAAGCTAGTCAGAAAAAAATAAAGAGAATAAGAAAAAAGCATTCTAGAAATATGAGAATACATAAAGCAACTAAATTTATAAATAATTGATATTTCTTAGGGAGAAGAAAAAGCAAAAATTTAGGAAACATATTTAAGGAAATAATTGATGAGAATTTCTTTAGGCAAAAGATTTATGCATCCAGATACAAGAGGCCCATACTTTGCAAGATGATCATCACTATGACATATAATTTTCAGACTATCTAAAGTCAACATGAAGAAAAAGAATACAAAATCAACAAGAGAAAAGTGCTACTCACCAATAAAGAAAACCACGTGAGACTAACAGCACACTTCTCAGCAGAAACCTTATAAGCCAGAATCGACTGGGATATTATTTTCAGGTTGCTTAAAGAGAAAAAAAAATCAACCACAAATTTTATATTCTGTCATAATAAGCTTCATAAGTAAAGAAGAAATAAAGTCTTTTCCACACAAGCAAACATTGAGAGGGTTCTTCACCACTAGATAGTTTCTACCAGAAATTCTCAAAGGAGATCTAAACATAAAAATGAAAGATCAATAGTTGTCATCATAAAAACATGATAGTACAAAGTTCACAGGTCTTAAAACAATTTCATAAAAGATGAAGATAATTATAATGTCAACATGACAGAACTCCGCCAAACTATGCAGATAAACAGAAAAATTTTAAAAAATACATGAAATAATTAATGTAATGACAGGAACAAGACTTCCCATATCAAGATTGCATAGCATCTTAAAGGGAAAACAACTAACTCGTTGACTAAGTTACCTTGAATAATTGGGATGTGAATCTAAAGTACTTTCTGTACTTTCAAAGTTATGTTGCATAGTCATTCTTTCCTGTCCACAATGACATTTCAAGGAGAGCTTATCACCTTTGAGTTGATTTCCATTTCTAAAAATTTAGTTGGGCAAAGATTGAATTTTAAACTCAGTTCAAAATATTTTTCTCTCCATTAAATGGCTCAAAACCTTAGAATCGGGAGGAATCAGTTCCAGTTCTTTCACAGCCCCTCCTTCTTCAGGACAAAACTCTTCGGTAGTTAAGTGACAGCAGAATAGAGCAAGGTTTTGGTATTTTTTGTTTTTTTGTTTGTTTTGTTTTATTTTTAATAATCCCATTAACAGAGATTCTTATCAAAAGTGTTATCTATTAACACCAATTTTATATTTTTTATTTCCATAAATAAATCCATTCCATTAGACTACTCTCTTAACACTTTCTCATTAATGTATCTAAAATGAAGTTGCTTTACTGGCCAATATCTCATCTATACCTTCCATATTCTATTTCCACATAAGTAATGGCCCCATCATCCACCCAGTTGATCAAGCTAGACATCTCAGAATCTTCTTTGATTACTTCTTCACCATTAACATCCATCTAATCTAATGTTTTATTGGTTCCTTCACTTTTATATAAAAATGTATTTAACTCATTCTTGCATATCCTCATTCTCACTGTCAAAATTCTACCCTAAACCAACATTAAATATTATCTTATTTAACTATAGTAGTAGAATCCTATGCCTTCCAACCTCTCTTTTCTAACTGAAAAAAAAAGTGTTTTTTGTAAAAAGTGATACACACACACACACACATCATGATGTCACTTCTATGTTTAAACTATTTCAATCACATCCCATTTACTCAGCATAAAAAATCTCTGTCTTGTCTACCTGGATCAGGACTTGGCCTTTATTTTTTTCTTTCCTTTTAAAATTCTCTTATAATTTAAATAGTTAGAACTATGTATCAGGGCAAGATGTTTGTTTTTATATGCCTTGCTTTTTTATCTTCTGCATTTTATCTTAATTGTGAAAGTTGCAATGTTGGTATCCAATCAAAGTGTTTAGTTAGAGTTACCAAGTATTATTCTGTATTCCAGATTGAGATTGTCTTCATTCATTTAAAATTTTTGATCTTAAATTTTGTATTTATTTGTCATTTTTAAATCTTCTTTACCCAATGGCTGGTGACTTTCACAATAAAAGTAGCAATGTGTGTTAAAGTCATGTATACATTAGTTATGAGTAACTAGGGATGATCTTCCATATTAGTTATTAAGGTATAACACATAAACCACCATATATGTGTGTGTGTGTGTGTGTATGATATGTGTTTATGTATGTGTATATATGTATACATATTTGTGTTTGTGTGTGTATGTACAACGTGATCAATGTGGTTCCACAACTAATTGAGAAAAGTGTTCAGAATACGCAGGTGAAAAAAATGTATCTCTCCATTAAATTATTAAGTTGCTATCTTAAACTAGTAGGACAAAATGCAGAAAAAATGTTCTTGTAGCTTAGGAAGGGGATAATACCTTTGAAGCAATGCTGAAAGAATCAGTGCAACAAACATTAATTAGTATAATTACATCAAAGTAAGGGTTTAAATGAAGAACAAAATAGACAAAGTTTTTAGCCAGAAAAATATATTAGGAAATGATACTGGAGTATCTAAAATCATCAAGATAATAATTTTGAAAAGTCAATAACAAAATAATTTTATATTTTAATCTAATCTGACAAATTATAAAGCTGAATATTCATGTACTGGTAAGATTATAAGGAGAAATGACAATTGTGGTATTATTGGTCTTTTTAAATTTCATTAGGTGTAACTATATTTTTTAAAAGTCTAGAAATGTCCAATGTTACAGTTACACACAACAATGAATACATTATTATGATGGAAAATTAAGCATTCACATAATCTGTAATTTTATACCTGAGTAGGAATATGCATCCAAAAATACCTTAACATTCTTTTGGTGCTAGGTGTTAATACAAAGATATTGATATCAATGTTATTGACTATATCAAAAAGTCATCAGTTATCTGTATTTCCATCACTATAGGAGTTAAGTAGAATATACATGCAGAATGATGCAGCAGCAAGAACTAACATTTTATGATAAAGGAATATGGTTAGGTGTAAGTATAGATTAAAAAAACTAAATTATACATCTACTGATGAATAGATAAAAAATCTTCTTTGTTCACACAGTAGAACACTACACAAAAATAAAATAGAATAAGTGCTGATACACATCACAATGAAAGCCTATGATAAGTGAAAAATCCAGACACATATGACTCCCATTTTACAATTTCGTGGGCTATATTGAAATGATATGGAATTGTGGGTGACAAAAGAGAAGTGCATGATAATCTGACCACTCCTGAGAGAGCTGATCATTCTTGCTTGCTATAAGATCTTATCTCTGGGGAGGCTAGGAAGAAGTAAAGTATTTGTGATTTGTCTCTGATGTTTTCTTAATAGTACTCACTGACAATTTCTATATTTCAAGTAAAACGTTATTGCACAATTGCTGATGCAAACATAAATATCTGCAGAGTTGCAGCATTTTGGCTCATTTTGGTTTTAGGAAATGAGATATAATTTATTCTCAATCTGGTACATTTTGGGTGCCTTCCATCTATTTCCAGAAGATAAGATATGCACAGTGAATGTGTACTGGTATCAATTACTGTCTTAAATAAATTAGAGAACGTGATATCACCTCTTTGTACCTGCCCCAAAAAACTGTTCATTTTAGCTCTACAAAATTTTGAGGGTGGGGGGTGATAGAGAAAACGTAATGTGAGATACAGGTTATGTATTGGCTTATTTGTTCAGGATTCTGTTAGTTTTATCTCGGTAGTTAAGTACCAACTTCATCTAATTGAGCCAACTTATAAGGAAAGCTGTTCTTCATATACAGATGTATAAATGCCACACTTCTGAGCAAGCTGTATTGAGGAGAGTGGTTGAACATATTCTGGATTGTAAAGCATGTTTACTTAAAAGAAATCCTTACAATTACCTGTGTTATTTATACTTATTTATATAAGTTGCTTAACTGTTATACACCATTGTACCTTTCAATTTAATGCACATCTTTGGAGAAAATAGACATGATATATAGAATACATCCATTCAAATTTAAATTAATATTAATGAAATTAATAATATTTTTCAAAATGAAGGTGTTCATGTATATGTCAGAGCATTTTTTTGCTAGAGTACATAATTTTATAGTCACATTTTATCATTCTGAATATAAACATGATTAAATCTATAACTTAATAAAGATTGGTTTAATAGAGTGCACTTCTAGAGCTTCAAAAATGGTGTGCTCTGACTTTGCTTTTGCTTGATATTTTACAAATTTATTATTATCAATCTTTGGAAATTTCTGACCCTATGATAACATTCATTATTTCTACAAAATTCTTTGTAAATTTGCTTTTTCTTTCAGGAATTTGATGTAGTGAAATTTGCTATTTCAATGATCTGTTCCTTCCAGAAGAAAAAAGGTTACTTAAAATTAATACCTAATATCAAATGAAGACCAGAACATTACAAGAAAATAAAACTGCAAAGCCATATCCTTCATGAAAATTGATGTGAAAATCTTTGACAAAATATTGGTAAATTGAAGACAACAATATACACAGAAAGCCTCATCACTAAGTAGATTTATCTCAAAAAATAAATGGTTCATTTGTCATTTAAAAAGAAAATAAAGTCATTATCTCAACAGATACAGAAAAACAATTTGAAAAAGTTTAACATCCATCTATGTTGCATGAAAAACTTAAAGCTAACATCTCTGTTTTATTATGTACAGTAACTTTATTTACTTTCTAATGATCTCAACTTCAAGATTCAGGGGGTACATGTACACATTTGTTATATGATTATATTGAGGGATGCTGAGGTTTGGAGTGTGGTTCGTCACTCAGGGAGTGAACACGGTACCCAATAGGTAGTTTTTCAACCCAGGCCTTACTTCCTCACTACCACCTCTAGTAGTCCACAGGACCTATTGTTCCCATGTTTACGTCCCTGAGTACTCAGTGTTTTACTCCCAGTTATAACTGAGAACATGTTGTGTTTGGTGTTGTCTTCCTGCATTACTTCACTTAGGATTTATGGCCTCCAGCTCCATCCATGTTGTTGCAAAGAACATGATTCCTCCTTCTTTTTTTTTTTTTTTTTTTTTTGAGGTGGAGTCTCGCTCTGTCTGGAGTACAGTGGCGCGATCTTGGCTCAGTGCAAGCTCCGCCTCCCGGGGGTCACGCCATTGGCCTGCCTCAGCCTCCCAAGTAGCTGGGACTACAGGCACCCACCTCCACGCCTGGCTAATTTTTTGTAGGGACGGGGTTTCACCGTATTAGCCAGGATGGTCTCGATTTCCTGACCTCGTGATCCGCCCGCCTCGGCCTCCCAAAGTGCTGGGATTACAGGCGTGAGCCACCGCGCCAGGCCCATGATTCCATTTTTTAATAACTGCATAGTATTCCATGATATAAATGTACAACATTTTCTTCATCCAACCCACTATTGAGGGGCACATATGTTGACTTCATGTCTTTGCTATTGTGAATAGCATTGCCATGAACATACCAGTGCATGTGTCTTTTTGATAGAATAACTTATTTTATTTTGGGTATATACTCAGTAATAGGATTTCTGGGTTGAATAGTGTCTCTGTTTTAAGTTCTTAGAGAAATTGCAAAACTGATTTCCACTGTAGCTGAACTAATTTACATTTCTTTCAATAGTATATATAAGTGTTCCTTTTTTCTACAGCCTCACCAGCATCTGTTATTTTATGGTTTTTAATAGTAACCATTCTGACTAGTGTGAGATGGTATCTTGTGGATTTTACTTGCATTTCTCTGATGATTAATGATGCAGAGTATTTTTTCATGTTTAGTACCTGCTTGTACGTCTTCTTTTTAGAAGCATCTGTTCATGTCCTTTGCCCATTTTTTAATTTGGTTATTTGGTTTTTGCTTGTTGATTTCTTTAAGTCCCTTATAGATTATGGATATTAGAATTGTGTCAGATGCATATTTTACAGAATTTTTCCCCAATTCTCTAGGTTGTCTGTTTACTGTACTGATAATTCCCTTTGCTTTGCAGAAGCTCTTTAGTTTAATTAGGTCTTCCTTGTCCATTTTTGTTTTTGTTGCAATTGCTTCTGGGGACTTAGCAAAAAATTATTTGCTAAGGTCCATGTCCACAATGATGTGTTCTAGGTTTTCTTCTAGGATTTTTTATAGTTTGAGATCTTATATTTACATAAGATTACTTAATCCATGTTGAGTTAATTTTTGTACATGGTGAAAGGTAGGTATTTAGTTTCATTATTCTGCACGTGGCTACTCAGTTATCCACACATCATTTATTGAATAGCAAGTTTCTCCCCCTTTAATTGGTTTTGTTGGCTTTGTCAAAGATTCTATGGTTGTAGGTGTACAGCGTTATTTCTGGGTTTCCCATTGTGTTCCATTGGTCCATGTATCTGTTTTTGTACCAGTATGATGGTGTTTTTGTTTACTATATCCTTTCAGTACACTTTGAGGTCAGATAATGTGATGCCTCTGGCTTTGTTCTTATTGCTTAGTATGAATTTGACTATCCTGACTCTTTTTCAACTTCATATTTTAAAATAGTTTGTTGTAATTCTGTGAAAAATAATCTTGGTAGTTTGACAGAAATAGCGTTGGTTGCTTTGGGCAATATGGCCATTTTAGCAATATTGATTCTTCTATTCCATGAGCATGGACTGTTTTTCAGTTGATTGACATCGTCTCTGATTTCTTTCAGCAATGCTCTGTAGTTCCTATAGAGATCTTTCCCTTTCACTTCCTTGTTTAGATATAGTCTTAGGCCCTATGTATTTCAGGGTTTTTTTTTTCCATGTTAAATAAAATTGTGTTCCTGATATGACTCTCAGCTTGAATGTCGTTGCATAGAAATGCTACTAATTTTGTATATTAACTTTGTATCCTGAAACTTTACCAAAGCCATTTACCAGTTCCAGGAGCATTTTAGTGGAGTCTTAGGGTTTTTTGGGTATAAAATCATATAATCAGGTAAAGAGTTTAATTTCATCTTTTCCTAATGGATGTCTTTTATTTTTTTCTTTTGTCTGATTGCTCTGGCTAGGATGTCCAATAGCATGTTCAATAGAAGTGGTGAGAGTAGGCATTCTTGTCTAGTTCCATTTCAGACAAGAAATGGTTCCAGCTTTTGCCTGTTCAGTATGATGTTGGCTACGTGTTTGTAATAGATGGCTACCATTGTATTGAAGTATGTTATTTTAGTGTGTAGTCTGTTGAGGGCTTTTATCATGAATGGATGTTAAATTTTATCAAAAGCATTTTCTGAGTCTATTGAGATGATCACATGATTTTTATTTAAGTCTGTTTATGTGGTGAATCACTTTTACTGATTTGCATATGTAAAGCCAGCCTTCATTCCCAGGAGCAAAGCCTACTTGATCATGGCGTATTAACTTTTGGATGTGCCGCTGATTCAGTTTGCTAGTAACTTGTTGAGAAAATCTGTGTATATGTTCATCAGGAATATTGGCCCTAAGTTTTGTTTTGTTTTTTTCATTGTGCCTGTGCCAGATTTTTGCATCAGGCTGTTGCTGAGTTTATAAATGAGCCAGGTAGGGCCTCTCTGCTATAATTTTTTGAGAATAGTTTAAGTAGGATTGGTACCAGGTTTTCTTTGTATGTCTAATAGAATTGGCTATAAATTCATTCGGTTCAAGACTTTCTTTGGTTGGCAGTTTTGTATTACTGACTCAATTTCAAAAGTTGTTCTTGGTCTGTTGACTTTTTCACTTTCTTCCTGGTTTAGTCATAGGAAGTTTTGTGTTTTTCCAGGAATTTATCCATTTTTTCTAGACTTTCCAATTTGTGTACATAGAGTTGTTCAAAATAATCTCTGAGTATCTTCTGCATTTCTATGGGATTGAGTGTAATGTCATTGTTGTTCTTTTGATTGTGTTTAATAGGATCTTCTCTCCTTTTTTCCTTTGATAATTTAGCCAGCAGTCTATCAATTTTGTTTATTCTTTTGAAAAACCAATGTTTTGTTTCATTTATCTTTTGTATGGATTTTTACATCCCAATTTTGTTCAGCTTTTCTGTAATTTTATTTATTTTCTTTTTTTGGGGGGAGCTTTTTAAAATTTTGTTCTAGTTTCTTTGACTATATAGTTCTATTGTTAATTTGAGATCTTCCTAACTTCTTGATGAAGGTGTTTAGCACTACCAAGTTTCCTCCTACCACTGATATTGTTGCATCCCAGAGACTTTAGTAAGTTGTGTCCCTATTAAATATTTTTTTTCTTATTTTCTTCTGAATTTCATTGTTGATCCAGGGGTTATTCAAGAGCAAGTTGTTTAATTTCCATGTATTATTTAGTTTTGAGAGATATTTTTGAGATTCATTTCTGTTTTTACTCAACTATGATCTGAGAGTATGCTTGGTATATTTTCTATTTATTTTTAATTTATTGAGACTTTATGACCAAGCATGTGGTCTATATTAGAATACATTCCCTGTGCAGATGAGAAGAATGTATATTCTGTAATATTTGGGTGGAATATTCTGCAGATGTGTATTACATCCAATTGTTTGAGTGTTGAGTTTAATTCCTGAATTTCTTTGTTAGTTTTCTTCCTCAATAATCTGTCTAACCCTGTCAGTAGGGTGCCGAAGTCTCCCATTTTTATTGTGTGTCTGTCTAAATATTTTCATAGTTCAAGTGCATTTCTTTTACTGGTGTGTGTCTCAGTGTTAAGTGCATATATATTTAGGATAGTTAAGTGTTCTTGGTGAATTGTACCCTTTATCATTATGTAAAGCCCTTCTTTGTCCTTAATTGTTTTTTTCATGTAAAGTCTGTTTTATCTGATACAAGAATAATGACTCCTGCTCTTTTTTCTTTTCAGTTTGCATGATAGATCTTTCTCCATCACTTTACTTTGAGTTTATGTGTGTTATTAAATGTGGGATGTGTCTCTTGAAGAAAGCAGATGGTTTGACTTGTCTTTTTATCCAGCTTTTTTTTTTTTTTTGCTTTTTTTTTTTTTGAGATGGGGTTTCGCTCTTGTCTCCCAGGCTGGAGTGCAATGGCGTGATCTCTCCTCGCTGCAACCTCAGCCTCCGGGTTCAATCGATTCTCCTGACTCAGCCTCTTGAGTAGCTGGGATTACAAGTGCGTGCCACCATGTCCGGGTAATTTTTGTATTTTTAGTAGAGATGGGGTTTTACCAGGTTGGCCAGGCTAGTCTCGAACTACTGACCTCAAGTGACCCACTCGCCTCGGCCTCCCAGAGTGCTGGGATTACAGGTGTGAGCCACCGCAGCTGGCCCTTTTTACCCAGCTTTCTACTCTATGTCTTTTAGGTAAAGTGTTAGACTATTTACATTCAGAGTTAGTCATTATTTTGATTTTTTGTTATCGTGTTGTTAACTTGTTGTTTTGTAAACTTGATTGGGTAGTTGCTTTATAGTGTCCGTGATCTGTGTTCTTAAGTGGAATTTTGTGGTAGGAGGTGTTATTCTTTTGTTTCCATGTTTACCATTCCCTTAAGATTTTACTTTTTTATTTTTATCTTTTAAATTTTTGATACAGGGTCTGGCTGTATTACCTGGCTGGAGTGCAGTGGCACGAACACAGCTGACTGTAGCCTTGATCTCCCAGGCTCAGTCTACCTGCCTCAACCTCCCAAGTAGCTGGGACTATAGGTGCACACCACCATGCCCAGCTAATTTTTATATTTTTATAGAGATGAGGTCTCACTATGTTCCTCAGAATACTCTTGAACTGTCCTGAATACATTATTCAGTTGGATGTGGTGATTACCTTTTAACAAAGCATGTAAATGTTGCATGTTTTATGGCCAAACTATAAATTGTTACAGTTATTTTAGTGGATCAGTTTAATGATGTTAAAAATAAGTCCATCATATTGTATCTCACTGCGAGGGAAAACAATTCCTGAAGTAGAATTTTCATGCTTTATAGCTCCTTCTATCTCTATATTATTGGCAAGTTTTGAGTTGATCCTCTTACAAAGTCAATATTCTGTCTAAAGTCTGTAATCTGAATAAAACTTAGTTGATAATGTTACTGAATGCCATAGTAAACTCCACCTGCAATAATTAATAAAAACATACTGTTTGAAGTAACATGCAAAAGTTTCTGAACATGTAGTATGTTTTACTTTTTCTACCTTGAATAAAATACATTAATTGAACATCAAATCAGCATAATTTATAGAAAAAAATCAACCAACATGAATAGTGAATCAAATAAATAGATTACCCCAATAGGAAATATGATTTGTTTTATTTTTAAAAATAAATTTGTTTTTTCTTGTATCAGTCACATTCATGCTTCATAGATATTCCTGGTTCATGAAATAATTACTCAATTCACCTTTAATGGATGAGATAATCTGAATGTATACTTGTTGTTATTGCTCATGCATATTGTAGCTTGACTGAACCTCGTTCATATAAAATAATGTATAATTAAAAGATAAAATGACACCTTTGTCCAATAAAATAATATAGAAAGTAGAAATGTGATTTTTAAAAAACATTATTTCAGAAAGAAAAAAAATTGCGACAAGTAGTGAAATATTATGTCAGGAAGATAAGGGGAGATGTCAGTCATGGAAAGTCTTGTATGTCATATTAAAGGCTTTGATTGCGTAAACTAGAATGACATTGGAATGTTATACCTATAGAAGTGAGAAGGTAAGACTTAACATCATCGCAAGACCATTCTGGATGCTGTGTAGTAACAATAAGAAGTAGAAGAATAAAAAGCAGAAAGACAATTGGCTGGCTTTTGCTGAAATTCAAGGAGATGATAATGGCATGGGAAATAATAATGGCCATAAAATACAGTATCACAAAAATTTTTTGCCAAGGCCTACATTCTGAGCATATGGCAGAATAGAGCTATCATTAACTATAATTACAAAGCCTGTATGAGAAATTATATTATTGTTTATATTTTGGTTTGGTTGTTTCATTTTTGGCAATGGCAAAACAAGCATATTTGGATCTCACACTTGAACATGTACCTTGGAGTTGCCTTTTAAAAATTCAAGTAGATTTGCCTAGTACATAGTTAGATAAATGAGACTGGATTCAGGCAAAGTCTCAAGGCTGAATATAGATTTTCAGAATCATGAAAATAAGATGGAATTATATTTCTAGTCATGTAACTGAATGAAATCACCTAAGGTATCAGTGTAGATTAACAAGTTGTTCAAGGAATAAACTCTGAAACACTTCAACATGAGAACATGAAAGATAAAATGAGACTATGAAGAAAAGACCAAAAAGTTTAAGGAAAAACAAGTGAATTTGTTGTCCTAAAACCTTTAACATAATTAAATATTATGTATAACTACATTTCAAATTGTTAAACATATTTTTTGCTATAAATTTATTGTAATTAAAAAATTATTACAGTAAAATGTACATAATATAAATTTACCATCTTAACCATTTTAACTATACAGTTCAGTAGTATTAAATATAGATATACTGGGTGCAATCATCATTACCATTTATGTCCATAACAATTTTCATCTTGTAAAAATGAAATAATAACTACTCACTCCCCTCTTCTCCTCTTCCCTGGCAATCACCGTTCTCCTTTCTATTGTTATGATTTTTCCACTCTAAGTACCTCATATAAGTGGAATTACACAGTATTTGTATTTTTATGATCAGCTTATTTCACTTAGAATAATGTCCTTAAGGTCCATCCATATTGTAGCATATGTTGAGATTTTTTCGTATGCCTGAATAATATTCTGTTGTGTATATATAACACATTTTTCTTATTAATTCATCTATCAGTGAACATAGTTGCTTCCATGTTTTAGCTATTGTGAGTAATGCTGCTATGAATATTGGTGTACAAACATCACTTTGAGACTCTGTTTTCAATTCTTCTGAGTGTAAACCCAGTAGTGGTATTACTGGACGATATGGTAATTCTGTATTTAATTTTGAGGAACTGTCATACTGTTTTCCATAGCAGCTGTATGATGTTTTACAATCTCATCTACAGTGCACAAGGGTTTCAAATTCTCCACATCCTTCCCAACACCTTTTTTTATAGCAGCCTACCAATGTGAGGTGGTCTCTCATTGTACATTTAACTTACATTTTTCTAATGATCAGTGATGTTGATGTAATGCATAATATTAACAGAATAAAAAAATACACATGATCATCTCACTTAATGCATAAAAATCATGTGAAGAAATTTAAAATCCTTTCATGATAAAAAAACATTAAAAAGTCTAGGAATACAAGGAAACTACCTCAGAATAAAAAAAATACATACATGAAAAGCTCACAGCAAGATCATAATCATTGGTGAAAAACTGAAGCATTTTCCTCTAAGATCAGGAGAAAGGCAAGGATATCAGTTTTTTCACTCGTATGTTTTGGCTCTATGTCCCCACCCAAATCTCATTCCTAATTATAATCCCCATGTGTCTTGGGAGGGACCTGCAATCCCCATGTGTTGATGAAAGGGGGTGATTGAATCATGGGGGTGGTTTCCCCCATGCTGTTCTTTTGACAGTGAGTGAGTTCTCATGTGATCTGATGGCTTTATAAGCCTATGGCATTTCTCCAGCTTGCACTTGTCTCTCCTGCCACCATGTGAAGAAGGTCCTTGCTTTCCTGTGGCCTTCCATCATGACTGTAATTTTCTTGAGGCCTCCCCAGCTATGTGGAATTGTGAGCCCATTATACCTCTTTCCTTTGTAAACTACCCAGTCGGCCAGGCGCGGTGGCTCACGCCTGTAATCCTAGCACTTTGGGAGGCCCAGGCGGGTGGATCACGAGGTCAGGGGTTCGAGACCAGCCTTGCCAACATGGTGAAACCCCATCTCTACTAAAAATACAAAAAATTAGATGGATGCGGTGGTGCCCACCTGTAATCCCAGCTACTCAGGAGGCTAAGGCAGGAGAATTGCTTGAACCCAGGAAGCGGAGGTTGCAGTGAGCCGAGATCACATCATTGCACTCCAGCCTGGGCGACAGAGCAAGAACCCATCTCGAGAAAAATAAATACATAAATAATAAATAAATAAATTACCCAGTCAAAGGTAGTATTTTCATAACAGTGTCAGAGCAGAATGATACAACCACTTCTCTTCAACATAGTACTAGAATTTCTAGCCAGAGCCATTCAACAAGTAAAAGAAATTGAAAAGCAGTCAAACTGAAAAGTAAGGACTAAGATTATCTTTGCTCAGTGATGATATGATTTT
Source organism: Homo sapiens (assembly GCF_000001405.40). Lineage (NCBI taxonomy): Eukaryota > Metazoa > Chordata > Mammalia > Primates > Hominidae > Homo > Homo sapiens. The sequence goes on from NC_000001.11 coordinate 189,056,074, forward strand.
TTATTTTATGAAAGCTTAAGTATTCCACAAAAAAACTGTTATAACTAATGAACTAAACAAAGCAGCAGGATACAAATTCAATACACAAAACTTACTTACATTTCTTCAAAAAAGAACAATCTGAAAAATACATTGCAAACAACTCTTGTTTACGATGGCACGAAAAAAATAAAAATTTAGGAATTAACTAAGAAGATGATAGACTTGCACAATGAAAGCAAAACAATGCTAAAAGAAGTGAAAGAAGATATAAATAAATAACAATATGTCCAATGTTCATAGACTGGCCAAGTTAATATTGTTAAGATGTCAATACTACTTAAAAAAAAGCTGCTGATTCAGTGAATTCTCTTTAATATTCCAATGACTTTTTTTTTCCAGAAGCAGAAAAACTTTCTCTAAAAATCACATGGATTTTCACAGCACCTTAAATAGGCAAAACAGAACTGAAAAAGAAACACAAAGCTGGGAATTCTCACTCCCTGATTTCAAAATTTATCCCAAATCTACAGTAATTAAAATATTTAGTGCTTCTATAAATATAGATATACAGATTAATGGAAGAAAATAGAGAGCCCAGAAATAAACCCTCATATATACTGTAAAATTATTTTTGACAAAGTTGACAAGACCATTCAATATGGAAAAAACAGTCTTCTCATTTAGTCATCATTTAAGTTAGACCCTTACAAACATTATATACAAAAATTAGTGCAAAATGAATCAAATATCTATATGTAAGATCTAAAACTACAAAATATGTAGAAGACCTCATAGGGAAAAATCATCATGATATTGGATTTTGCAGTGATTTATTGAATATGACATAAAATGCTCAGTTAACAAAAGAATAAACAGACAAGTTAGACTTTATAATTTTTTAATTGTTCATTGAAAGACAATATAAAGAATAAAAAGACAACTTACGAAAGGGAGAATATATTTGTAAGTCATATATGTAATAAGAAATATTCAGAGTATGCAGAGAACTCCTAAACTCAACAACAGCAGTAAAACAAACAACCCGATTCAAAAATGAGCAGAATAAACATATCTCCAAAGAAGATATACAAATAACTAGTAAATAAGCACTTGAAAAGAATTTCAACATCATTAATTTTTGATAAAACTTTTTAAATCTAAACTCAAGTATTTCATTTAGTAAAGAATATGTCACCATTCTTCCTTTTCTTGCTTTAAGATTTTATTTTTTAGTCATAATAATATATTTTTTTCTAAAAGCTGAAAAAACCCTGAAAAAGTCTCATGCATCTCTGAGTAATAAACCTGCCTGATAAATTATGCTTTTATAATGTTAAAGTCCATTGTTGCACATAATATTGTTAAATTGGTGTCTAATAATATATCATTCTTTAATTACCTAATTCTATAATTGTCAATGTTCCATCAATCTAGTATACATTTTGAAAGTAATAATGATGAAAAGTGTGCCAATAATTTTAAAATGTATGCTACTGAATTCTCTAAAGTAAAAGAGACTCCATCATTTATTTTTAATATTTTCCTTTTTTGTATAAATAACAATCCTTAAATGGTTTGGATTCTTAAAAACTTTCCTGCCAATAAAATATTACAGATTTAGTTTGTAATGAATGTAATAATGATTTGTATTCTTTTCCCATTCCTGGCATTAATTGAAGTGTTGCCAACTCTGAATAGAGGTCATTTTAGTTCTGGTATAACATATTGTAACATGTTGTACAATTGATATCTGTAGGCATTTTTTAATTAAGTGATATACAAAAAAGAATATTTTGTGATAGGGTAGGTATATTTTTTCTTGCTTGTAACAAAATTTAACTAACTGAAATTAGTATGCCACTCCCTTTTGAAAAGCTTAAGAAAATTTTAAAAATTTCAACATAATTCTGTCGTTCATCTATTCCCGTAACTGTAGAGCACTTACAGTTTTATGGATAATTAATTTATGATAGTAATAAAACTTTTATAGCAAATCCTAATTTTAGTAGAAATAAATGCAAGATCAATAATCTTCAATGTAAGGAGTCTAACCTTGAGCAGGATACAGTATCAGCTTTCTAAACTTTTACTCAGATATAGCTAGCCTCCTTTTAGCAAATTTTAATGTTTCATTTAGCAGTAAATATTGTCAAATTGAATATTTATATTCATTTTATTAATGTTTTAAGTACCTATGTATCAGGTGTGACCAATAGTTACACAAACTTTGCATATGATATTTCATATTTTGGCATAGGTTTTTCAGTGATTATGAGGTTGTGATTTCTTTTGTTTTATATATGTTAAGCCCTACTGGGGAAATGAATACTTTTTAAGTACATGTTGATATTTTATAAACTATACTTAAGTACAATAATTTTCCATATATCAGCAAGCAGATATTTTGCTAGTGATGCAATTGTATAATAAAATTCAGAAATATAAGTTGCTTTTTATTTCTATTTATTTTCTCTCTGTTCGACCTATAAAAATATTGTTTTGGATACAGTAAGAAGAAAACCAGGTAGAATATAACCATTTGTTGTGCAACTGTGAGCACTTTTTATTTACTTTAATGTAACATAGATATCACAAAGCAAGACACATGGAAGACAAAAATAGCAGAAAGCTATATTCTAAGAACAATGGCTCATATTAGTCTTTTTCACAGACTCAAATATGGACAATAGCTGTGTATCCCACAAGGTGATGCCTTTCATTTACTCCATGAAAGCAGAAATATTTGCAAGAAATGAGAAGGTATGTCATACACAAAGAGATTTGGAGTTTCTTTTATCTGATGGGGTATTTTGTGGCAAATAGATTATTAGAAAATACAATTATTTTAAAACTGCAAATAAAATTTTTACAAGTTAAAATCTGTTATTTCTCCATTTGGAAAAAGTGCCTTTGGAATAAAGACTGGAAGAGGTTGAAGAACTAAGTGGTGTGGATATTGGGTGGAGGAGCACTTCGCTCACAGATAACATAAAATGCAAATTCTGGCCGGGCGCGGTGGCTCACGCCTGTAATCCCAGCACTTTGGGAGGCCGAGGCGGGCGGATCACGAGGTCAGGAGATCGAGACCATCCTGGCTAACACGGTGAAACCCCGTCTCTACTAAAAATACAAAAAAAAAAAAAATTAGCCGGTCGTGATGGCGGGTGCCTGTATTCCCAGCTGCTCCGGAGGCTGAGGCAGGAGAATGGCGTGAGCCCAGGGGGCGGAGCTTGCTGTGAACCGAGATCACGCCACTGCACTCCAGCCTGGGCGACAGAGCCAGACTCCATCTCAAAAAAAAAAAAAAAGAAAAAAGAAAAAAAGAAATGCAAATTCTATGAAGTAGGTAATTAATATTGACATCCTTAAAGTATTTGTTCATCAACAAATGTGATAAACAACACTGGCTCTAAGAAATAGTGATTTCTCATGCAAGAGCATTGTAAAATCAGGTGGAAAAGATGATGACTGTAACAGAGAGGTAATAGTTTGCAGAATTTGTTCTTTTTGCCATGATCAGATTCTATCTTAGTGAACAGAGATCATAGACATTGATTCCATCTTAGTAAACAGAGGTCATAGTCATTGATTCCGTCTTTGTAAATAGATATTGTACACGTTGATCATAGCCATTGATTTCATTGCAATAAATAGAGATCATAGATCATTTTGGGTACCTAAATAGGAGGTTTTTGATTGAGATAAATACATACATGTAGTGAAACAACCTCCCACATGAAACCAAATGGGGGTGAAGTTTTCCTTAATAAAACTATTTTGCATTTATTTTTAAGACTTCTTACAAGGCAATACTCTCTCTCATTTTCTTCAACTAAAGAGAAAGGGTTATTGACAAGTAGAGTTTAAAAAGCATTTGGAAGCTGAGTTTTGTTAAAATGGGGAGTATGATTTGAATGGATTCTTTGGTGAGTAAGAAAGTCATCAACAAAACCTCCTGCACATTCCTTGAACATGCTGGAGGGTAAAACAAAATCCCCTAGTAGATGAAAACTTTCCAAAATAGCTGCTTCTCTGAAAATGGTATAGGGCTTAGATGTGGGACTGTCAACTTACAAGTATCAAAGCAAATGAAATTTCTTCTGTGAAGACATATCCACTTGACCATTGTATTGTGTCTTTGTTTCAGGAGCACTTTGGCTTCTTTGATGCCATTTTTAATATTTTAAAATTTCCTTTCTTGAATATGTGTGATTTATGTCTCCTCTTCACTTGTGTGATGTAACATACTTTAGAGCAGGAACCAGTCTGCTTGTTTTTGTGTTTTGCTTAGGACCCAGCAAAATGTTTGCTTCATTTAAAATCCATTAAATATTATTAATTGGCTTAGATATAATTTATAATAATAATAATTATTATTATTATTATACTTTAAGTTCTGGGATACATGTGCAGAAAGTACAGGTTTGTTACATAGGTATACACGTGCCATGGTGGTTTGCTGCACCCATCAACCCATCATCTACATTAGGTATTTCTCCTAATGCTATCCCTCACCTAGTCCCCAACCCTCTGACAGGCCCCGGTGTGTGATGTTCCCCTCCCTGTGACCATGTGTTCTCATTGTTCAATTCCCACTTATGAGTGAGAACATGCGGTGTTTGGTTTTCTGCTCCTGTGTTAGTTTGCTGAGAATGATGGTTTCCAGCTTCATCCATGTCCCAGCAAAAGACATGAACTCATCCTTTTGCAGCCAACAAACATGAAAAAAGCTCATCATCACTGGTCGGTAGAGAAAGGCAAATCAAAACCACAATGAGATCCCATCTCATGCCAGTTACAATGGCGATCATTAAAAAGTCAGGAAATAACAGATGATGGACAGGATGTGGAGAAATAGGAACGTTTTTACATTGTTGGTGGGAGTGTAAATTAGTTCAACCATTGTGGAAGACAGTGTGACAATTCCTCAAGGATCTAGAACCAGAAATACTATTTGACCTTAGGAATCCCATTACTGGGTATATACCCAAAGGATTATAAATTATTCTACTATAAAGACCCATGCACACGTATGTTTATTGCAGCACTGTTCACAATAGCAAAAACTTGGAACCAACCCAAATGCCCATCAATAATAGACTGGATAAAGAAAATGTGGCACATATACACACTGGAATACCATGCAGCGATATAATTTGTTTTTAAATGTGTTAAAGTCATTACATACTTAAAACTTTTCTCTATTTATAATTAATCAGCAAATCACTCTGTAGTGTGTGTATGTGTGCGCACATGCTTGCACATGCCAATTTGTTTTTCAGATTTCATATTTGCCTAAAAAGAATCCTTGCACTTGTGTGTAGAAAATTCTCTGACAGGAATGTTAATATGAGCAAGAAAATATAATCTCCTCTTTTTTAGTATCTAAAATTTGAGAAAGGCATTTATGTTTCCACATTACTAAAGTATATTACTCAATAGGAAAAAACCATTACAAAACTCAGATACAACATTATAATACGTTACAACATTCACAGATATTTTTAGAATTGCCTAGCAGACAGTAGGTCTCAGGAATAAAGATGTAGCAGTTAGCAGAGAAAGTAGAGATATTAATGACTAAATTCACTACCATGGTCTAATTTGAACATAAGACTGTATGTATGTTGGAAAATATTTGATAACTGCTGCTTTGTTAGGATGCTCAATGAGTAACCTACAGCAGCAATAAGAATTGTGTTTTCCCTGCCGGGCGTGGTGGCACACGCCTGTAATCCCAGCACTTTGGGAGGCTGAGGCGGGAGGATCACGAGGTCAGCAGATCGAGACCATCCTGGCTAACACGGTGAAAACCTGTCTCTACTAAAAATACAAAAAATTAGTCGGCGTGGTGGCGGGCGCCTGTAGTCCCAGCTACTCGGGAGGCTGACACAGGAGAATGGTGTGAACCCATGAGGTGGAGCTTGCAGTGAGCCGAGATAGCGCCACTGCACTCCAGCCTGGGTGATAGAGCGAGACTCCCTCTCGAAAAAAAAAAAAAAAAGCTGTGTTTTCCCTTTATTACTACCTTACCTTTTAGTCTGTTGCCAAGCATATACTTGGCTAAGAAGTTGTGCGTTTAATATTCAATAAATAAAGAACAACTGCTTACTCTCATTGTGTAGAAGAAAGTAGTGCCTATGTCTTTGATGCCGTGTTTTAAAAATCCAGAAACAGTTTAAGGTGCATAATCTGTATTGCAAATAACCTAAATAATCTGTAGGTGTTGAATGCATTTATTTTAATAAATAATAATAAGCCATTCTGATAAAAATATCCAATGATATCACATTGTGCTCCTATTATGTAATGATGTGGCGAATTTTATGTATAATGTAATTTCCTATATATTATATACATAATATAAAATACTTAATTTCATATGGTAAACTTTGCAGAAAACACTCATATTAGGTTCAGAAAGAACCTTGCCATCTTACACGTATTTCTTTAACAAGGTTATATATCAAGATCTATTTACTTATAAAGACATTTATTATATATCATGTACAATGTTGCTTGCAAATATTTATATTATATCTAGTCTAGAAATAAAAATTCAGTTGCCCTTGCTTCTCCTAGTAAAGCATTGTTTCTTAACCAAGTTGCAGCATGTGAGAATCAACTAGGAAGATTTTTTTCATAACATACTGAATATAATGCCCACTCCCATTTTCCTATCTGGATGTTGATAACCTTTCAGTTACAGCTGTATGCATTAAAACATCTGAAAGGTGACTAATGATATTCCTGATCTCCTTACACATTGTCTCCCTTCCCATCTGAGAAGCACTGCTGTAGGTTTTGATTCAACAATATCAGTATGTGCTTATAAATATAGTTAGAAATAGTCCTCCACTTACCCTCCCAGGTGCCCTGTATTCACATAGGTATCTTGTGAAAAAAAATGGCTAATGTAGAAATGGTCCTCTTATGTCATATTCTCTCTTGCTTATGCATTGCTGAACAGTTAAGAATCAGGGATTCAACCTCCTGGAAATAATTATCTCAGCTCTTAGGGCTATCACAAGTAGATATTCAAGAGCTTTTCAAATTGAAGAAAGACATTGAAATATTAGTATGCATTTTGAAAGGTGAGCTAGTAATATTTAGGAGACTAGTACATATATTATTTTAGAGTACAGCCAAGAAGTCTGAGTAACGTATCTGCTTATATACAAGCCAGAGTGTCCTATTAAATGATATTAAATTATTCAATAAACTTCTGAAAATTTCTCCTGTATCATATCAATAGTTTCCAGAGGATTAAATAATTTTTCAAAAGGTTTTTCTGGAATTGAGATTTAATGCAGATATAAATACTGTAACTTCTCTGCCTTAATTTAGATAAGGAGTCCTAAAAACACAAATATATACCATCTTAACTAATATAGCAATCAATTTTGAGAATTAAATGATATAATGGTCTATAACCGTAGTTTAAGTAAAATAATTGATTATTAATCTTACCTATCAATTTCTGTCAATGCTTTGTTGTAAATGTCTGTCAAATTCATAGGCAGAGTGAGTCATTAAATCGAGGCTGTTTAGTAGAGATATATATTAAAACATTAATATATGCCTCTGTGTCCTGGGAGACAATGGTAAAATTTTTAGTTTATAATCTACAGCAACATACTAGAGATTATGTGAAAAACATAAAATACAAACATTTATTACAATACAATATATAGTTGAGTAAAAACTGAGGACTAGGTATTGTAAGAATAACTCAGTTACATGGGTTCCAAATACGATAAATTTTAGAAAATTCTTACCAATTGATTGATCATACTATTTTAAGGGCATGCCAAATAGCCTAACATATAATGGTTAGTAAATATGATTGATCATACTATTTTAAGGGCATGCCAAATAGCCTAACATATAATGGTTAGTAAATATGCATTGACACGTTTCTTAAGATGACGTATTTCATGTATTTTTATGTGCTTTTATGTATATAAGTGTGTGCATATTTTTGTGGACAAAGAGCATGGAAATATGTCTGTTCTTAATATTTAGGAAAAGAAATAGGTATTCTAATTGTGAAGGGTGCTGGAAGTTCAGAGTAAGTATGGGTTGCCTATCTAATGTTTTCTTAATCTTAGGTGTAAAAATATTCAAATTTCTCTAAAGATATTTGATGAAATCTTGAAATGAGATGAGTCAATAAAATTCTATTAGAATAATGGATTTGTGTGACAATTATTTTTCTCCTAAAAATAGATATAGCTGCTAATTACACTTCAATATATGGCAGGAAAGATTTTTTTTACTGTCTCTTGGATAACAATTGTTTATTGTCTCTTGGGTAACAATTCGGAAATCAGACTAAATATTAAAACTGACGAACCATTTGATTGCATCAGATTGGTGACAATGAAATGAGGATTTGCCTTGTCAAGATTGAAGAAGAGTAAGAAAGGCTAGAAAATGTGGAATGCCCTGTGGTTTGGCCTGTTCCCTGAAGACAATGACTAAATCTTAAACTAGTTTATAGGAAATCCAATAGTTGGACAAATACGTTAGTAGTAGACTCAAAAAAAAAAATTGGAAGAGGAAAAAAAGGGAATCAGAGCATACCAAAGAGAAGTACCTTTTAACCAATTTATTTTTTAGTATAAAACCTCAAAGCTCTATTCTATGAGGGTGATACAGAAAAAGGTCAACCCTCAAAAGTATAAAGCCCAGTTTAGAAGCTTCTTGATTTTTGCCTCTAAGGCAGAAGTCTACAAAACTATGATCCGTTAATCAAATTGGGCCCACCACATTTGTGGTGGTAAGATAAAAATGATTTTTTGATTTTTATTTATTTTTAATTTTTTTGTAAAAACTTTATATTTTATCTTTTCACATTTCATTTTGTTTTTAATTGAGATACAGTTATATATATGTATACATGTGTATGGGGTACAGTGTGATATTCCTATACAGGTACACATTGTGTAATTATTCAGTCACAATTACTAGCATATCCATCACTTCAAACACTTGTCATTTCTTTGTGATGAGAATATTCAAGACTCTTCTAGCTATTCTGACACATACTTTATGGTTAGGTATAGTCACTCGACTTCGTAATAGAACATCAGAACTTAATCCTCCCGTCTAACTATAACTTTGTACCCATTAACCAACCTCTCCCCATCCCTGTTACACCGTACTCTCCCTAGTCTCTAGCAACCACTGTTCTCTACTTCTATGAGACGAACTTTTTTTAGATTTCATGGATTAGTGAGATCATGTGGTATTTGTTTATTTATTTTTTTTTTACTTGGCTTATTTCACTCGGTACAACTTCCTCTAGGTTCATCCCTGTTGTTACAAATGACAGAATTTCATTTTTTTTTTTTTGACTGTATCTCACTCTGTTGCCCACGCTCGAGTGCAGTGGTAAGATCCTGGCTCAGTCACTACAATCTCCTCCTCCTGAGTTCAAGTGATTCTCCTGCCTGCCTCAGCCTCCCCGAGTAGTCTTAATTAGAGGTGCCCACCACTACACCCAGTTAATTTTTGTATTTTTGGTAGAGACAGGGTTTGGGCCATGTTGGCCAGGGTAGTCTCAAACTCCTGACTTCAGGTTATTCGGCCACCTTGGCCTCCCAAAATGCTGAGATTATAGGCCTCAACCACCGTGCCTGGATAGAATTTTATGCCTTTTTATTGGTTGGATAGTATTCCATTGTGTATACATATCACTTATAAAATTTAGTGTCAGCTCACACCTGTAATCTCATTACTTTGGGAGGCAGAGATGTGCTGATCATGTGAGGCCAGGAGTTCAAGAAAAAACATCCCCCCCACCTGCAAAACAAAATTAGCCAAGCATGGTGGCACATGCCTGTAATCCCAGCTACTTGGGAGGCTGAGGCAGAGATCGCTTGAACCCAGGAGACAGAGGTTGCAGTGATCTGGCATCATATCACTGCACTCAGTATGGGTGACAGAGTGAGACACTGCCTCAAAAAAATAAAAATAAAAATAAATAAATAAATAAGAATAAAATAAAATTCTTTCATCCACTGATGGATGTTGATTTCACATCTTGGGTAATTGGGAATAGTGCTGCATTCAACATGGGGATGCAGATATCTCTTTGACATATTGATAAATTTTCTGTGTATACATACCTAGTTGTGGGACTGCTGAATCATATAGTGGTTATAATTTTATTTTTTGAGGAATCTCCTTTTTTTGTCCATCATGGCTGTACTAGTTTACATTCCCATCAAAAGCGTATAAGAATTTCTTTTTCTCCACATCCTCACCAGCATTCATTATTTTTGTGTATTTTTCATAACAGCCATTTTAACTGGAGTAAGATGATATAACACTGCGGTTTTGATTCACATTTCCTTCATGATCAGTGATGTTGATCATATTTTCAGATACCTGTTGGTTGTTTGTATGTCTTATTTTAATAAAAAATAAGATTTACAGATATTTTACCCATTTTTAATTAGATCATTTGCTTTCTTGTCTTTTTTGTTGTTGTTACTGACTTCTGAATATTGGCTCCTTTTCAGATGCATAGTTTTTGAATATTTTCTCCTGTTCTGCCGATTATCTCTTTACTCTGTTGATTGTTTCCTTTGCTGTGTAGAAGGTTTTTTGGTTTGACATAGTCCCATGTGTCTATTTTTGCTTCTGTTACCTGTGTATTTGAAGTCTTATCCAAAGAAGCCCTTGCCCAGACCAATGCCATAAAGTTCTTTTCCTATATTTTCAAAATTTTAAAAACGAGTATTAGATTTTTGGCAAAAACATTTGCTTACATAGTTCAGGAATTGTCTCTTTGCCCACAAATCCTAAAATGTTTACTCTCTCACTCTTCACATAAAAGATTGCTGATCTGTTTTATAATGTTCTGAGATTACAAATGCCCCTAGCTTAGATACATACCAGCAACAAACATTAATTTTGTATGCATTGGACTGGCTATCATTGGACAAATTTTGGCACAGATGGCAATTTCAAACCTGTTTTTGACGACATTTACCGTAAGCCATGCCTTTGTGTCCAATCAAATGCTTAGTTCAGTTTCATCTCAGAATTAAGGGAATGTATCCAACCCTTGATTAATGACAATTGACCATTGATCAAAATCCAGAAACGTCAACTTGGAAAAGCACTATCTCTGCGAAACTTTAGTCTTCATGGGGTTTTAATATTGTGCTTCTTTGAGGCCAGTCACTTGCTCCCTTCATGTTTTCTCACTAAAATGCTAAATTGTATGCTTATTTATCTAAATGATATAATTTCAATAAGAATGATATTTAGTCATCAACAGGGGGTTAGTTTTGAAGTATGTTTGAGAAATAACTTGGGGAAAAATGAAGAAATTCTCTTGAAAAGATCATTTATGTTTATATCTAAAAAATCATTTGTAGGAAATGTTCCCTCCTTTGTTTCCAAACATCAGAACTTAATAAATTATGACCTTTAAATCATACAGCTTGATAAAATTTTCAAGGACCCAGGTTATTTTCTAAATAGCTACCTTGTATATATGTCAACATCTGTTTATTTCACATCTAAGTTTTTTTCTCTTTCCTTGCAGAGGGAATGTAACTAACCTTTTATAATGAAAATTTTATATTTGGCTGCATACAGCTGGTTCTCTCTTTTTGAAATGATCCTCGACCTCTCTCTTTCCATCTGTTAAAAAATGTCAAAGATTTAATGATCAAAAAACAATTTAGTCATAGCATTGGGAGATATACCTAATGCTAAATGACAAGTTAATGGGTGCAGCACACCAGCATGGCACATGTATACATATGTAACTAACCTGCACATTATGCACATGTACCCTAAAACTTAAAGTATAATAATAATAAAATAAAATAAAAAAAATTTTGCGTGCAGAAAATGGAATGATGAAAAAATATTAACGACTGTTGCCATTGCTTCCTACATGTTAATCAACAAAGTCAAATCACGAGACACAATGTCTAAATGCTTTGTATTTTTATAGCTTCTTTTTATAATTCTGGATTTTGTTCAATATTTAAGTTATTCACTAGCATTCTCTGCTTGGGTTTTAAATTGCCCTTTAATTGTAAACTGATTATTGATGTTCACTGTGGCAGATATATTTTTAGCCTGTTCATAGACTCCCAATTAATAATTCTTTTTCCACTCCATGTAACAACAATGCGATTGTTTTAAAAATCAACTAATTCTGGTTTCTGGTCTAAGTTGGAGGAACTTAACAACTCTTAAGTAATGATACTGTATTTCTAAATAAAGTTTTCTTTATAAAAATTAAATAATAATTTAGTCATTGTATGTGCACACTCTAGCAATGTCTACTTCAGATAAACAGTCAAAAATATCTACCTGTAAAACATATATTAACTTCTGCTTCTTTTTTACATGTATGGAAATGTACATTTATACAATAAGCTTTAGGAAATATGATACAGGAATTATTTTTTAAGTAAAGTTTATTTTAGCCCCTTTAACAATTTATTTGCCCATTTCCTCTTGTGAAGCATACTTTACAAATATAAAGAAAAGTTTCCCGATGTATTAAAAATGGATACCCAAGATTGGAATCTGCTATATTCCAACATCAACCTTTGCAGCTCTGTCAGCAAAATCATTGCTGGTAGAAATTTTGCCATTCTGTCCTGTGTGAGTTCTACATGAATTGTTAGTATTTGAATAGACAGTTGTAAAGCCTCTAATGAATCAGCTATCAATTTTCAATGAAATGTTTTAGTACCCAACAAAGTAAAAAAACTCCCACATTTTTCCAAATTTGCCTTTTTGTGTGAGACACCAAACACATATGTATTTTCTGTCTATCTAGCTAGCTAGCTAGCTATCTATTATCTATCTATCCAGCTAGCTAGCTATCTATTATCTATCTATCCATCTATTTAACCTATTTACTTTAAGTTCAGGACCAAAATTTCCAATTCTAGTAATTGCTATTAACTCAGCAACTTTTGCTATTTAATTCTAGAGAAAACACAAGTTTTCAAAATTTGATGAGATGTCTCTACATCATAAGACAATTTAATTTAGCCATTTTTATCCTGACATGTGACCCATCGGTAATTATTATTAAATCAGGATTTTGAACTGGAAAGTCAGATAAATTAACCTGGGTCCTAGTGACTTCTTCTATTACCATTGTGCAATCATTATCATCTATTCGATCAGGATCGGGTAAGAGAAGAGCAGTGTTTAGGCCTTCACATTTCTCAGACACAATATTAGGAATGGATAATGCTGTTAAAAGCCAATCTGATGGGTAACTGAAGAATGCTGGGTTTCATGCACTTGCAAAATAGCGCTTGCAGCAAGTGGGTCATGGAAACAAATAAAGTGACCCAAAGTAAGAGCTTGAGCCTTTCAGTAAGTGTGGCGGCTGCTGCCACAGCTTAGAGGCCTCCAGGCATTCCCTGTGCCAGAGCACCTGGAATAAATAACAAATATGCTTTTTGTCCATAGCCTAATTCCAGCTTCTGAGTTAATATTCCACTACCAGCCCTTTATTTTCATGACAAAAGAAGCTAAAAAGGTTTTTCAAAATGTAAAATCCTCAACGCTGAGGGAAAAGCTATTACCAGTTTTATTTCTTCAAATCCTTTTCAGATTCTAATGATCAAATGAGAGGATCTGAAGAATTCTCATGCATTTTCCCCATCAGAGGATTTTTCTGATGTCCAGCAAAAGCTGGACTTCACTATATGCAATAATCTACTGGTCTCCCAAATTATTGATGTTCGTTGTTGTTGTTTTGGGCTTTTTTTAATGTGTTTGTTAGTTTTGTAATAGACCATTTTATTGGCAAAAGCAGCTTACCCCTATGTGTAACGTATTGGGTCTTCAGCTGAAAACAGACATCTAAATATTTTACTTCAGTTTGGCAATTGCATTTTGTCTAGTGAAGCCTTATTACCCTGCAAAGCAAGGAATTGAAATAAACCCAAAGTGGACTTCAGTCTCTGAGGCTACCAGAAAGTAATTTATATATGGAATTATTATAAATCACTCTAGTAAAACCAACTTCTTTATGTTTTCCAGTAAATCACTGAAGAAAATAGTTTGGGAATCCTAAAACTTTTGAGCAATCCCTTGCCACAAACAGAACACTCCTTCATAATTAATGCAAATAAAAATTTGGAAATTTAGATTCATCTGCTAGAGACAGGTAGGCAAAGAAGGAAGGAAGGAAGAAAGGGAGGGAGGGAGGGAGGGAAGGACGGAGACAGGGAGGGCAAGGAAAAATAGTTTTATAAAGCAAAACTTTGCAGACCACAAGGAAAGCAAGAGTTCAGAATATTTGCAGGATTAAGAGATACAGGAGTTAATAGAACAACAAATTTATTTTTCTATGATCTGTGAATCTACATAGTGATCAAACATCCTTATTAATTTTAACTTTACTGGATATATGAGAGTATTACAGTGTGAGTGCACTTTAAAAAATTCTTGGTTTTCTTATTAGAATTGGCTTTGTTTCTTCTAATTGAGATCTTTTCAAAGGATATTGTTTAACAAATGGCCACGGCTACTACTTTTGATAAGCTATTTTTATTGGTTCTGTATCTTGGACTAAACCAGTATCATTATTCTGTAGGGTAAAACCAACACAGGTTATTTCAGCCAGGTGTGCCTTTTCAGTATGGTGTAAACTTCCATTCCCTATCCTGCCTATTTTCTTCCATAAGGCGCAATGCAACTTAGTAAGATGCCTCTTATTATATAGTAACCAAATTAGGTGATTTTTTTTCTGAAAGAGTTCCATAGACACTCCCTTTGGAGTATAGAATACGGTAACTTTAAATTGCCCAGCAGTTCTCACTTCAATGAGTTTAAAGGAGAATCTAAATGAAGTAAGAAAACATGTTTCTCAGTCAAAGAACTGATCTTTATGGAATCTGCAGAGGAGACATATTAGGTAGGATAAAAATAAAAAGGCTGACCCAAAATGCCAATATCCTGTATTTCTCTATCATGACATGAAAAGTGCAAAATTACCAAGGAAATTTCAGAGTAAGTAGCACAAGTATCACCGGTTTCCACTTCCAAAATTCCCTTAGTTTGTTCATTTTAAACCATTTTACAATTGCTCCTTAGCCTTCTGGGTTTTCAGATTCCCTTGTTCCAGCAATTCCTGTATCCTCTTTACCAGCTAACAATGTTGTGCTCTCATTCCTCTTTGCAGAGAAATACACTAATGAAGCGTCCTGTACATCTAAAAGCATCACCTTCTCCTTCTCAGGAGTCGTTTTGAGCCAAGAGATGCAGGGGAAGCAAAGGGAGTAGGGACAGAAAGAAGAATGGTTCAGTGAGAGAGAAGCTACCTTTAATTCTTGCATTTCTTCTTTCATTTTCAAAAATCTTTCCTTCCTTCTGGCTGTACACATCATTTTCATTCTTTTCTTCTTAGAATGATACTTATCCCATAAATACTAGTAATTCATTTGATTTGAATTAATCCTGATTAAGAAACCTAGAGAATATGCTAATTAATCCAAATCAAAAGAACCATCTTTGACCACTGCAAGAGTGGATTTTCATATACCCATTCCAATGTGACAGACTAATATTAGCTTTTTTTGAGAAAGATCTACCACCAATATTGCTGTCTTCCCACATTTTTCCATCAAAGCCAACAGTCATCCTGATAAAATTTTAGAACCTCAATTACCTATGCTTATTTGATTGTAAAAATCCTGCATTTGGGGAGGGTGGTTCTTCTGCTCAGTATTGCAAAAGAGTGACAAGCTAGAAGGGAGATGCTGTGTAATTCAGGGTCTCCTACCTGACTGCTGTGTCTAAAGAGGTTCACTCAATTCAGAAACTATCCGACCTCCTGTCTTCATCGTCAGACGTTTTGAGGAAATATAATTTTAAAAAGATTCTCCTCTCAGCCCAGAAAACCTCTCCACAGAAGTGGAAAAGAAAGAAAACATTTCGTGAATAAGCTTTAAACTAGAATTTGAAGTGCATCACAGGCAATTTGCTAAAGAGATTGTAAAGAACGATAACGACAAAAACTTGCCATTTTATATAGCAAAATATATACAATTTATTCTTACTTCATACATGTTCTCAATATAAATAACAACTAGTGCTCAAGGAACAGGACTTAATAACACAATTTGTCAGAAATATTTCATCCTAAATACACCTGGAAATTGGAATAGCTACGTGTGTTTGCTAATTGCCTTTATCAAAGGAAAATGAGGCCAGCTGCATTGGCTCACGCCTGTAATCCCAGCACTTTGGGAGGCCAAGGCAGGTGGATCACTTGAATTGGAGTTGGAGACCAGCCTGGGCAACATGGCGAAACCCGGTCTTAACAAAAATTAAAAAATCAAAAATCAAAAGATAATAAGCCGGGTGTGGTGGTGCATGCCTGTGCTACTCAGCCTCAGCTACTCAGGAGGCTGAGGTGGGAGTACCACCTAAGCCCGCGAGGCAGAGGTTGTGATGAGCCAAGATCATACCACTGCACTCCAGCAGCCTGGGCTACAGAGAGACTGTCGCAAAAAAAAAAAAAAAAAAAAAAAAAAAAAAAAAAAAAAAAGGGAAAACGAAAGTTCTGATAACCTCATGAGAGGAGATAGGTTTGCAACTTGAAGTTGGATGATAGCTGAAATTAGGCGCCTCATCTCCCATGGAAAGTGAGATACAAAAGTTCTATATTCCTTTATTGCAATTCAATAGGAAGACTCTTAGGCCCCTGAGAAAAAGATTCCTGTGCTGTAAACTGACAAGAAGCTTATTTTGCTTTTTAAAAAGTTCACTTAGATCTCAAAAGGTCAGAGAAAAAAAATAAAAACGTATCTAAAAGAAATATTTTAAAGAAAAGGAGGTAGGGGAAAGTCGCTCCTTCTAGAGCCAAGGACATTAATTAATTTTTTTTTTTAGATTTTTATTTACCCTTTTAGTGTCTTTGGGTAATTATATACATCCAACCCTGTATACTCATACACATTTGCCCATGAACAAAGAAAATAATTAAATAATTATTGATATTCACAAGTTTTATCTTTGTTCTGCAGGAAAAAAGGTTATTTGGTTAGTGGTGAAAATTAATAAAGATGGCTTGTTATACTAGGTATAATAATTAAAGAGAAACACTAATACATACATTGTTTATAGGGTAATAGGTGTAAAATTATATTTGAAAGTATTATAGTTCCTTCAAACAGTAAATTTAATATGAAATATACATTGTTTCATATATGTTAAAGCTATAATTAAAATTTTCTAATTACCTATTTGAATACTCTTATGTTTGTGTATGTCTAAACGCATACATATGAAAGTATAATAACAAATAATTTTATGTTGATATATGCATAAAGTAGGAAAGGAGTGAAATTAAAATTTTTCTCTATTTTGATTTTAAAATTATTTTAAATTTAAGTAATTTATAAAATTATTTTATTCCCAGATTAGGAGCGGTTCCTTTTGACATAGAATTCTTCTGTTAACTCTCCACGTTTTTTGGCGTGCTATCAAATAACTTTGAAAAGATTGCTTACTTTTGGAAAAAAAATTCTGATAATCATTGCTGCGTATTACTATGTGCTTTTGCAATGTTGCATATAGTTATATCTTATTTTAAATATTACTGTATTGTATTGTATTGTATATGCTTTTTCATTAGTAATTGCAACTTTAGCCTGGTTCACTCCTCTCACCTTCTAGCCGACATTTATTAAGGTGCTTATTCACAGATTTACCCTGGCTTTTTCACAGTTGCAAGCCAGAGTAGAAGACTACTTCCTCCACAAAGCCACTTTACACAAGTCTAAATGCTTTAAGTTTTGTCTAACGCCCTCTGACTACAAAGCCTCACAGTTCCTCATGGTGCATGTTCTTCTTCATTGAAACAAATAGTAAATCCAATTTTCATCATCTATGGGTGTATTCCTGGTAGTCTTTGGCTAGATGACTTTGACAGAAATCAGAAGAAAATGGAAGACTATCGAGAAAGTGTGGACATCAAAGAAATGATCATTGAAGTTATACAGTCAAGGAAGATATCCTGCAAAACCAAGGCAAAATCAAATGTTTTCAGAAAAAATACACCAATTCTCTTGGTGTATTCCAAGAGAATACACCGCTATCTGACTCCACTAAAGAAATTATTAAAAGGATCCGGTAAAGAGAGTAATCACATGATGCTAAGATAAAGAGTAACATTCAAAGTATTTAATAAAGTTCCCAGTTTAAATCAATAATAATTATATTATTGTTAAATTAATGTTATATTATTAATGATAAAATTATTGGTTTTAAAATTATTGTAATCTCCAAGGCATTTTCACACTCTGATTAGAAATGTAGTAATTGAATATGACATTCTTTGAAAAGATTATATAATTTATGAGAAGTACAGGCAATAGAGTTTACAGTTAAGGAAATGAATTTTTTGCAGGCAGCATTTATGGTAAATGTTTACACTTCTACACTATTCTGAGCTATCTAAAGATTCCTTCCTACTAAAGCTACAACTTATATTGCATTATTTTAAGACCTTTTTGGCCTTATTATGCATTTTCTTGCTTAGATTTAATTTAACTTAGATTTCTACTTTGTGCACAATAGCTACTTAGTTCCAGGCATTCTTTACAGCTATGTAATTTGGACCAATTTATTTGGCTTCCTTAAATTAAGATTTGAGATAATAATACTTTCCTCAGAACACAACAAAGATTTAATGAAAAATTTGCACAAATAATTTACAACAGTGTCTGAAACACAATTGGTGTGTTGTGAGTATGAGTTCTTTTACTTCCCTTTCCCGTGACTTGACTCCCTATTTCTACATATCACATGGAAAAACTTCTTTATGTAGTGGTCCATAGAGTATATAACTGTATCCCAAAATTCTAGCTTGTATAGCTGCTAAGGAAGAGGTTCAAAACTTCAGTTTTTATACATGGGTCTGAAATTTAAGAAATAATAACTCAGGGTTGCATGATTTCATATAAGGCATTTTTTCTTAGACTCTGGTGGCAGTTTATACCACCAGTAAAAACAAAACATTTGCACTATACTCAGGGACAGAGTGGCATTGTTAAAATAAGAAGCCCCAGGATGGTCCTTTCTTCATTATTTTTCTACTTGTCTAGAAATGCAAAAGTTTTGCAAACCAGAAACCTGGGGATTTGTACCTCCATGCACAAATCAACATTCTTAGGATGGTGATTCCTTTTTTCCTACTCCTCACTGCAAACCCACCCTACATCTGCCACATTGCTATCTTTTCTCTTTCTAGCAGAAGAGGGTAGCTTTCAGCAATCAACTGAAAAGAGACATGAATGGCAGAGAACAGAATGGAATGTATTCTTGAGCTTCAGGATTTTAGAAAAGTTTGTTGTTAAGACTCATAAAATAATTGTCAAGGATTGTTTTCTATCTGCTCAGAAAGAGAAACAGAAAATGAGCCAGGATAAGAAACTGTCATTCCTCAGTCCGTTAGAGATATTCTACCAGAAAGCCACTTAGCACAGGAATTAGGCTAATAATTATACAACAATTCAACCCTTTTGATAGACCTTACGTGGTCACAACTTCAATATTCAGAAAGAATAACAAGTGTATTAACAATAGGATACATTTTTAGAAAAGCTTGAATTTTGATACATCTCCATACATTGAATATCAATAGAAAGAAAAAAATGAACTATCAAAAATACTGCAGAACAGGAAGACAGCATCAGCCTAATTATATGAGGGAAGCATAAAATGTCAGCAAGTTATTTAGCTATGTGAATGTAAATTGTCACATTCATTGCTTCATTTAAAGCTGAAAATCACCCCACAGACTAGGTGCTTTTATTATCCCAGTTTTACATATTAAGTACAATGATTAAATAACTTACCCAGAATTTCACGGGAAGTATGCACAGGGTCTAGTATTAAAATCCAGAGAACATAAATTCGAAGTTAGTCCCGCATATAGTTAGATTTTGAAGAATTTTTACCATTATTTGCCTCAACATTTTTTACTGGAAGCTATTGCATTCTTATAATTACATTCACAGAGAACTGTGTGAAAGAAATCAGCAAAAGAACTGCTAACCTTGGCTAATTCACCATATATTTATTAGGCAGCTGTTATATGCCAGTACAGCAAATCCTCATCCCTGTATGAGAGATGTATCTTCATAGTTAGAGTAATAGGTAATTGCTATCAACAAAATTACTACATTCTAGTAGTGTATGTTAAGAGTTATACCTAATATTAGATCATTAGCACCTTAAGAGCTTCATGTCACGGTCAGTATAAGTAGGAGAGAATAGAGTGAATGTCTAGAATGGGCCCAAATTTTGTCAAGACTAGATCTTCCATCAGTAGAGATGCCTTATTTAAGAATACATTATTGTGCATAAAAAATTAAGTTCTAAAGCGTGTATTTGTTTCCAATTAGAACAAAAACTCACAATAAATTTTAAATTTGGCAAATATTGAAATTATTACCACAAGCAAAAACAACTTTAATCTTTCATCTTCTTGAAATACATATTTAATATATATCCTTCATTTTTTTGCTAATTATTGTTTGATTGTCTTTCCTATAAAAATGCTTTTGTAAGACAATTTCTATACAGACAATATTGTCAGTCTTCTATATGTCCATTATATATTTTTATTAGTCACATGAATAATAATTTGTTGACTTTCACAAATAGTTTTTGTTGATGTCATGTAAGTTTTCAATATTATTGCTAAAATTAGAAAAATTTATATCAACTTATTTTTGCTTTTTAATTTTCAGCTGTTACAGATAAAGTCAGTGTATTTTCTCTAAAAGTTCTGTGCCTTAAACACACAGGAATTCTGATAAAGTTTTTTTTTTAATTTCCTAGCAAAAAAGAACAAAATATATACTATTTATATTTATAATTATATACACTGCATAATTTAGATTTTTCTGTTTTGGTTTCAATTCTGGCTAAACATTGATTAGAAGTGAATATGGCCAGGTGCTGTGGCTCACACCTGTAATACCAACACTTTGGGAGGCCGAGGCAGGTTGATCACAAGGTCAGGAATTCGAGACCAGCCTGGCCAACATGGTGAAACCTCGTCTCTACTAAAAATACAAAAATTAGCTGGACATGGTGGTATGCACCTGTAGTCCCAGCTATTCAGGAGGCTGAGACAGGAGAATCGTTTGAACCCAGGAGGCGGAGGCTGTGGTTAGCCGAGATTGCACCACTGCGCTCCAGCCTGGGGAACAGAGCCAGACTCCGTCTCAAACAAACAAACAAAAAAAGACTGAAGATTGGGAGAATTTTCCACATACCGCTTTCTCATAACCAAACACTTTGTATCAAGTTTTTTCTCTATCATTTCCGTATTTCCAGTGCTAAGTACCATACGGCATATATATATGTGTGTACCATATGGTACCATATATAAATACCATATGGCATATACATATATATATATATATATATATATATATATATTCCCCATATTTCCAGTGCTAAGTACCATACAGCACATGTATACTGTGCTACAACCTTTGATGCTACACACAAATAAAATAACACCAAATGAAACAACACACTAGGTGTTATGAGGTATTATGAGAGAGATTTAAGCCCAGGAGGTTTAGCATAGAAAGGTTTTCATAGAAATACTACAAAATATATTAAAACATAGTAAATACATATGTACATTTATGGATAAATATACAGAGGTATATGTATAAAGTGTGTGTGTGTGTGAGAGTGTGTGTGTGTGTAGAGAGATAGACATCCTGACATTCAAATTTACCTGAACTGACTCCAAACTTTCCTAAGGACATTTCTATAAAGAGCACCATAGAGGTGAAGGTGATTTAGAAAATAAAGAAGTTTTAATCAATTTTAGTAAAAATATATTATTTTTATAGATTGTACAAAAACCTGTAAGCATATGAACATTTTGCTAAGGCCCCTCCAGTAGGATGAGCTCTGTGTGAGTGTGCAAAATTAGGAAACAGTCCCCACAAGACCACCTTCACTTCTGACAAGTGCAGTTTGTTGGTCCCAAAGGCTACCATCACTTGTGAATCCAATAAGAAGTGTATGGGTCTTCAAGAAAACCCTTAGTTTCAGTAATTCAGTAGAAAGACTCACAAAACTCACTGAAAGCTGTTATACTCACAGTTATAGTTTTTTACAATGAGAGTACACACACTAAAATCTGTGAAGGGAAGAAACAGCTGGGGCAGAGTTCAGGAAAGCTCTATATTTGGAGCTTCCAGTTGTTCTCTCCCTGTGGAGTGGTACACAGCAGTAACTTTCCTGGCAACAACATGTGACAATGTTCAGGCCAACCAGTGGAGGTTACCTGAGGCTTGGTTCCAGATTCATTAGTGGAGCTCTGTCATATAGAAGTGCCTGACTCTCCACATGGCTGTCCCAAGTCTCCAGCTCTTCCCCAGATTGATTTAATCCCAGGTGACCCAAAGAATCACAAGTCACATTGTTAGACTCTCTGTCTTGGCCGAAGACTCTCAGTTTAAAGATACTTTTAACAGGCAGATATTACAAAGGCTTAGAGATTGCCTCCCAGGAGCCAAGGACAAAGACTAGACCTCTCTTTGGGCAAAGTTAAATTCCTTATTACATAAAGTGATAGAATCTGAAGCTGAAGTTCTATTGGTTTCACATTAAATCTGCTACTGCTGGGAACATTCTAAGTGATTAATAATATCTATTGAATAAATGGATCTTTTCTGTGCTTGCCTATACCTTTTAATCCTTAGAAAATCTAGGTTGAAAATAAAAACCTACATTATCTGTGATATAGAATAGCATAACTCTTTATACAAAATAAGTGAATTGAAGATACAGTGGGATATCTTAGTCATTAAAAAAGCTTCACGTAAATCCATGAATATTCTGGCACCCATGTATAAAAACAGCATTAAGTGAATCATAGTCAATGTTCATTTTACTGTATCAAATTTATTATTTATGAATGGTACCAAAGTAGGTGGTCAAATATTCATAATTATAATTCAATTGTAAATTCTCTCATATATAGTATTTCAATTATTTTTTACAAAATAGTTTATGAAAACAAATTTTAAGTGGTTTTGGTGCATTAAATAAATTTTTGATTACCATGAATGTTGCACACTGTCGAGAATAGTTCTGATGTTTAATAAGTATTAATAGCAAGAACCTAAAAATGATGAATGAAAGTCACATAATAAATGACTCTGAACTGAAGGGTCCAATAGAGTAAATGATCTAGATATAGTCAACCAGATAAGACAAAATAAATTGTATCTGTAGCAGTTTTTAATTGAAAGCTATGGAGAATAAAATTGATCATCTTGGCCGGGCGCGGTGGCTCACGCCTGTAATCCCAGCACTTTGGGAGGCCAAGGTGGGAGGATCACGAGGTCAGGAGATCGAGACCATCCTGGCTAACACAGTGAAACCCCGTCTCTACCAAAAATACAAAAAATTATCCGGGTATTGTGGCAGGCGCCTGTAGTCCCAGCTACTCGAGAGGCTGAGGCAGGAGAATGGCGTGATCCCGAGAGGCGGAGCTTGGAGTGAGCCGAGGTCGTGCCACTGCACTCTGTTACCAGCCTGGGTAACAGAGCAAGACTCCATCTAAAAAAAAAAAAAAAAAATCATCTTATGTAGAAATATGATTTATTGAAAGAACATGAATTTCTATGAAGTCTGGAGATCTTTGTTTGGAAAATGGGTAGTGACATATGGAGGCTACTCATCCACAGTCATTGCCAAATCCTATATGTAGTATCAACATGCCATTAGAGAAAATGTCTATATGGAAGGAATATCCCATAATGAGTAAATAAGTGATTTAATCTAATTAAAAGGGACACTTACTATACCATAAAACTCCTCAACGTCCATATAATAACCATTGTAGAGTTTATGAACTCAAAGTTGATGACTTCAGGAAAATTTCCTACATTGTGGTGCTATTACACAGAACAGCATAGGTGAAATGATAGGACTGTTGTAGAACTGATGCATAGTCTCCATTTCATCTACCTTGGTCAAAATGTTCATGAATCTATTGTTTATTATGGAGACAGCTGGAGACGGCAATCTTCTTCTCCAACAGATAATTGAAAGAGTCCCCTACATTCAGCAACATTTACTGAGCATTTACAAAGTATATTGAAATACTCATATTTTAAACGTTTAATCTCTGTGAATTTTTTCTCTACTTCTCTAAAAATTCTGGACATTAATCCACTAATCTTGCTTATTCCAAAAACCTTAAACATAAAAATAATCTATTTGACAATGACTCTAAATTTATGTTGAATTTATTTCAGAGCATTTTTCCTTCAATAAGAAATGGGCAATGAATTATGGCACCTAATTTTCTCCACTGAAAGGATTTCCCTCTCCACTGTCTTTCAGATATATCCAGGAGTAGATCTAGCTTACTTTAGGAAAACAGTCAATTTCCAGTTGTTGATAATTTATGCAGAGTAACCCTACTCCAATTAACTGTCATTAGGAACACCACAAACAATAGGAGTTGAGGAGGTATTCTCAACTGCCCCTACAACCTGCCAGTAGGGCATGGCTTTGTTCTACAAGACCATAAGCCACTTCTATGTTTCTACATTTAGGCATGACATAGTTTCAGTAAAACCTCCAAGTATATCTTAGTAAATGTCAAAAACCTTGTGTATACAAGTCATAAAATCCAAAGGATAGAAATTTTAGTCTGGACTCCTCTTGGATTTATCTCCTCTTTTGTGCCACAAAGTTGCTGTTTATTGAATTATATAACAAATGGATCAAAACAGCATGAAATTATCTGATATGGGTATGTATCATATTCGGAGAGCCATGAAGTTACCTGCCTTAACCTTGTATTAGAGGTTGCAAGGTAGAGCAACATGCCTCTCCATAATCTTCTCTAAGGTTATAGGTTCTGACATTTTGGCTTTATCTCACATATCTTAATATTCATGTACCTGTAAAGAAACATATTAATCATCTATTAATTCCTGCCATCCACATCTTCGCAGAATGATGTTATCAAAACAGTGACCTGTAATGTACTTTGGAATGGTGGAATCACTAAGTTTTATTGCATTTAAATTGTATCACAGGGTAATAGAATGAATGTAATCTTTTGACAAGACTTTCATGAAAATTGTGATCTCTGAAAGGCAGAAGAAAACTCAATGTAACTTTGTGCTATGGGATAAAAGAAGTTGATGTGGAGGTGGGGGGCTGAATGGAGTAGACACACTTTCGATTCAATCGGTGTGTGCCAGATACACTTTTCTTTACAATGATTCAATCGGAAATGTGCTAAGATCGCAATCCCTGAATGTCTCAAGTTATCTAAACAAAAGGAAAAAAGAGTAGATGTGCACCAAGTAAGTATGAGTGACAAAATTACAATCAGGTGTAAGTTTTAATGAATATATTTAGTTTGTTAAATATAAAACATATTTAAAACCATAAGAGAGCTTAGTTTTATGGAAACAAAATTTACTTAAAAAATTATTGTGGACAAAATGACATTTGAAAAAAATGATACTATACCTTATAAAGACAAAGTAATTTAAAAGGCATAGGAGAAATAAACGAAGCTTTATTAAATCTGAGCAAAACTGTACTGGAAGACAGAATTGAGGAAATAAGTCAAAATGAAGTATAGGGAAAATAGAGACGAATAATATAAAACACATATTAAGAGGCATAAAAAAGATTGAGAAAGGGAAATGGAAAAAATAGAAGATATTTCAGACAAAAATTACCTGAGACTCCTATAACTGATTGACTTCATGAACTCACAACACAAATTATACAAGGAAATAAAAATGAAGCCATTCATGCTAATACCTTATGAAACTGGAGAAAATAAAAGAATACAAGGATGCCTTAAACCAATATACAGAAAAAGAAAAACACTTTTAAGAATGGCAATTAATGTGTGAGCAGATATCTCAAAAATGAAAAAGAAGTCAATACAATGAAAATTTTTTTTCATATATTGAGAAAAGTTTTATTTTAAATAACATAACCATTTTCAATAGCTTTCCACAAATGATTAAAAATTTAATTACAGACAGAAGCACATGAAACAATATTAATGTCAGGCTAAATATTATTAAGTAATGAACAGCATATATAAAAAGCAAATAAGTAATATATACATTGTATGTAATAATTTATGTATAATAATGAAATCATTGATTCAGAGAATACTCTGAGATGTAATCATGTATCATATAAACACAAAGAGCAATATTATATTAGTAATAAAATAATAAATTATCATTAAAAAGAGCAAGAACATAGAAGAAATAAATATTATTTTGTAACAGAAAGCAAAATCTACACCAAGGAATTAATATAAATTACTTTCATCAGTTATATATTTATCACTATTTTTCCTGTATTAATCCAGAAGAAATACCTAAACAAATACTAAAAACATCATCTAAATTCTAAATAGTAGTATAATTAGAAGCAAATAATGAGAAATCCAGAAAATATTTCTATATTTGAAAGGAAAACATGCATAACTTATGGATTTGAACACAAATACAGATATTTCTGAACGCATCAAATTGAAAAGTGGGAAAAATTTAGAATTTAATGAAAACAAAACATCACATATGAAATATAGTTTAAAGAATTATTTAGAAAGAAATTCATCATCTTAAAAGGATAGAGTAAAAGAAGACTGAAAAATTAATGATCTAAACATCTTAATTTATAAAATTAGAAAAAGAAAAATGGTACAAACCTAAAGAACTTGATGAACAGATATAATATATATGATAATATTTATTGATATAGAGAAAATCAGGAAAACGTAAAGAAGATTAAGAAAGCTAGAATTTTTCTTGGAAAATATTATTAAAACAGCATTTTTTTCTCAAGCATGCTATACACATTAGAATCATGTGGGTAGCTTTTCAAAACATCTTATGTCAAGGTCATATTCCACAGCAATCAAATCAGAATCTCTGAAAGATAAACCCAGCCCTCAGAATTCTTTGCATCTTCCCAAGTGATTCCAATAAGCAGTCAAATTTGAAAAACGTGGAAATGGACACAATTCTAGTTTGGTATTAAAAGAAAAAGAGAAATGACAATGAGAGAGAGAGATGATGGAATGATGGAATGTAAAGAAAGAAAAAGCAGTGTTCCAGAGATATGGCACTAAGGTATTATTTAAAATTATAAGCTGCCTTTTGAATAAGGTGATAGAATCTCTGAATTTATTAATTAGTATAAATAATGATAAAACAATTTAAATATTCATGTACCAAAACCTGGATGATTCTTAAGTTGTCTTCTACAATGTCTTCAAAAAATAGGAAACCCACAGAAAAAAAGAAGGGAGGGGGGCAGAATAAAAGTGAGAGGCGGGGAAAAGAAATGTCTACAACCTATTTTGTTTTCAGATATAGATGTTAATAAGAACATCAGTTAAGGATAGCACAAGAAAGAAAAATAAATTACATTTATTTAACTTAACATTAATTGAATAGCACAAAATAAAATATCAGCAAACCAAATAATAATTATGACTTTTTTCAAAAGGCAAAAGAGGATCAAGGTAAAATTTATTAATATGGTACAACATATGGCAGGAATTGAAAGCTATTATCTAGTATCCATCTGCCAGTTCTTCCATGTGACTAAACACAACCTACTAAACTATTTGACCTACACTTGTCACTAAATGCGGCCACGTGAATTATTAATAATACTAGAATTTGTCTTCAGTAGGTTTAGTGGGAGTTTAGAATTTATATATTTCATTAACTGCAAGTAGAATATTAAATACATTTCCTGTGTTACCCAGAAATCTGGTTGTTCAGTAGGGCATTCATTAATAGTTGGTTTATGTAAAGAAAGAAATACAGTCTTTTAAAATACTTAGATTTATTAAAATATTTAAAACTGATTTCTCTAATTCAAAGAAAAAAATTTATTCAGTGTTTAAATGAACAAAGCAATTCGCTAGCCCCTAAACAAGGCACAAAGATGAGTGAAAATACTCCATTCCTCAGGACATGATACAACCTACAGGAGGCAGAAAATGCATGTGTATCCCTTATTGGAAAAAGGAGTAAAAACTGATATCAGAGAAGTGAAAGTGCTCTTGGAGCTTAGTAGTAATAGGTAATACTCTTTGTATGGAGAGACCTCTTCATGGAGAAGGTGGCTTTAATATGGTCCTTTAAATATAACACTTAAAAGTCTGATTCATGCAAAAATGTCATGGAAACAGCTAATCTGTAACATGTTTGTCTAAAACATTATTTTGTTTTGCACATGAACACATTTATTTAGTGAACTTCATGTGCTGGCAATACTTTTTCCATGACCCTTTTACTCACTACAGAATAACTTTAAATCTTACTAAAAAGTTATTAATAATAAGTAAGTTATTTATTAGAGATGGTATATCTACAATCATCAGTTAATCATGGAAAATAAACTTACATATGCTCAGATGGTTTTATAAGTCAGAAAGGTGAATTATAGGCATTTAGGTAATTTTTAAGGTAGATACATAGCTGTATTTTTAAATTAATCTGATATTTTAATAATAGATGGGTTTGATTTCATTATGTCTAAAGATTTCTCTTTATATATAAAAGGTGGTGCATTTAAAGAGGGTGATGGATTTAACATATTCTCCACAGTGTACTTTACACATGCTAAAGATATACTACATGTTTCAGGACCTATTCTAGAACATCTTTGAAGAGACAATTTGAAATATTGCTTTTATTAATATTCTGTGAGATTTTGAGAGCTTATACAGACACTTAAAAATTGGAGTTGGTTACCCTCAAGGAAGAGCAGATGTTTTGACATACGTTGAGATGAGTACTCTGAACTAGAAATTCAAATCTCCTTCTGGAAAACTTTTTGTGCTAACATATGGTAGACAATGAATCTTAAAAACCATTGGCTATGGACTTGACAGAAAAATGGGATTAGTTAAGATTTATTTACAGAGATTAACCAAATTGAGCATAGAAACGAATGGAATTGGCTATATTCCTCTGATTTTCAAATGATTGGCAAAAATTCCTTCAATCTTTCCAAAAAAATTGTTTAAACTCACTGAATTTTACATGCAATATCTGCCTTTGTTAAATCATGTAGAACACTTTTCTTGCCTACAACAACATTAGCAGTTCTAAGAAGAATATAAATTTGTAGTTCCCAAATTGCGGGAAAAAATGCTCAAATTTGAATAATTTTACTCACTTTTCTTCATTATCATAAAAAATGATGGATTCACAACATAACAATATCCACATTTAAATGGCATCAAACAAAATCATATCCTTTCTATATTGCTGATGATAATTACATATGAAAATATCTCTCCATTTTTGTAGATTTACATTTATGTAATTTAAAGGTTTAAAATAAGAAGTGCATATTTGTCAGCTATTATTTTAACAAGCTAAAATTTATATAGAACAAGTGTGCATTTAACAAGATGTAAAGCATGGTTTTTATTTTCTTTCCTGGAGATATGTCATGGGTATATGACAAAAATAGAAACTGTAATCATGCTTCCCTCTGTTTAAATGACACTTTATTGTCCTTTCTTTCTTTTTTCTGTTTTTTTAAAAACTATTTTACACTAAATATTTTTTGGAAAGCATTAGAAACACAGGATTTGTTTTCAGCACCCTCTACAGGAATACTTCAAATTTAACTAATAATGATTTCAACAATGGTTGATAGATAATAGATTCCCCCTACATTTAAGAAGAGAAATTACAGGTAAAACATTGGTAATCAGTACTCTTTGGCTGATGTACTTAAATGAGAAAGTGTACCTAATAGTAGAAGCTATTTTAGTATGAATCATAATGGAGTTAAATTATCCAAATATCTCCATGGTCCCAGAATTAATATTTTGTTGGTACACTTAACACTTTAATTCTATTTTTCTCTACAAAGCTTTGAAAATGTCACTCTTGTTTGGAATTAAGTATTTTTTTAACTTTTAAGTTTGGAGGTACATGTGCAGTTTTGTTACACAGGTAAATACATGTCATTCCTGGGAGTCATTGCACACATTATTTCATCACCCATGTATTAAGCCTAGTATTCATTAGGTATTTTCCCTGATCCTCTCCCTCCTGTCACCTTCCACCCTCTGACAGGCCCTAGTGTGTGTTGTTCCCCTCTATATGTCCATGGGTTCTCATCATTTACCTGTCACTTCTAAGTGAGAATATGCAGTATTTGGTTTTCTGTTCAAGTGTTAGTTTGCTAAGACTAACAGCCTTCTGACCATCAGAGAAACTCAAATCAAACCACAGTGAGACACCATCTTACACCAGTGAGTGGGGTTATTACTAAAAACCCAAGAAAATAACAGATACAAAGGTTATGGATAAAAAGGAATGCTTATACACTGTTAGTGGGAGTGTAAATTAGTTGGGCCATTGTAGAAGACATTGTGGCGATTCCTCAAAGACTTAAAGACAGAAATACCATTTGAACCAGCAATCCCATTACTGGGTATATACCCAAAGGAATATAAGTTTTGTTTTGTTGTAAAGACACGTGCACGTGTATGTTCAATGCAGGACTGTTCAATGTAGGAAAGATAGGGAATCAACCTAAATGCCCATCAATGATAGACTGGATAAGTAAAATATGGTACATATACACAATGGAATACTATGTGGCCATAAGATTAACAAGATCATGTCATCTGCAGGGACATGGATGGAGCTTGAACTAAGCACTAAGGAAAAATGTTTAAAACTAATCCCAAACTAAATTTTTGGTGTCTTAATAGATTACTGTAATAAAGAACATTGTAGTCATCATATTCTGCATATTCCAGGCCAAAATTTTCCCCATAGACATATTGTCTTCATTGCAGAATTTTTAACTTTTGAAGAGCATACGCTCAAGTTTTCTGTGGTGCAGAATACCAGAATTACTTTGAAAACTGTTTTTTCTAAGTATAATTGTTATCTCGACCAAAACTACAAGCAAGAGTTTGTTTTGTTCTGTTTTGTCTCTGGATCCATTGATTATTATGACTAATCCTTATAGGTTGGCAATAAATATTTATTTTGAGTAAATGTGATGAGGTGATACTCAAAACTCTGAAGTCTCCTTGACAATCACTTTTCTAAACACATTCTATCAATCACTCATCTTCCAATCCTCAAGTGTTTATGATCTGTGATTGATCTTTGACCAAGCAGTGAACATAGTAATGTGTTTATATTAATTCACCTAATCATAAGTTGACTTTTTCATGGATTTGGGGGTACTTAAAAGTTTTATGGAATTTACATGTAGCTTCTAAATATGATTTTTCTAACTTCAAAATTCATGTGGAATAGTAAAAACAATTACTATGTCTAAGAGACACATTAATTTGGAATGTAAAATCTGCCACTTTGTATCTGTGTGATTTTTAGGCGATTGAATATACTTCTGTGAGTGATACGGTTTGGCTGTGTCCCTACCCAATCTCATCTTGAATTGTAGCTCCCATAATTTCCACGTGTCATGAGAGGGACCTTGTGGGAGGAAATGGAATCATGGGAGTGGGTCTTTCCTGTGCTCTTCTCTTTATAGTGAAAAAGTCTCATGAGATCTGATGGTTCTATAAAGGGGAGTTTCCGTGCACACAAACTCTCTTGCCTGCCGTCATGTAAGACGTCTCTTGCTCTTACGCCATGACTGTGAGGCTTCCCAGCTATATGGAACTGTGAGTCAATTAAACTGCTTTCCTTTATAAACTACCCAGTATCAGATATGACTTTATAAGCAGTGTGAGAACAGACTAATACACTGAGACTCAGATTTTTCATCCATAAAGAGGAAATAACACCAACTCTTCAGAACTATGGTATATGTAAAATTCCTCAGCACTCAATACAGTTTGGTTTCCTGTTTCTGCTTCCAGGTCAATATCTCTTCAAAAAATCCAATATTAACCCTCTGACATCCCTAATCTGAAAAATTAAAATTAAAAAAAAAACCTGTTGTACAATTGAACTAAGAATCCACTCACATTGTCTTAATTTTTATTATGTATCTTGGGGTTACACAATTTGGAGATGATGTTAATGAATTTTCACACTAGATAAATGATCCAAAATGCAACCCATTTATCATGCAAATCAAATTATTTGATTTAAAATCCTCGCTGTAGAGCTCTTTAAGGATTTTAGCTAAAGGTACTTGAAACACTATAAGAATTTTATTTTATTTAAATATTAAAACTACCTCAAAATATTTTCACAACTAAAAAAATGTTAACCACATTATATATCACTTTGTTCTATTATTGTTACTTGTTTACTTGTATTATCTCTCTGTTAACAAAATTAAATTTCAAACTGGTAGAACTTTATCACAAATGAGGAAGGTTGGGTTGTAGAAAAGAATTATACTTTCAACTGAACCGCTCAGGTAATTTTTTATATAATTGCAAACACAGCTGAGGAAATAATCAGTGAACTTAAGTACAGGCAATTTGGTAGAAATAATTCATTAAAGGTGAGGAAAATATATAAAAAGCAAAACACAAAAAACAAGATTTATAAAAATTATAGCGTTCTAAGGATATAAAAAAATCAAACAGAAAGACACAAGTTTAAGTGAAATCTCTGAATGATGAGAGAGAAGTGCAAAAGCGAAAAAAAAGGAAAAGATAATGGTTAAGAATTTTCGAAAATAGTAAAGGACTTTAAAATAAAATGCAATAACTTTAGAGAACCCCGAAGAAGAAAAACACAAAAACATATAAGAACAACACAACCATAATACGGCCTATGCCAACTGATAAATACAATGGTAAAGAGAAAACCTTGAAGGCATCAAAATATTACATGCAGAAAACAAGGGGACAAATGTTTTCTGTCAGACAAATAAAAGCTGTGAGAATATATTGTCAGCAGATCTAAAGAAATATTCAATAATCCTCCTTTCATAAAGTAAATATGACACCACGTCAAAATCTGGTTCTATTCAATGAATAACGATCTCTGAAAATGGCAAAAAAAAAGACAATAAATATATAGTTTTGTCTTATTTATAGAAATTCATCTCTATAAAGAAAAAAAAAGAAAAAATAGTAAAAATTATTTAAGTGGTAATATTAGAAATAAAAGTAAAATGTATGACTAAAACAGCACAGAAAGAGAGAGAAGAATTAGGTTTATCCTGTTGAAAGTTTAACACTATTTTTTAAAGCTGTAAATAAATACTAGGCCAACAGTGAAGGATAAGTGGAATGAAAAAAAGAATACGTAACCTAAAAGCTAGCATCTAAAGTAGAAGAAGGGAATAAATAACGGATAAAAGAAATAAAAAGTGATAAGATGGCATAATTAAATTTAAACATGTCAATAATTGAGTTACATATAAACAAGGTAAAGACTCAATTAATGCTATTTATGTAGAATTTGATATAATAAACCACATCTATTTGTTGTTAATATTGAAACCCAATTTAAACATAAATGTATGGAAATGTTAAAAGTAATAATGTGGAAAATATAATATGCAAATATGAAGCCAAGAGAATTGGAGTGGCTATACAAATATATAAAAAGTAGAATTCAGAATAAGAAATATTACCAGAAATTAGTCAGTTTATGAAAAAGATAAAATAATTCTAACAAAGCTTTCAAAGACATGAAGCAAAACGTGATAGAACTGAAAGAGAAATTTTCCAAAACCGCAATTATAGCTATAGTTGGACTTATTTCTATTATTCTCTCTGAAATCTACAGACCAAGTAGACAAACAGTAAAAATTTAGAATACCTGATAAACATAAGTTAACCTAAATGACATCTATAAATCTAACAAACAAAAACAAAATGCACATAGAAAAAAATGCTTTTCAAATATTTGCTAATATAGAACATTTTCTGGGCCATCAAACAAATGTCAACAAATTTGAAAGAATTGAAAATAACCAAACTGTATTTTCTGAATACAATGGAATTATACTATCAATAAAAAATAGAAAGATATCCAGAAAATTCAAAATGTCTAGAAATAAAACAAATACCTTTAAGGAACTCATGGATTAAATGGGAATTCATAAAGAAAATTAGAAAATATTTTTGAAATGAATAAAAATGAAAACAACATATCACAGTTTGTGGGACATAGATAAAGTAGCACTTAACAATATTGTCTTAGTTCAGATCCTATAAAAACATTTCAAAGACTAGGTGGCTTATAAACAAGAAAAAATTATTTCTCAAACTTCTGTTGGCTTAAAGTCCAATATTAGAGTGCTGGCATGATCAGATGGCAAAGTTCTCCTTGTATCCTCCCATAGCAGAAAGAGAGCAAGCTAAATCTCTGGCCTGTTTTCTTAAAGGGTATTAATCCCATTCATAAGGACTCAATACATATGCCAAAGGCCACAACTCCAAATACTGTCATTTTGAGATTAGATTTTAAAATATGAATATTAGGAGACACAAACATTCAGTCCATAACAAAGATGATACAGCAGTAAACGTTTATATTAAAAGAAAGAATGGTCTCAAATCAAGTATCTAACTATTCATGCTAAGCAATGATTAGAAAGGGAGTCAACTAATTTCAAAGCAAATGAAAGAGAGGAAATAATAAAGATAAAAGTAGAAAAAGTGAAATATAAAACAGAAAAAATAAAAACAATACGTGCTTATTTTTTAAATAATCAATGAAATTGATCATTCTCTAGCCAGAGCAATCAAGAAACTCAAATCCACAAGAAAAAATGAAAAGTACTATTATAGAATGATAGATATATCATTAAATAGAGTATGTTTTTTTATAATTTTTCTCATTTCTTCTCTTAGTTCTATTAAATTATGATTATATAGAGCAATAATTACAATACTCTTTTTAGTTTTATAACATAAATTGATGTAATACATATGGCAATAATAGAATAAAAGAAAATTAATAGGGAGATATAATAGAACAAACTTGCTAGTTGTTTCGGAATTGTCGGTATTAATGTGAAGTACATGTTAATACACGAAAAGACATACTGTAAATCATAGGGCAAATAGGTAGTGAATCAACAGAAGACATAAATGGCATGCTAAGAAACATTTGTTTTATGTAAAAGAAGTTAATAGAAGAAAATAGCAACAGAGGCAAGAGACATAGAAAAAAAACAGCAAAATGCCAGTGAAAAGTCAAATTGCTTCAATCGTGATATGAAAAGACTAAAATTGTAAATTGGATTAAAAGCAAGATCCCACTTTACCAATTAGGAAATACAGACATGTTTAGATTCAAAGATTCAAGCTCAAGTTTACCAACATATTACTATTTTTTTATTATACTTTAAGTTCTAGGGTACATGTGCACAACTTGCAGGTTTGTTACATATATATACCCGTGCCATGTTGGTGTGCTGCACCCATTAACTCATCATTTACATTAAGTTTATCTCCTAATGCTATCCCTCCCCCATCCCCTAACACCACATCAGGCCCCAGTGTGTGATGTTCCCCTTCCTGTGTCCAAGTGTTCTCATTGTTCAATTCCCACCTATGAGTGAGAATATGCGGCATTTGGTTTTTTTGTCCCTGCGATAATTTGCTGAGAATGATGGTTTCCAGTTTCATCCATGTCCCTACAAAGGACATGAACTCATCCTTTTTTATGGCTGCATAATAATCCATGGTGTATATGTGCCACATTTTCTTAATCCAATCTATCATTCATGGACATTTGGGTTGATTCCAAGTCTTTGCTATTGTGAATAGTGCCACAATAAACATACGTGTGCATGTGTCTTTATAGCAGCATGATTTATAATCCTTTGGGTACATACCCAGTAATGGAATGGCTGGGTCAAATGGTATTTCTAGTTCTAGATCCTTGAGGAATCGCCACACTGTCTTCCACAATGATTGAACCAGTTTACAGTCCCACCAACAGTGTAAAAGTGTTCCTATTTCTCCACATCCTCTCCAGCACCTGTTGTTTCCTGACTTTTTAATGATGGCCATTCTAACTGGTGTGAGATGGTATCTCATTGTGGTTTTCATTTGCATTTCTCTGATGGCCAGTGATGATGAGCATTTTTTCATGTGTCTGTTGCCTGCATAAATGTCTTCTTTTGAGAAGTGTCTGTTCATATCCTTTGCCCACTTTTTGATGGGGTTGTTTGTTTTATTCTTGTAAATTTGTTTGAGTTCTTTGTAGATTCTGGATATTAGCCCTTTGTCAGATGAGTAGATTGCAAACATTTTCTCCCATTCTGTAGGTTGCCTGTTCACTCTGATGGTAGTTTCTTTTGCTGTGCAGAAGCTCTTTAGTTGAATTAGATCCCATTTGTCAATTTTGGCTTTGTTGCCATTGCTTTTGGTGTTTTAGACATGAAGTCCTTGTCCATGCCTATGTCCTGAATGGTATTGCCTAGGTTTTATTCTAGGGTTTTTGTGGTTTTAGGTCTGACATTTAAGTCTTTAATCCA
Organism: Homo sapiens; assembly: GCF_000001405.40. Taxonomy (NCBI): domain Eukaryota; kingdom Metazoa; phylum Chordata; class Mammalia; order Primates; family Hominidae; genus Homo; species Homo sapiens. The sequence continues at coordinate 189,092,524 of NC_000001.11, forward strand.
TCTTGAATTAATTTTTGTATAAGGTGTAAGGAAGGGATCCAGTTTCAGCTTTCTACATATGGCTAGCCAGTTTTCCCAGCACCATTTATTAAATAGGGAATCCTTTCCCCATTGCTTGTTTTTGTCAAGTTTGTCAAAGATCAGATGGTTGTAGATGTGTGGTATTATTTCTGAGGGCTCTGTTCTGTTCCATTGGTCTATATCTCTGTTTTGTTACCAGTACCATGCTGTTTTGGTTACTGTGGCCTTGTAGTATAGTTTGAAGTCAGGTAGCGTGATGCCTCCAGCTTTGTTCTTTTGGCTTAGGATTGACTTGGCAATGCAGGCTCTTTTTTTTTTTTTTTTTTTTTTTTGGTTCCATATGAACTTTAAAGTAGTTTTTTTCCAATTCTGTGAAGAAAGTCATTGGTAGCTTGATGGGGATGGCATTAAACCTATAAATTGCCTTGGGCAGCATGGCCATTTTCATGATATTTATTCCTCCTATCCTCCATGAACATATTACTATTTTTTACATTTATCAACATCATGTTAAATCTTTTCAGTCTTCTCAGATTTAAACTACACATTTAAGAAGTTAACATAGTTTATTAAAAGTTTGCCTGTAAAGGAAACTATAAAAAAATGCCCTTGCAATAATAGTATACTAAAAAAGGTTATAGTTAGGAGCTGAACAATGAGAACCCATGGACACAGGGAGGCGAACAATGCACGTCTGGGGCCTGGTGTGGGGTGGGGTGGGAGGAGGGAGAGCATTAGGGAAAATGGCTAATGCATGGTGGAATAATACCTAGGTGATGAGTTGATAGGTGCAGCAAACCACCATGACATATGTTTACTTATGTAACAAACCTGCACATTCTGCACATGTACCCTAGAACTTAAAAAATAAAAATTTAAAATAAAAAATAAATAATTTTGAAGCACACAAAATATAAAGAGCAAATATTTTATATTTTTACAAGGTAGTAAAAATATTAAACTTTGTAATAGAATATTTGTACTTAGCAGTTACATATCTTAGCCCCACATTTAAGAATAGTTGTATTGTCAGTGTTCCAGCTTCAAAAGATGTATGGATAATTTTGAGGAGCATACCACATTTAGCACTGTAAGGCTTTTGAACAAACAAATAAGGACTCTGACAAAAGTTCCTGAACTTTCCTAAAGAGAATATTGAAGCACTTCGTAAGGAATGTTGAAAACATACACATCCTTTTAAATGTCTTGTAATGAAAATATTTCATAGTCATATATGGTTGGAAATACTCCGTAGACTGTATCCTCTTCAAGAGGCTCACCATTTAAATAAACATGATGGAATAGTCCTACAGGAAAAGAACAATGACTGTGTTTAATGTACCATTCCCTCAACAGTTACTAATTCCCCACATAGATGATTTTCTTTGCAGTGTCCCTCAAAACACATTGAAGTAAACACAAACATATTAATACTTATAATTTAGTGTTCACTAAAATATATCTGAGGGGCTTTTTCATTCCAATGCCTAACAGAGTACCCAGTACTACTGATGCAGGAAAGCTGGGAAGGGAAGCGAGCGGTCCCTTTAAATAACACGAAAGAGAAAAGGGAAGCTCTGGATAGAGAAGGGTGTGGTCCTTGGCTAGGGTTCCATCCCCAGGGACCTAGGTGAGGACAGGCACTCCTGCTTTCAAAGCCAACTGTTGCATTTTTCAAGACCACCTTGGCCTGCCAGGGCCCCATCTGGGCCTATAAAAACCCGAGATCCTAGCAAGGCAAAGACAGAAGCTGCTGGATGTCCAGAGAGGCACATCAGCAGAAGAGCACACTGACAGGCACCTGTACGCCCTCAGGCCATCCACCTGTGAGAGGAGGTGGAGTTTGGCAGGGGAGACGGAGGAGAGCCAGGCCTCTGAGCTACCCAACTCCAGTGGCAAACCATCTCCCTTCTGGCTCCCCAGTTGGCTGAGAGCTACTTCCACTCAATAAAACTTTGCACTCATTCTCCAAGCCCACGTGTGACCCGATTCTTCCGGTACAACAAGGCAAGAACATGGGATACAGAAACCCCTTAGTCCTTGTGACCCGGTGTAATTGAGCTGACTAACACAAGCTGCCTATGGATGATAAACTAAAAGAGCACCTTGTAACACATGCATACTGGGGCTTCAGGAGCTGTAAACATTCACCCACGGACACTGCCGTGGGGTTGGAGCCCCACAGCCTGCCAGTCTGTATGCTTCTCTAGAGGTTTGAGTAGTGGGGCACTGAAGAAGCGAGCCACACCCCCATCACATGCCCTGAGAAGGGACAAGGGAACCTTTCCGGTTTCACTGCTATACGTTTGTTTGTATTTTTGTTACATTTATCTGTATGTATCTGTGTGTTTATCAGTCTGTCTATAAAGAGTGAAATGAACGATTAACTTCTTTTATTTCAATTATGAAACATCCACAGTATACTATAGTTGTTTAATATATATCTGCAGGAAAACATCAATACCATCCTCCATTAAAAAATAGAAGCCATCATGCCCACCACATGTAAACAGCTTATTTTCATTTTCATATTTGTGAATTATTATTTTTAAGTGAACAACATGAAGTGCATATATTTGAAAAAGAATATGGAAAGGAATAACGTGTTTTTCACCACACCAATAGAATTTGGCATTAAAAACCTTTCCTAGACAGACTCAACATTATATAGCATAATACAGTTGTTTCTTGGAACATAGAATGCAACATTTAATAGTAATCATGGTACCATTTATTAAAATACAAACCAATTTATTTATTTATTTTCTAATACATTTCCTTCTTTCTGATTCAACTGGATAGCCATGTTTTGCGCTGTCTTTTCCTAGGCAAGTCAAAGCAGAGTTAAATGAATGAAAACTACATAACGACCGAGCATGTTGCTCAAGAACAAACTATACTGAGTGTCCAGGAAGAAAAGGGAAAAGGCAGGTGGGAGGATGCCTTTGAGGATGACAGAAAAATAGGCAAGACCTCTGAAGCTGTGACCCCTGAGAGTATCAATTTTAAGCATAGAGACTCTCATATTCTATAAAGGACCTAACATTCAATGAATGACAAAGAATTTGGTGTCCCAAATAATTGAGGAATTGAGTAGTCTTTAACAATGTTGTTATTAAAGCCCACTATAATAGAAAAATAATTGAAGTGTCTGTTATATTTTCAGGAACCCCTAAAGCCTCCTAGATTTTTAAGAAACCTTACAGGGGCTGAGCAAAAACAAGTGATACTGACACTGATTATCCTGACAAACTAGTAGTTTAGGATTCAGAGATAATTTAAAGTTTATTTAATGAAAATCCAGAAATACGACATCCATGATTTAAAAACTTGACTTCATACAAAATGTTTCTTTAAAAACATGATAAAATTTTAGATATACAATTTAAAAACATACTTAGACAAAAAATAGTCCAGTGAGTGTTTACTCCTTATCAAGTAAAAATAAAAGTTGAACAGTAGCAACGATAAGAAAAATAATTTTGCTATCAATTTTCTTTTGTGCTTGTATACATACAAGTCCTAGATGCTCCAAAGAGAGCTATGCACTGACAATATCAATAACACATAAAGATAAAAATGTCTGGTGATGCAAGAACAGCCAGTCAGAGTCATCTTAACACAAATTTTGTGGCTGATAAGACTGAAGTCCAAAGCTAATATTCATTGCAATTGTTTGTGTACAACAAAGTAAACTCAAGTGGCTTGAAAAAAAATACTTAGTTAATGGAATTGTATGGCATAAAAGTTTGTGTATGAAGGAAGCCAGATTGTTTAAGAAAATTGCCGTTAGACCTTCATTCTAAAAAGGAAAATAGGCTAACTAGGATTTATGTTTATGGCAGCTAGGCTTATGGCTTGGAGTAAGTGGGAAATTGCAAATCAGCAGCACAGCTTGTTTATTACACAAAACCCACATGTTTAAAGACCTTTTAATTTGTTTTTACCTCAGAAAATTCAAATTGTGGAAGAGTATCTGAAATGTAAGGATTGTGAAAGAAGGAGTTTACCTCCAGTTACTGCCTAAGAGAGGGATACTGAATTACTTATGAAATTGTTCCAATTTGTCATTGTTTATTTTATCTTGAATATTTTTACCTTCCTTTTTTCATCTAATGATATTTTATGACAAACCTTTTAGAATTAAAATAAATGTAGTTAATAAACATTGAGATTGTACCAATTTAATTACTGCTTTTTAGGAGAAATGAACACAACCTCAAATAACAGAGCAAGAGACAGGGAATAATGTTTAGGAATTGAACACAATGACACAGGTGTGTCTTTTCACACTGTAATGGCATGTACTCAAGCTACTTGGTGACATGTTTACCTGTTAGCAAATACTAAAACCATTTGAGATGTGAGGATTGCTTATTATATTGATAGTTCTTGAATAGAATATAAAAGCTCATTAATTCATGATGTGTCAATGTCACCTAATCAGCAACAAAATAATGTTGATAAATTAATAATTGACATTAAGTGATATACAGCATTGGGAAATTTCCTGATACATGAAAATAAGTCTATAATGAGTTTCAACAGCATTGCTAATTGCTTACAGAACTACAGATTAATATAATTTTATAGCTGAAGAATCCTCTCTAATTTCTGGTTGAAGACAAAAAGCCAAGATCATTTAAAGTCAGACAAAAATCTCAGTTATTCTGCTAAGTAAGGAGATATAGAACTCATATCCCCTGACTTCCATCCCAGGGCAATAAGATGATAGGTTGCTTTAAGTGATTTTAAGGATCACTTATTTTAATCTCTTCACACAGTTTCTAATAAGAAAAAGCAGTAATAAAGACATAAGAAAGATCATTAAAATAAAACAGTAGCAGGTAATTGCTATTCACTTATATTTATAAAAACATTTCATTTCAATAACCTTATAATTCAAGCAAAGAATTTTAAAAATAGAAGCAGTGCTATGGTTACGGTGACTTCAACCTTATTAAAGATAATGGTAATGTGAATTTGAACTCTAAGACTATTTTTCAAAATTTTTATGAATGCCATTTGAGTCTTTGTTTGTTTGTTTGTTTCGTTTTGTTTTGTTTTCTTGAGACAGAGTCTCACTCTGTTGCCCAGGCTGGAGTGCAGTGGCGCGGTCTCAGCTCACTGCAACCTCTGCCTCCTGGGTTCACGCCATTCTCCTGCCTCAGCCTCCCGAGTAGCTGGAACTACAGGTGCCCACCAACACACCCAGCTAATTTTTTGTATTTTTAGTAGAGACGGCGGTTTCACCATGTTAGCCAGGATGGTCTCAATCTCGTGACCTCGTGATCCACCTGCCTCGGCCTCCCAAAGTGCTGGGATTATAGGCGTGAACCACCACGCCCGGCCCAACATTTGAGTCTTATAAGGCAAAGAAACTTGCAATTGTTTTTCTTTTGTTGATAGTTTTTAGATTTTGTTTTTAATCAAATCAACTAACACTGATTAAAACTAACTAAACTAGAGTCATTAACACAGGTTAAAATATTTTTGATTAGAATGATTTTTAGAAAACGAAATCAAGTGAAGAACCCATTAGCAGATCTCCTATTCAATGTCTGACTGTGGGAAAATGACTAAGTCAGATTTCTGTGAAGTTGTTTTAATATAAAAAAATTCCGTTTTTTATATCCATCATGGTAATTGATGGTCTTGGATTACAACGTATGGTATCTACATATGTTGAAGTATTTGTAGAAAAAAATAGTAGTGTAACTATATTATTTGAAAATAATTACTAATAATAGCATTTTTACAAATATACTAAGAATTTATTATGTATTTAAAACATTTGCACTTACATCAGTGAGAGCAAAAATACAAAAAAGTTGTTTTGGCTTAAAAGATGTTATTTTAATGAACCCATTTCAGAATAAGTATATAATATTAGTAATATTTTGTTTTTCAGTATGACATTCCTGGTGCATTAATGGCATGTTTAATTCTGGTTTGTGAAAGTTTTTCTAAGTATGTAATGAAATATATAAAATGATAGAAAGAGTAAAAGTTTATGGTTATGAGAGATAATTTTAAGAAACCAGTAGATATGGAATGGTCAAATAATAATTAATTAATTAAAATAATTTCTTTCATATGTATTTTATAGCCATATATGTGAAACATTCCTTCATAATATTACAGCGATGAAAAATAACAGTCCCACGAATAAACTGAGACAGTGTCTTTTGTATATTGAACTCAATGAACTATATCAATTTCTAAGAATAATTTTATTTTGTATTAGATATATAAATAATCTTTTAAAGATCATCTCCTGATGGCAACAATATTTCCATGTATGGTATTTCATAATTGTATATAAAACTGAAAGTCCCTAAGAAAATAAAATTGGTTTAGGAGGGACACTCATGGAAATAAATGAACAAACTTTCAGATTCAACTTCTCCAGAATTATGGACGCTAAAAGTTTGCAACACTCAGGTGAACACTTGAATCAAGAAAAAACAGTTGAATGTTGTTACAGAGGTTTTGAGTCCGACTGTTACCAAACACCAAGGTTTCAGTCTAGGTCCTGCTGCTTGCCACACAGAAAGCCAATCATTGAGACAATGAATATTGTCAAGGACGAAGCCTTTAATTGGGTGCGGAAGCCAAGGAGATGGGACATCAGCCTCAAATCTATATCGCCAAATGATTAAAATTAGGGGTTTATACAGTATGTAAAAAATGTAACTATGTGTGGGAAAACAGGAACTAGGGAGTGGTAACAAATAGGAGTTCCTCAATAAGAAGCAGGTGGTCGGTTAGGAAAACAGGAAATAGGCAGGGGTAAAGAAGCAATCATGATGAATGAGGGGTCTGGCCTCTCATTGTCTGGATGCAGTGATCTGGTGAGTTTTAGTTCTTCGGTACTTTTTGAGAGATTTGAGGGTCTTTCCTGAGTAAATAACTCAGATAAAACCAATGTAAGTTTCAAGCTTTAAGACAAGAGGGTCAATTTCTATGTAAGTGTGTGGGACTATTGGGTTGGTTTCACTATCCCCTGCTTCCTAAACTGGTGGTGTCATTAAAAAATGGTCCACATATCCAGCACAAGTGCTGGTAGTGGAGAAGCAGAATTGATCTTAGTCTCAAAGAACTTTGATTCTTTGTTTTAACCTGTCTGGTGGCTCCCTAGAGGATGGGATCAAAGCACTTCTTTTTATCTCACCAAAATTGCAACTTTCCCAGTGCTGAGGTAGCTACCTAGAGGGTAATTGTAAAAAAAAAAAAATGCAGACAGGTAAATGTATTATACTCTACTTCCTATGGCAGATAAAAGTTGAAACAAAGAAGAGACTAAGCAAAAAGCCAGTAAAGAAAGGCTGGAGAATGTGAAGCTTTGAGAAATTAAGACTTTGAAAAGCTCTGACAAAGTCATGGGACTCTACAAGGCCATATGTATGTCCAGGGCTGGGTTCCTGTTGATCTGAAGGAAAGAAAATACAAAAGTCCTGTCAGTTGCCCATGTAAAGGAAGGAAAACACTTAACTGCAGCTCCCACTATTCTTCCACTTAAGAGAAGGGAAATACCAAACTGTAGCCCATTCTAACCATCCTGTCCCACCTAAAAGGGGAGACACAAAAAATAAACTGAGAAACACTTATGAAGGTCAGAATCCAGAAGCATAGACTCAATAAAAGTCTAAAACCTAATAATAGGGCAGTAAAATACATCCCCTCCCCTTAACCCCTTACATTACTAAAAGTATATTTATAGCAGTTCCATTTACCTAGAATATTTTACATCTGGCTATCAAAAAATTACAAAGCAGACTAAAAGGAAATAAAACACAATTTAAAAACACAGAGAATGCATTAGAACCACACATATCAAGGATGTGGGAATTCACAGACCAGAAATTTAAAACAACTATGATTAATATGCTAAGGGGCTCCAACGTATAAAGAAATAGTTTGCAAGAACAGACATACAATGTAAGCAAAGAGATAGAAATCCTAAGAACCAAAATCAATTGCTAAAGATTAAGAACACTGTAACAGAAATAAAGAATGCCTTTAATAGGCTTCTAACTTGACAGGACATAGCTGAGAAAAAATATATATATGAGTTATCAGAGCTATTTGGGACTATCAATAGAAACCTTCAAAACCCAAAAGCAAGGAGAACAAAGAATTTAAAAAAAAAGACTATCTGAAGACTGTGAGATAACTACAAAATGTTTAATATATGTATAGTTGGAATAGTTAAAAAAAAAAAGAAAGAGGGAAAGAGGCACAAAAATATTTGAAGAAGTAATGGCTGTATTCTTTTCCCAAACAGTGAAAGCAACAGATTCAAGAACCTGCGAGAACTTCACGTAGACTAAATACAAAAAAAGGAAGGAAGAATGGAAGAGGGAAGGAAAGAAGGAAAGAAAGAAGGAAAGAAGGAAGGAAGGAGAAAAGGTTGGAGGGAGTGAGAGAGGAATGGAGTGATTAGGCAGAGAGGGAGGGAGGGAAAAAGAAGGAAGGAGAAAACAAAAGAAGAAAGAGGGAGAAAAAGTCATGTCTTGGCATATCATACTGACACTATAGATAAGTAAAGCCAAGGAGTAAATCAGAAGAATGAGGGGAGAGAGGGTTGCACCTTACTTATTGATATGGTTAGGATTTGTATCCCCACCCAAAACTCATCTTGAATTGTAATCCCCAGTGTTTAGAGAGACACCTGGTTGGAAGTTATTGGATTATGGAGGTGGTTTCTTGTATGCTGTTCTTGTGATCATGAGTAATTTCCATGAGATCTGATGGTTTTGTAAATGGTAGTTTTTATTGCATTGACACAGTCACTCTCTCTCTCCTGTCACCATGTAAGGCCTGCCTCTTCTCCTCCTTCCATGATTGTAAGTTTCCTGAGACCTCCCCAGCCATGTGGAACTGTGAGTCAATTAAATCTCTTTTCTTTATAAATCACCAAGTCTTAGGTATTTCTTTATAGCAGTGTGAAAACAAAGTAATACACTTATACATATGCAAATACATATACATAGATAAGACATATAGATAATTTCTATTCAGAAATTATGCAAATAAGAAGACAGTGGAGTAAAATTTTTAATGTTTTTAGGAAGAAAAAAAAATTCTACCGAAATGAAATTTTATATCCAGAGAAAATATCCCTTTTCTCTGGATATTTGCCACCTCCTTGACCCGTTAAACAAAATAGTCAAGGAAATTGCTCAGAAAGATCAGAAAGATTAAAAATAATTAAAAAAAACTTAGACACTCCGTATGGCCTAATAAGTCCAACTGTATGGCATTTGGATCTTCTCTCTAGCTACTTTTAAGATTTTAACCCATTAAGATAGCAGCAGACTTTTAAGCAGAAACCTTACAGGACAGAAGAGGTTGAGAGCTTATTTTCAGCATCCATACAGAAAACAAATTTCAGAAAAATTCATATTCTGCCAAATTAGGTTTCATAAGAGCAAGAGAAATAAAATCCTGCTCAGAAAACAAACACTGAGGGAATTTATTTCAACTAGACCAGCCTTGAAAGAGACCCTTAAGGGAGTGCTAAACATGGAATCAAAAGGACAACACCTGCTACCACAAAAACACACTTAAGCACATAGCCCATAGTCACTATAAAGCAATCACATAATCAAGTAACATAGGACCCAGCTAAAAACACAGTGACAAGATCAAAATCATACATATCGTTATTAACTCTTTAAATGAGATAAGCATCCCACCTAAAAGGTATAGAGTGGCAAACTGGATAAAAAGCAAGACCCACCCATCTGCTGTCTTCAAGAGACCCATATCACATGTAAAAACACCCACAAGCTCAAAGTAAAGAGGTGGAGAAAGATCAAGCATGCAAATGAAAAAGAACAAAAAAAGAACAGGAGTCACTATTTTTATATCAGATAAAGCAGATTTTAAACCAATACAAATTGAGATATACCAAGAAGAGAAGTACATAATGAAAAAAATACAACCCAACAAGAAGCCTTAACTATCCTAAATATATATGCACCAAAAAATGGAGCACCCAGGGTCATAAACAAATTCTTCTTGGCCTACTAAGAATTATATGCAAACATACAATAATGATGGAAGACTTCAACACTCCACTGACAGAGTTCAACAGAACATCAAGGTGGAAAACAAACAAAGAAACTCTGGACTTACACTCAACACTTGAACAACTGCAACTAAAAGACATCTACAGGATAAACCATCCAATAACCAAAGGATATACATTCTTCTTATCTGTACATAGAACATATTCTAAGACTGGCCACATGCTTGGTCATAAAGCAAGTCTCCATAAATTTTAAAACATTGAATTCATACAAAGCACACTCTTGGACTATAGTAAAATAAAAAAAGAAATAAATATCAAAAAAACTCTCAAAACTGCATAAATGCACAAAAATTAAACAACTTGTTCCTGAATAACTCCTAGGTAAATATCAAAATTGAGGCAGAAATTAAATAACAATTCTTTGGAATTAATAAAAATTAGGGAATAATTATAACTTACCAAAATCTCTGGTGAAATCTGCAGCAAAAGCAGTGTTAAAAGGAATGTTTATAGAACCAAAAGCCTATATCCAGAAGTTAGAAAGAGATCAAACTAACAATCTAACTTTGTTCCTAAAGGAACTAGAAAAAAGTACAAATCTCAAAGTTAGCAGAAGAAAAGAAATATCAAAAATTAGAGAAGAACTGAATAGAATTAAGATGTAAAAGTCCATACAAAGATGAATAAAACCAAGAAAAAATAAACAAGATTGTTAGACAGCTAGCTAGATTAAAAGAGAGAAGAAAAGAGAAGATCCCAACAAATGTAATCAGAAATGAAAAGAATGATGTTACATCAGTCAGACAGAAATACAAAAGATCCTCAGAGACTACTCTTAACAACTCTATGCATACAAATTAGAAAATTTAAGGAAATGGGTAAATTTCTGGAGAAAAACTATCTCCCAAGATTGAGCCCAAAAGAAGTTGAAACCCTGAATAGACCAATATGGAGCTCTGAAACTGACTCAGTAATAAAAATCCTAACAACCAAAAAAGCCCTGTACCAGATGGATTCACAACTGAATTCTACCAGATATAGAAATAAGAACTGGAACCAATCCTACTCAAACTATTTCAAAAATATCAAGGAGCAGAAGCTCCTCCTACATCATTCTATGAAGCCAGCATCTGCCTAATACCAATATTTGGCAGAAATGCAATTAAAAAAGCAAATTTCAGTCCAATATCCCTGATGAAGATAGATACAAAAATCCTCAACAAAAAAACTAACAAACTGAATTGAGCAAAACATCAAAAAGTAAATACACCAACATCATGTGGGCTTTCTTCCTGCTATGCAAATCTGGTTCAACATATGAAAATTAGTGAGGTTCACCACGTAAACAGAAATAAAAGCAAAAACCACATGATCATCTCAATATATCCATAAAAGTCTTCAATAATTTCATCATTCCTTTATATGACAAAAGACTAGTAATCAAATGAACATACCTCAAAATAATAAGAGCTATCTATTACAAACCAAAGCCAATGTCACACTGAATGGCTACTCATCAAAGAAACATGCCTCAACATACCTCAACAAGCTATTCATCAAAGAACATACCTCAAAATAATAAGAGCCAACTATGACAAACCCAAAGCCAACAGCCTGCTGAAACAACAAAAGCTGGAATCATTTCCCTTAAGAAGTGGAAAAAACAAGAATGCCCATTCTGACCATTCCTGTTCAACATAGTACTAGAATTCCTAGCCTGACCAATCAGGGAAGACAAATAAATAAAAGGCATTCAAATAGAAAAAGAAGAAGCCTAACTATCTGTCTGCACAGAAGATATCGTTCTACGCCTAGAGAAGCCTTATGACTCAACCAAAAGAGTGCTAGAAGTGATAAACAATTTTAATGAAGTTTCCAGATACAAAATCAATATACAAAACAGTAGTATTTTTATACACCTATAATGCCCAGGCTGCAATTCAAATAAAGAACACAATTCCATTTACAATACTCAAAAAGAAAAGGAAAAACCTAGGAATAATTTTAACCAAGGAGGTAAAAGATCTTTACAATGAGAACTACAAAACACTGCTGAAAGAAATGCAAATAAAAAATTTTAATATTCACAAATAGGAACAACCAATATTGTTAAAAGACCATACTATCCAAAGCAATTTACAGATTCAATGCTGTTCTTATCAAACTACAACATTATTCTTCACAGAATTAGAAAAAAAAAAAACTATTTTAAAATTCATATGGAAGCACAAAAGAATCTGTATAGAAAAAGTAACTCTAAGCAAAAGAACAAAGCCACAGACACTACCTGACTTCCAACTATACTACAATGCTTTAGTAAACAAAACAGCATGATACTGGTACAAAAGCAGACACAGACCATTGGAAAATTATAGAATACTCAGAAATAAAGCCGCACATCTACAGCCATCTGATTTTGACAAGGCCAAAACCTAGGAAATACCCTTCTTAGCATCAGCTTTGCCAAATAATTTTTAACTAAGTCTTCATAATCCTATGTGCGCTAATGCAGGAACATAAAACAAAATACTGCTTTTTCTCCCTTATATGTAGGAGTTAAACATTGACAAATCAAGACTCCCTCTCTCAAAAAAAAAAAAAAAAAAAAAAGCCTCTTCCAGAAATTAAAAAGTCTAGGGACATACGCCATATAATTTATACAGTCATCATTGCCACAATACCAAACCCAGACAAATGCAATAGAAATAAATACAATTACAGATTAACATCTTATAAATATAGACATAGTAATATTTAAATATGAGCAAACCAGATGCAAGAACATATAAAATGCATTGTAGTATGATTGAGTAAAATCTTCTATGGAATGAAAATGTGGATCAACATTGGATAATTAATCAATGTAATTAATCATATTAACAAACAAAATAATACAAATCGAGATCATATCAATAATACAGAAATAATTTGACAAAACTAAACATTTGTTTATGATAAAAATTCTCAAATAATAAGGAAAAGACAGTAACATTCTTAGCCAGTCTGAGGTTTCTTTTTAAAAAAGTATTTAATTTTTAAAAATTCTCTTATCAATGGCTTTTGCAGAACATATGTTCCTAATTCCCCACTCCTTAAGTTTGGGCTGCACTTTGTAACATGTTTCCAAAATCTAGAGGATAGAAATGGAGAGAAAGATTAAAAAATACAACTAATTTCATAGTGAAAAAAAAAGATAAACACTACTTAAGTAGGTGATAACAGTTTAACAGCAGAGATAAGTCATGGTGATAGCATCCACCCTGGATATAATAACAATGGTACTTCACGTTTTTCGTCTTCCTGCCCCCCACAAAATCATAATCCTTGTCTAGGTGTAAGAGAACCATCAGACAAACCCAAGTTGAAAGGCATTCTATAAAATATCTAACCAGTATATTCTACAAAACTATCTAGTCATTAAAACTGGGTAAAGTCTGGAAAATTGTTATAGACCAGAGAAGGCTAATTAGGTATGAGATTGGACAACATATGAATAAATTTATTTAAAAATTAATTAATCCCAACGCTTTGGGAGGCTGAGGCGGTCGGATCATGAGGTCAAGAGATCGAAACTATCCTGGCCAACATGGTGAAATCCCGCCTTTACTAAAAATACAAAAATTAGCTGGGCATGATGGCGCGCGCCTGTAGTCCCAGCTACTCGGGAGACTGAGACAGGAGAATCGCTTGAACCTGGGAGGCGGAGGTTGCAGTGAAACGATATCGCGCCACTGCACTCCAGCCTGGCGACAGAAGGAGACTCCGTCTCAAAATAAATAAACAAATAAAAAGTAATAATAATAATTAATTAAATGTTCTGTGGTGTGGGATCCTCAAATAGAAAAAAACACAAGTCTCTAGGTCAAAGGAGCTAAAAGGTAATTTAGAATAAAGTATATAATATCTATAAATTAAATAATACACACTCAAATGATATCAACTAATGCCATAAAAATTAATAAATCTAGTTTTGATGTCTCTATTTCTGTATTAACATTCTGTTAGTTATATCTTCTTGAATGTCCCCCTAGCGACATGCATTTCAGTTCATTTGCACACTTGTCATTCTCATTAACTCTTTTTGTTACTTTTTAGATTAAAATATCAGAGATTAAAATGATCTGCTTGTATGCCCACCTCCCATAATACATCACTGTCTCCTCAAAATCACATTATCATATTTTTCACCTAATGGCTGTAGTTCAAAGTGTTACTGTCAAAAAAATTAAATCAAGACAGTTTTTCCACATAGGTTAAGAAGAAAGTCTATGTGAAAGTATAACTACTACATACCTAAAGTACAGCATGATGGTTCTTTTACAAAAGACTGTAAGTTAAAGGCAGGGAAATAATAATTTTATTCTGAAAGCTATGAATGCAATGTAAAGATACTGATTTGAGTAAAATACATCAGGTAACAAGCAGAATAAATACTAGGAAGATGTCATATTAGCAGCATTTAAGCTATTAATCTAATAAAACCTAATTATTGAATTCAGAATAGAAAGAAAAATAGATATTATATAATAACAACACAGTTTTCATAAATAAGTATAATAATAAATGTGTAATAGTAATAATAATATCTAACACTCACTAATTACCAGGTGATCTTTGAAGATTGTATACACACAGGTACACACACACGTATTTGTATATATTATATGTGTTTAATGTATATGTACATTAATGCTATTCAAAGGATAGATAGTATCATTCATTATGGATAAAATTAAAAAACCAAAGTAAAGGTAAATGATTTCCTCAATGCTACAACGACAAGAAGGTTAAGCCAGTATTTAAATACAACCAGTCTACTTCTAGGGCCTGATTCTTTGCTAATATACTCAAACCCATCACAAATCAGCCTACATAATAAACGATTAAATTAGCTATAACATTAGCAGCAAGCATGCACTAGAATATTACAAAATAATTTGGACTACATTATTTATTGGAAAATATAAGTGCTTATTTTCCTGAAAATAATTTTCTGTCACAATGATCAATCTCCACAAAGGAATTTGGCAACTTTATTAAAAAAATATAATGATGCTGTCAAATACACAAATGAGATGCTAACTATGAAGAATAAGTTGTGCTATGAACAAAAATCAGCCAAAACCTGCCCATATATACACTGGGCGGGACATATAAGCAAATCAATTTTATTTCTTATACATTGTAAATTTTACAACTCATTCCTGATACATATTTTCTCTAATTTGATTTGGAACCAGAGGGTAATCTCTGCATTTGGGGTTCCCATCTGTTCCCATAATCTGTTCCCATAATCATTTTACCATATCTAAGAATCTTGCATAAAATCACCATTTGGAGAAATATACTCTTAAAATATAAACTATGCCTTTAAAAATCATTTGTAATAAAATATTTTATAAATACTGGTGTAGTTTCTGCTATTCACATTTAAACAGTTCAAAAAATCTTAATACAACACACTTTTATTCAAAATTAATGATCTGTGTTGAAATTTCTTCTTTGAGCCTAATTTACAAGGTTGTCATCATATAAGTACAATTTATGTATTGACTTCTTAGGTTGTATGTTATTAAAAAATAATTTGGAGGAGATTCTATTTCATTTTAAAAATAATTGTATCAATACACTATAAATCTATAATATAAACATTATAGATTATATTTACATGAAGACAAAAGCTTTGTCAGGATATGGTTTAATAAAATTAATAATATATTATTATAATATTCAAGTACATAATTATAATTATTGATTTTTCATTAATAAAAATCAATATATAATTATAAATTATAAAAATATAAATATTCATCATTGTATGTACCCAAAATACTGAAAATAAAAACTATAACAGAAGAATGAATAGGCAATTGACTGATAAAGATTTTATCTGAGATTTCAAAAAATATTTTGTGAAATATAAAATGCACATTTGAAAAGATCATAGGCTTTAGAGTCAGAGATCTTGGTTGGAATCTCATCGTGGGTATTTATTATCAGATTGAGACCATATTATTTAACCTCTCTAACCCTACGTTTTCTTTCCTAAAAAATGATAATAAGTTTTATATTGCAGGTTGTTTGAGGATTGAATTAAATAATGTGTAATGTGCATGGTTATCAAATACTAGCTTTTTTAAATGGACACTGATTTTTCCATTCCTAATTTCTGTACTATAAAATATGAAAAAAGTTACTTTTTATGAAAGAATTGTTAGAAATGTATGAAATATGTAATCAACCATAGATAAAGTACACTTAAATTCCAAGGTTCTTTACAAAGCCATGCCTGACAAGAACCCATATTATCTGTAATCACATATCTTATGTGCAACTATTGTATATTATGCTTCAGTCACACTTAACTCTCACTTTACCTAATGTGTAATCGTCTTCTATTTGTTCTTGAGTCTGGTAAGATTTTGCTCCTCTTACATGAGCCTCTTTTTCCCTGTAATTGACCTGCCTTTATTTTTAGCTCACATATATCTTCTTCCAGAAAGCCAATCTTGATATTCAGATTAAGGGTCTCTACATAGTATTCTCATAGTATCCAGCATTTTCGTTACAATATTATGCTTTTAAAAAATTACTGGTTCAAGTATCTGTACCAGTACTCACTAAAATAAAATTAAAATGGAAGCAAAGACTGAATTTATAGTTCAGAACTTAGTACAGTACGTCCTCATAAAAACTTCAAGAATGTATGGACTAAAGATTGTCAAGATTGCTTTGCTGTTTCTGTTTTTTGTAAATAGAAAAATTTATGAAAAATATATACTTACAATACTTTAAAGAATGATTTGAATCTTAAAAAAAGGTAACTTCTGGAAGTCATTCAAGGTGGAGAAAATGGCATCACAAAAGGCAAATACGTGGAATTATTTGAAAAACAGTTTTCTCTAAGTCCTTTAAATGACTCACATAAATGAATGAGTCTCCTTAAGCCAGATTCAAGGCTGTGTCTATCATGCAGATATAATTTTGTAATCTTATTTTTGAAAGATATGAAAGGCCATTTTATGTAATAACCTGTTTTTACTTAGGGTTCAAAATAAAAATGACTCCTCTGGCTACATACACTATTGGTTAAAGATGATTAACCATAAATCCTGAATTCATTTCATTCATGTCCATGGATATTATTAAGTACTGGTTTTAAAAATTAGTATATTATATGCATTCGATAAATTATGTTGCATAAAAATTCACCAACAGCATTTATATCAATACTGTTTCTTCTAGAGTATAGTGGTTTGCTGGTATACTCTATTACTTTTTTATGATTTCTCACTTGATCTTTATGTATTAGGGAATGTCATATTTTTCCTCTTAGATGAAAAGATGTAAAGTTGTAAAAATTTTGAAGCTATTGGTTTAGTGACAGTGATTATTGCTACAGATAGTGGAATAAGCCTCAAAGATCAAAAGCCAATGCATGTCATTAATTTATTGTAATCTAGAGCTATGCCTGGAAGTATTTATTTTGTCATCATATTATTTGTCTCTCTAGATATAATTGATTCTACTATTTATTCAATTTTTAGTCATAATATTTATGATGTGTGTACAAATGGGAATTGACTATATTATGCATCTTAGAGTATTTCTTTAATGTTTTAGCCCATCTTTGAAAGCCCAGCCTTATTTTTTATTCCTGGCATATAGTAATAACAAATGCCAATTACTATGCTAAGCAGTGGTAGTAGAGAGTTGTATGAGACATATGACTAGACAGGATAATTTCACAGTCCTTAACCTTTTTGGCACCAGGGATCCGTTTCATGGCAGACAATTTTTTCACAGGCCAGCAAGGAGGTGGTGGTTTAGGGATGAATTGTTCCACCTCAGATCATCAGACATTAGATTCTCCTAAAGAGCACACAATCTAGATCCTTCACATGTGCAGTTCACAATAGGGTTCACATTCCTTCGAGAATATTTTTTATTTTATTTTTATTTATTTTATTATTACTTTCTTTGGGACAGGGTCTCACTCTGTCATATAGGCTGAGTGCAGTGGTAAAATCTCAGCTCACTGCAACCTCTGCCCCCTGAGCTCAAGCAATCGTCTCATCTCAGCCTACCAAGTGGCTGGGACCATAAGCGCGCAGCCACCACATCCCACTAATTTTTGTATTTTTGGTACAGACAGAGTTTTGCCACATTGCCCAGGCTGGACCTTCACTCCTGGACTCAATGGATCCACCCACCTGGGCCTCCCAATGTTCTGGGATTACAGGTGTGAGCCACCGTGCCAGGCCTTCCGATGAGAATCTAATACCTTCGCTGATCTGACAGGAGGTGAAGCTCAAATGGTAAAGCCAGCTGGCCCTCTGCTGACCTGCTGTGCAGCCCTGTTCCTAAGAGATCAGGGACTTGTACCACTCTTTGGCCCGGAGAGTTGAGAATCCCTGCTTTGTATGATACAGATTAACAATCACAATCCAGTGCTTTATGTGCCCTTATAGAGGTGGCTACTTCATGTTTTGTCTGTTACAGCCTTTAAAAAAAAATTCTGAGTGGTGATGATATCAGTCTGTTCACATTCTGTAATTCATTCCTTTGTACACCATTCTATGCACTGGTTAGACTTCAGTTGAAGAGTTTTAGAAACTGTACCAATTGTTTAAACTAAGCCCAGCAAACCTCAGCAACACATAATTAACCCATGTAACAAACCTGTACATGTACCTCCTGAACCTAAAAGTTGAGAAAAATGAATAAATAAATAAATAAATAAAAGCAAACATATATTTGAAAGTGAAAAAATAAAACAAAAAGCCCACATGTAATAAAAATATTACTTAGTAGTTAGATCAATGTTATTACCAAAATATTAAACGGTATATCAATTATGTTTTCAGAGATAACTAAAGAAAAACAGCAGATGTAATGACCCAACTTTCTCAGATTGATTTTAAGTGAGCAGATGAATAATGTAGTTATTTATGCATAACTGACCTTCATATACAATTCCTTCTAAAATTTAAATCTCATTAACCCAGGTATATTAATTTTCTATTGCAATTTAACAAATTACTACACATTTAGTAGCTTAAAACATTATTTACTCATTATCTCAGATGGGTAGGTCCAAATTCCAACATGGCATGGATAAATTATTTGCTCAGAGTCTCACATGGTCGAAGGCAAAATGTTGGACAGCGCTTTTATTTTGAGTCTCAAAACAAGAATCCACTTCTAAATTAGTTTATGTTCTTGGTTAAATTTAGTTTCTGTATTCATTAGACCAGCATCTTTTTCGCTATGTGGTGTTGGCTACGGGCTGCTCCCTGCTCCTAGAAGATGTTTGCCTTTCTTCCCATGTTGCCCTCTCCATCCAAGATAAGCAAAGTACATCAAATTCACTTGTTCTACCAATCTCTCTGTCTCTCTCTTGTGCCTTGAAGAACCCCTGTGATTACATCGTATCCACCTGCGTAATCCAAGATAATTTCCCTATCTTAAAGCCAGATGATTAGTAACCTTAATTATATCTGCTGAAAGTCCCTTTGTGATTTAAGTTAATATATCCATGGGCACATCAATAAGGTGAAAAGGTCATGGGGAAAAACGTCTACCTATCACAGAAGCATATTGTCATTTGGATGGAAAATTGTAAGTTGAAACTGAACATTTTTATATGTTAAAAAATATACTATTCTCAAGCCACTTTTTAGTCTCCACAAGATATAGAAGATAAAGTCTTATTGCAGGTAGAATAAATATTATTTCAATATAATGATTTTTTTACAAGTGTACAACAATGAGGGATGTATGCAGTCTTACCAGTTTTTGAAAAAGTAGTGAATGGTATTTTTACAGCTGACATTTATATTTTCATAAATCTGTAAAACAGAGTCCTTAAAATTTTGTTTAGATAAATTTTACTACTAATGCAAAAATAAAAATATTTGCCTCAATATTTTAGATGCTTTTTATATATGAAAATACAAAATCTACCCCGTAACACATACTATGTATAAGGGCAGAATGTTATTCAAATAATATATCTAAACAGTGTTGCTGTTGTGGATGTCTATTACGTATTACAACGGTTAAGCAAATAAGGTTGTGTTTAAATACTTCGTAATAACCTTTCATACATAGTATTTCAGTTTAACTGCTCTATTCTAAATCACTGCTCTACTGATTATACCAATTTTCTTCTTTGCAATAACAAATAAACATGATTAAATGGCATCTTTAAAAACCCATTAATTAAGCTCCTATTTTGTTCTCATTGTATTCTCTATCAGCATTATAACTTTCTTTTCAAATTTATGGAAACAATTTTTAAAGTATTAATATACTTATGAATATTTTATCACGATATAATTTGCATATCATAAAACTCCCTTTTTAACTTTACGATTAATTTTTGTATTTTGTGATCATCACCATAATTTTATTTTGGAAGATTTTATTTTCCTCCAAAAAAAAAATAAATAACATTATTCAGGAGTCATTCTTCCTTATCCTTCTCAACTTCCCCTCAAACACCAAAAAACTGTTATAACTTTGTAAATTTACCTACATTGGGCATTTCATATAAATTGAATTATTCAATTTGTGGTCTTTAGTAACTGGTTTCTTACAGTTGTTCAAACATTTTGTAAAATATTTGAGTCCATCCATGCTGTAGTATCCATCAGTAGTCCATTCCTTTGTGATGAAAAAAAAAAAAAAACTCCCTTGTATGAATGTATCACATTTTGTTTATCCATTCAGCAGGCGATGGACATTTGGTTTGGTTGACATTGTGCTGTTATGAATAATCACATAAGTGTCTATCTATAAATCATGTGGACATGTTTTTGTTTCTTTTAGAAATATATCCAGGAGTGAAATTGCTGTGTTATATGGCAACTCTAGGTTTAAGATTTTGAGGAACCACCTAACTGTCATCCAAAGTGGCTGTACCATTATATGGCCTCACTAGTAATACCTGAGGGTTCTTATTTCCTCACATCCTCACTACACTTATTCCTTTTTAAAATTTATTATAACCACCCTAAAGATGTGATGTGGCATCTCATTGTGGTTTTGATTTGCTTTTCAATGATATTGAGCATATTTTCATATGCTTATTAGCCACATATATTTTCTTTCAAGAAGTATCTATTTGGATACTTTGCTAAATGTTTAATTGGGTTATTTCTCTATTTATTATTCAATTTTAGGAATTATGTATATATTCTGGACACTAGTCCTATATCAGACATATTATTTGCAAGTATTTTTTCCTTTTCACTGAGTTTTTTTTTTTTCTTGATGGTATGCTTTGCAGCACAAAACATTTTAATTTTGAGGTCTAATACATGTAAGATTTTTTATTTTATCATTTGTGCTTTTGCTGTCATATGTAACAAAATATTGCCAAATTCAAGGTTAGGGTAATATATTCTATGTTTTCTTCTAATAATGTTATAGTTTTAACTATAACATGTAGGTCTATATTTCATCTTGAGTTAATATTTGTGTGTAATTTGAGGTAGCTATCTGTACTAATTGCTTTGTATGTGGATATACACTTTTTCCAGAAACATTTTTGACAGGATAATTTTTTCCCTATTGAATTTTATTGGCACGTTTGCCAAAAACCAAGTGATCATAAATGTGGGGTCGGTTTTGGAACTTTTAGTTCTTTTTCATTAATCTCATGTCTATTCGTATATTATAGCACACCTACTTTATTGTTTTAGCTTTCAGGTCAGGTTTTAAATTAGAAAATGTGAGTCCTCCAGCTTTGTTTCTTTCAAGATTGTGTTGGATATCCTGGGTTCCTTGAGATTTCATAAGTATTTTTAAAAAAGACTGTCAATTTCTCCAATAATTCCAGTTGCGACTTTCATACTGATTATTTTGAATCTGTAGACAAATTTGACAAGTTCTGCCTTCTTAACAACAATAAGTCTTCTGATCCATGAACATTAAAAGTTTTCCGTTTCTTTAAATATTCTTTAACTTTTAACAAAATTTTGTACTTATCAGTTAATAAAATTTAAGCTTCTTTTGATAAATTTATTTCTAGAAGTTTTATTTTTGCTGTAAGTGTGAATGAAATTGTTTTCTTCACTTCATTTTTGGATTGTTCATTTGTAGTGCATTAAAATACAATATATTTTTGTATATTGATCTTGCATCCTGAAACTGCTTAAATATAATACTTACTGGTTCTTAGAGATTTTTAGTAAAAATACTTAGGATTTTCTATAGACCAGATCATATGACTTGTGAATACAGATATCTTCACTTCTTCCTTTTCAAACCGAATAGTACTTCTTTCTCTTTTCAAATTGCTCTGGCTTAAACCACCAATACAATGTTTTTAAGTAATAAAGTGGACATTCTTTCCTTTTTACTGATAGTAACAGGGAAATCATTCAGTTTTTTTCCCATTAATTATCATGTTACCTATACTTTTTTTAAACATGCACTTGATTAGTTTTTAGCAGGTTTTCCTTATATTTCTACATTTTGTAATGTTTGTGCAATGAAAGTATGTTAGATTTTACTCAAATGCTTTTATTTCATAGATTAATATCATGTGGGGTTTGCCTTTATTCCATTAAAATGGTGCATTACTTTTATTGGTTTTCAGATTACAATCTAATCTTTCATTTCTGGGATAAATCCCGCTTGGTCACAGTAGTTTTACTTTCTTATAAGGTACTGGATTCTGTTTGCTAGTATTTTGTTGAGGCATTTTTATATCTATATTGAAAGATATATTGGGCTATAGTGTCCTTTTCTTACTATGTCTTTTTCTGGTTTATGATTGGGTTAATACTGACCCCAATAATCCGATTTGAGAAGTGTTCCCTCACTTCTGCAATTATAAGACTTGTAAAAGAGATATTTATTCATTTTTAAATGTTTGGCAGAGTTCACCAATAAAGGTATATTTTTCTAAATTTTGATTTGAGGTAATAAGATAATTACTAACTCAATATCTTTGCTTATAATAGGTATAATCAATTTTTATTTATTTCTATTCAGTTTTATTGATTTTTGTCTTTTTAGGAATTTGCCCATCTTATCTAAATAATCTATGTTTGGCAAAGTTGTTCATAGTATTGTTTCATGGAGTGTATTTCAATCCATTGAGAAAAGAAAGAAGAAGAAGTACATAACTATATTTTCTTATACTTACCTATAATTATCTTTACTGGCATTCTCTGCTTGTGTGTATTCTAATTACTTTATACTGTTGTTTGCTTCTAGCCTAAAGAACTTTCTTTTTTTTTATTATTATTATTATACTTTAAGTTTTAGGGTACATGTGCACATTGTGCAGGTTAGTTACATATGTATACATGTGCCATGCTGGTGCGCTGCACCCACTAACGTGTCATCTAGCATTAGGTATATCTCCCAATGCTATCCCTCCCCCATCCCCCGACCCCACCACAGTCCCCAGAGTGTGATATTCCCCTTCCTGTGTCCGTGTGATCTCATTGTTCAATTCCCACCTATGAGTGAGAATATGCGGTGTTTGGTTTTTTATTCTTCACCACTTCTTCTAACATTGCATTCTTGAGTGTTTCTTTATGTGGTAATGTCCTTATTTCAGTTTAATTTTTGAAAGATAATTTTTCCGGACATAAGATTCAACATTGAGCATTTTTTATCCTTTTTTTTCTTGCAGCTCTTTGACTAGGTCATTCCTCTACTTTCTAGCTTCCATCGTTTTTGATAAGAAGTGAACTAAACCAGGGACAAAGAAAACAAATGCTGCATGTTCTCACTTATGAGAGGGAGCTAAACATTGAGTACATACGGACACAAAGAAGGAAGAAACAGACACAAGAGCCTACTTAAGGTTGGAGGCAGGAAAGAGGATAGGGATTTAAAAATTACTTATTGGGTACTATACTTATTACCTGAGTGGTAAAATAATCTGTACACCAAACCCCTGTGACATGCAACTTACCTATATAACAAACATGCACACATACCCCTGAACCTAAAATAAAAGTTAAAAATAAAATAAAATAAAATAAAATAAAATAAAATAAAATAAAATAAAATAAAATAAAATAAAATAAAATAAAATGTGAAGTAGGCTGAGCATGGTGGCTCACTCTGGAAATTCCAACACATTGGAAAGCCAGAGCAGGAGAATCGTTTGAGGCCAGAAGTTTGAGGCCAGGCTGAGCAACATAGAAAGACTTCAACTCTACAAAAAATTAAAAAATCAGCCAAGTGTGGTGGTGTGGGTCTGTAGACCTAGCTACTGAGAGGCTAAAGCAGGAAGATCCCTTGATCCCAGGAGTTTGAGATTACAGTGAGTTTTGCTCTGTTGCCCAGACTGGAGTGCAGTGGTGCAGTCTTGGTTTACTGCAACCTCCAACTCCTGTGCTCAAGAGATCCTCCCACCTCAGCTTCCATAGTAGCAGGGACCATAGGCACATGCCACCACATTCAGCCTTTTTTTGGTGGAGACAGGGTTTAACCATGTTGTTGAGGCTGGTCTCAAACTCCTGGGCTCAAGGTATCCATTCACTTCAGCCTCCTAAAATGCTGGTAATACAAGAAGAAGTTAAATAATTTAAGAGAAATATTAAACAGTGAAATCATAGCGAGTTTGTAATTAATGATGTAAACATTTAACTGTAGCTCCTTGGCCAAATTAGTTATACTTTCCGATTTTAAACATCTTTATAGGAATGAAAATGCTGACTTTGCATTGTGTTATGGTAACAATTCATGTAAATGTATGTAAAGTAAAATAACAGTACTGTTCTATCCCTTTTAACAATAAAAACAACCCCATGGGAGAAACACTCTTTCCCACTTTTACAGATGAGGAAGCCAACTTATAAAGTTTTGTAAGCTACCTGGTTTTTAAGAGATGAATCCAGAATTTGAGTTCAGTAATATTAATCCCAATTCCTGTTTTGTTGTTGTTATAAACTGAATCGAGAAGTACTATTAGGTTAGTGCAAAAGTGTTTTGCAATGACTCAGCCTCCACAGTAGCAGGGACCATAGGCACATGCCACCACACCAGACTTTTTTTTTTTTTTTTTTTTTTTTTTTTTTTGGTGGAGACAGGGTTTAACAATGTTGCTGAGGCTGGCATCGAACTCCTGGGTCAAGGTATCCAAGTAATAGCAATTACTTTGCACCAATATAATGTTACCTGTTTTTAGAACATAGGTTCTGAAATATTGTTACAACCTTAATGTCACTTTTTAATTTTGACAGGTCTTGTTAACTCATTTAAACTTTAATTCTCTGATCAGTATTATGGGAAACATAATCTTCCCGTGGAATGTTATGAGTAATCCCTTACATGTGTTTTCTGGGTGATAACACACAGTAAAATAATAATTTGTGTAGATAATTGAGTAAATCAAATGAAATAGGAAACAAGGGACTTTTCATGGTCGGATTTACATGCTATTTAGACTATGTTCTCAAAAATGTAAGATTTTAATTTAGTAAATTAGATTTTCGTATACCCCTAAAAGTTTATAACTATGTTTATGTACATGATAAGTCATCCTAAAGAATTCCAAGTATTGCCCTTGGAAATGTTACTTTTAAATCAGTTGTAATTCTAAGTAATAGAAAATATTAAAATTTTTATAACTTTCCTGGAAATATTAATTATTTGGATTGTTTCTTATCAATAAATATGAGCTTTCTATAAATATTTATTTTTTGTAAAGAGTATATGTTTTGAGGGAAAGCATATCAAATGAAAATTTGTATACTGAATTTGAAAAAAAACTGTTTGCAAAAAACATTTTATTGAAGTCTCCTTAATCCAGTTGAAATTCATGTCATGACATAATGTTCTATGTTATTCCAGTTATTTACTTATAATTTACATCTTACAAAGCATCAGCTTTTGCCTTCTAACAGCAGAAATAGATTATCATAAACAACAAAATCTGATTCAGCAGGGTAGGTGAAAGTCTTTGAGAGATTTATAACAAAGAAATCTTCTCAGAAGATAAAAAGTAATAAAGATCATGAAAGTGTTTTACTTTACAATAATTTGGAAACACACACTAATATTCAGAATTTTATCAGGAGCAAACAAACAAAAGTATTTTTATGTTATTGCTCTAAAAGAAATATACTGAGATCTATAAAGTTATTGTTATATTATTGTTTTTATTGATCCAAAGGTCAATGATATCAATAATTTTTCTATAATCTTTGCTAACATTTGGAATAGATATAACTATTTGAATACTAATTGATTGATATTTAAAAATAATCACAATACTAGAATTTTTGCAAAAGTGAGAATGTAGGTTTTACTTACCTAAAATTTA
This sequence comes from Homo sapiens, assembly GCF_000001405.40. NCBI lineage: Eukaryota > Metazoa > Chordata > Mammalia > Primates > Hominidae > Homo > Homo sapiens. The sequence goes on from NC_000001.11 coordinate 189,118,881, forward strand.
TCCTGGGTAATTTTTATAACACTTCTTTATTAATTTTTTAAAAACCTGCATCCAGATTTCTCTTGCAATCATTTTTACCAGATTCTTAATTACAGTATTGCTATTAATTTGGTGCAAAAGTAATTACCTTTGCACTAATCTAATAACTCAGATGAGAAGTACAGAATTATGGTTTAATCTGACTTATTTAGAGAGCACAAATAAAGTGTCTCCTTATTCATGGATTTAAAACATTGTCTTTAACTTAGAGCTTTAGAAAAGGCAAAATTGTTTAATGGATAAAATTGAGAAATATGCTGTAACTAAACGATTTCTCTATGACAGCAATTACTTGAGTCTTAAAAAGGAGCGTAATGGAAAGAGTAAAGTTTGCAGCCAGGCACACAACAGTTTGAATCTGAGCTCTACCCTTAGAAATAATGTGGCCTTGAGCAATTACATTTATCTATAGCAAACACTCAATTCTTATATCACACCACTGCATTGTTTGAAAACTCCAAATGGGTTCTGGATGGAATGATGAGCTTTACTCTCTTGTTTTGCTTCACATATTCTTCTGTCCTGTTTTTTATTGTTCTGTCTTCAGTACTACAGTTTTGTTTGCTTTTATTTATTTTTATCCCCTTATAGATCTATATTCCTTATAACATTTTTTTTGCCCCCAACAAGATATCAGGAAGCACTATAAACTTCCATTTGGAGTCACAGATCAACAGACACACATTAAATTGTTCAGAATCTACTAATAGCATAAACGTTATTCAGACGTACCTCTAACATTCCTTGGGCTGTGCAAGGGCACAAACTGAGGCCAGCATATGTCTAAAAAATTTCCATAAGACTAAGAAATTTAAAGTAATAAGTAAAGCTATTAAACTATTAAAATTGATTTTTTACTTAGATTTTGACAAATAGACTTTTATTCCACCAAAATAGACAAATATGATTAAAGCTATGGTTTTATAAAACTGTATGTCTGAAAAATATCAAATGACTAAATGCAACAAATACTGCATATGTCTTTGTAATCTGTATTATTTAGAAAATGCTAAAATAATAGAATCTAAGTATTTTTAAGCTTAATTTTTAAATTATTTTTTATTATACTTCAAGTTCTGGGATACATGTGCAGAACGTGCAGGTTCATTACATAGGTATACATGTGCCATGGTGGTTTGCTGCACCCATCAACCTGTCATCTACATTAGGCATTTCTCATAATGCCATCACTACCCTTGACCCCCACCCTCTGACAGGCCCCAGTGTGTTCCTATTTCTCCATCTAATTTTGCAAGCATGTCATTTTATAAGACTTTTTTCTTCACTAAAATTTGTTTGTCTTACCTTTTAAATATAGTGACAATTGTCATATTAAATGCAAACTTATCATGATGTATACTTTTAACATCCCTCATTTGTATGGATCTTTCCAAGATCCCAATTTTTATTTATATTTATGTAAGTATCTTTTTAATTTTCTTTTTCTAAAAATGTGTGCCCCAAAATGATAAGTATATGAGGTAATGCCTACATAAGTTAGCTTGATTTATCATTCCGTAAGGTGTACATATTTCAAAACTACATGTTGTACATGATAACATATATATTTTTATCAATTAAAATTAATACTTTTATAAAAAGAAAATTATAAAAATCAGAAAATTATTAAAAATTATTGTAAAAATCAGCCTTGTGACCGAAGAAAATACTGAAATTCTCATAGTATGTGGAGGCCTGAAATATATTACCAAAGACAGGTGAACAATAACAAAAACAAAAAAGTGACTTTGGGAACCACTACTGTAGCATTTAACTAGTCCCCAAACAATCAAGATAACAACAACAAAATGACAAAAATATGTTTGTTATTTAGAAGGAGCATCAAGATTTCAGAAAAATAAGGTAGTTGGTCAAGCCTAGTAGCCCATTTAGGCCCAGGGAAGAAGGATACCTGTGTTTTGTTCCCCTCCGTGTGCCCAGATATTCTCATTGTTCAACTCCCACTTAGGATTGAGAACATGCTGTGTTTGGTTTTCTGTTCCTGTGTTAGTCTGCTGAGAATGATGGTTTCCAGCTTCATCCATGTCCCTGCAAAGGACATGAACTCATTCTTTTTTATGACTGCATAGTATTACACAGTGTATATGTGTCAAGTTGTCTTTATCCAGTCTATCATTGATGGGCATTTGGTTGGTCCCAAGTCTTTGCTATTGTGAATAGTGCTACAATAAACATACGTGTGCATGTGTCTTTATAGTAGAATGATTTATAACCCTTTGGGTATATACCCAGTAACGGGATTGCTGGGTCAAGTGGTATTTCTGGTTCCAGATTCTTGAGGAATCATCACACTGTCTTCCACAATGGTTAAACTAATTTACACTCCCATCAACAGTGTAAAAGTGTAGGCTTTGGGCATCAGGAAACCTGGGTATAATGAAGATTATCACATTACATTTTTAATTGCTTTATCTCCACAGTTAGTAATAATCAGAAATATCTAAATACTCAAACCTCCACTGTTCATGAGGCTAAGAAAAAAAACCAGTAAAATGTTTAGTGCCATGAATAATTAATTGGCTAATGACATGCACTAGTGCTTTGTAATGAAAGAAATAATAAGTAGAAATGGCCATAATTATTAGTTATAGTAATAAAAAATAATAAATTTCAAGTAAGCTAAACTAGAAGCACTATTACATTTTGCCAAATGTAAACTTCCAGAATATGGAGAATATTTTTTTCACTCTGAGTAATTTTGATAAATCATGTATTTTGATAGGGAAATATGTATCTTTTTTTTTTCCTTCTACAAAATTTCAGAGACAATAGCTATTAGGATAAATTAAATTAATTGTATCCTTCATAACTAAATATTTCACCTACAGAGAATTTCTAATTGGTTTCATATATCTTAAGAACAGATTGTCCATTGGCTATAATTGTTATCTAAATTGATAGCCAACATTAAAGACTCCCTTACACATGAAAGTAAAATCCTTGAGAAGCAATATTTTAACTAAATTTGCACTGTTCATGAGTAGAAAAAAATCAATTCAGTTTTCTGAGCAGAACATAAGAATTCTTCCCAAGAACTGTTAAATGTGACACATTCATATAATTAATGTTTTATAAAAGAATTTCACAGCAGACACTTGAGGCTATGCAGCTTTATTATCTCTGGATATAATGTACCACATTCTTTGCTTATTACTTTAGGTTTCAGATCTTCTTGTAATGCAGACTATTACCCTCAGGCCATAAACAGTTGTGCATGATTGCATAGGCTTAAAATCCCCATGATCAACCACTTTTTTTGATTTTTCAACTGAATTTTGTAAAACCTTCACCATGCTTGATACTTCATTTTTCCTTCCAAATGTCTGTTATTCCTAGATTTGTAATTTTATCTTATCTGGATCTGTCCGTCTTTCCATTTCTATAGCTTATCTCCCCGTTTAGCTCCTTATTAACTCATTCTTAGATAATAGAAACTTACCCTAACTTGTAGGTCTATCTCAAGTATCTTTTATCTGTGATACATCATATCCACAATCTCCCTGATGCATGACTTTCCTCTATTTCTGAAAATAGAATGAAACAATAGCAATAGTAAAACATGTGTAGTTCTTTATTTCCTAAATGGAGACACTTTAAAGTTCCCAAACCCGAATTTTCCACAATCTGAATTTAATTTGTATTTCAAAAGTTATCTTGCAAAGCATCCATTAATAAATCTTTGGTCACTAAATATCTGCAGCATGTTTTATGACATGCACCAGAGCAGGGTGCCCAACCTCCAGGCCATGGATGTGAACCAGCCTGTGGCCTGCTGGGAACCAGGCCACACAGCAAGAGGTGAGGAGTGGGCAAGGGAGCATTACCACCTGAGCTCCACCTCGTGTCAGATCAGCGATGGAATTAGAATCTTTTTTTTTTTTTTTTTGAGACAGAGTCTCACTCTGTTGCCCAGGCTGGAGTGCAGTGGTGCAATCTTGGCATTAGATTCTTATGGGAGGGTGAAACCTATTGTGAACTGCGCATGCAAGGGATCTAGGTTGCACATTCCTTATAAGAATCTAATGCCTGATGATCTAAGGTGGAGCAGCTTCATCCTGAAACCACCCCGTCACTCCCCCATATGTGAAAGATTTTTCTTCCATGAAACTAGTCCCTGGTACCAAAAATAGTGGGGACCACTGCACTAGAGCTTTCTAATGAAGGAAATAGTAATATTTTCACGTATACATAAACACATTGACTTCTACTCTTGGGATACTCTTCTGCTATTGGACTTGTTCACTTCAAGATCTATCTTATATCCTACTTTCTTCTTGATCTCTAAGCCATTCACCCTAGATCTGATAGGGGTTTTCACTATAACTCTTATAGCACTTAAAAAGAGAAAATAATACTCCAGTTAATTTCTTAAAGTTGGTGTCAAATTTAAACTATTTTAAATAATACTGCAAAGCAGAGTCACTGATTACCAGATCCAAGGAGGAACCCCTTTTTATGGAGGATAGAAAAGGTTATCACTGTGCCAATCACCAAGAATAGGAGTTCAAACACATTAGTCCACTTGTATCTTGGGCAGCACTTTTACTAGTTGCCTTAATCCAGTAAGATAGAATACTAACAAACAGGTCTATTACTTAAAGATAAGCAGGCAGGCAGGGATAACAGAAGCATAGACTTTATCTCAAGATAGTCCCCGAAGGCTCAGAAAAGCTGCCCAGGATGGATAGAATCTCATCTTAGTGTATCCCAAATGTTTTGCAGCTGAGTGACACAAAAGCAGTCTGCCGTGGGTTTTATGACCTAAAGGAAGGGTCACTTTCTGGAAAAGCATTATAGGACATTCTATTTTAGGAGGGACAGGATCAAAACCTCGGCTCTTTCAAATAGTTCCTCCTTATTTCAGAATTTTGCATTTCCTGAGCATCCTACAGTTATTCTAAGTACTATAAGCAGGAAGTTGGGAGGAAAGCTTGGTCACCCAGGGCAATTTGAGAACTGTACTGCAAATATATATATGAAAATAATATAAGAAATATCATTTAAAATTTTATTTTGGTTTATAACAGTTTGCAATGCATGGAAAGTGGTATTTAAGTTTTAGAGTTGTGCAGATATAAGTCTAATTTTTTAACCTCCTCTCATGGTAGCTTAAGGGAAACCAGGATTAAAATGGGATCTCCTAAATAGGAAAAATTGAGAAAAGACCAAGAAGTGAATGTCAGTTATATAGTTAATAATTTTCTATTGTAAAGCAGAATCACCTAAGTCACTGCACAAAACCAAATGACAGAGAAAAATTACAGGCAACTTTAGAGGTCAGGAACAAGATAGGACTCAAATACATCAAGTATAAGGTGAATGTAAGAGGATAGTGGCACCCATGATATTAAAGGCTTTTATTGCTTTTACCTACATAGTTCCTTGAAAGATCAATAAAAATTAAAATTACTAGATAGATGCTTTTCTCAAGGAATAAATAACAAATACAAGAATATACATATGTGAACATTAGCATTAAAATAATTATTGATATAAAACGTATAACTGAACATGATTTTTCCTGTATATTAAGTATGAGATATTGTAATTTTGGGGGGAATATTTTTATACACCCATTTGTTCTTTTTTGACAGGACAGAAAACTGAAAAAAAATCATTGTTAAACCTATTTTGAAGTTAAAATTTATTATAATCACAAAATGTTTCCCAATTTGATTCAGAAAGAGGAATAATTTATGAAGAACCAGTTATATGCCAGTCCTGTGCTAGATAACTACATGTATTTCATTATTTAATATCCACAAAATACCATGATGTGAGGTAGAGAAGAGTTACTCATTCTGCAATATATATTTTTCACATTATTACTCAAATATAACAATGAGAATTTTATTTTTATGGTAGTGTTTTGTTTTTTGAAAAATATAAAGTGCTTTAAATAAAGTCTGGAATGGTATACCTTTCCCAAGAGAAGCAACCATAACAGATGAAACTTATTTAAAAAACAAATATTTAATACATTTGAATGTCCTAATGAAAAACAGCAAATACATAAATACTTATTGAAGAAAATGCACTAAACCTTGACAAGACCATCAAGTGGCTGTGGCCATTGTAACACACTGCTCTTTAAATATAGCCACATAGCTTATGTTGATGGACTCCCTGCTCAAGTGTGTGTAGGCAAGATCACAGGACTCTCTTGCCATTCATTTACCAGTCTAGGGCTACAGTATCTCTCCAGGAGTGGCAGGACAACAGCATTTTTTATTCTCCTTAGCTCTGTATTGTAGAAGCTCTTTTTAAGCCAAGAGAGGGTGAGAGATTTGGAGCACCTTTTGCCCACTGATGCTCCACTTCTAAACAGGAAGCTCTACTCTAGGCACAGCCAACCAAGAGCACTGAGGCCCAACCATCCTCATTTAACATCATTCATACGGTAGAGTTTTATGTCAAGTGAGACAAGCTGAGAGAACCAAAAGCTACTATTCTTCCCCAGTACCATCATTATAAAGCAGAGATGTATCTGAGACAATTATGCCATTGGATTCCACCATGCCCCAGATACACAGCAGTGGTGCAAAAGTTTTACACAAGTTAAAAAGGAAGGTAGTAAAAAGAGAAAGTTGTGAAGCACATCCCAAGAGAATAAGTTTTATTTAGAAGAGATCCCATGAAATTTAAGGCATAAGGACACTGTTGAAAACAATGTAAATTTTGTAAGCAATTAATAGGAGGCTGGTGGCTTCATGAGAGCAACAAGCTAAATGTCAATGAGCTATATTTTTAAGAGACAACCAGGAAAAAAAAAAAAAGCAAAGAAAAAGCTGAGAAGAAGCCACTTGGAATATATGAAGACTCATAAAATGACCATAAAGACTATACCTGAAAACATTCAAAATTTAGTTGTATCAGACTTTGGGGCAATTTATCTTCTAGCACATAATTTACCTTATAGAGGGACCTGTAACAAGATTAACAGCTGATATGTCATCTAAATTTATGGATGCCAGGAAACAGTAGTATAACAAAAACTGAACCATTCTTGTGCCACAAACACCACCCCCGGCACAATGCCTCACAATTGAGGGGGAGGTGGATTTCTAACTCCCAGCCCTGCACTCAGTAGTGAAGGGCATTGTTCACACATCTCACACACCACGTTTTATGGTTGCCAACTGAGGGACTAGCTTCTAAATCCACTAACTCTGGGAACCAATGGCAAGGGGCATTCATACATCCCCTGGGACCCACAGAACAAAGAAGCCTTTTAAACATTAAATAAAATTAAAAATACAGCTTACCGAAACTGATGGGATGAAGCAAAATTAGTACCAAGAGGGAATTTTATAGATATAAGCAACTACATTAAAAGAAGAAAGATCTCAAATAAACAACCTAACTTTACACCTCAAGGGATAGAAAAATAAGAAACAAAACCAAATATAGCATAAGTAAGAAAATAATTTTTAAAAATAGTACAAAATAAATTCAATAAAAATAGAAAAGAAAAAAAGTCAATGAAACTAAGAGTTTTTTTTGAAAAAAATAAATTCAATTGATAAAGCTTTATCTAGACCAATAAAATATACTCAAAATAAAATCAGGCATTACAATGGATGCCTCAGATATAAGAAGTATAAGGAACAGTGCCGAACACTTATATGCCAACAAATTTGACAACCTAGAGAGATTGCTAAATTTCTTAAAACATACAACCTGAATCAAGAAACAGAAAATGTGACTAAAGCAATATAAAACAAAGAGATTAAAGTAGTTATAATAATCATTTTTCAAAAATCTCCCAAGAAAGAAAAGCACAAGATGAGATGGCTTCATGGGTGAATTCTAGCAAGCATTCAAACAATAGCAATTTCTCTTAAATTATTCAGAAAATTGAAGTAGAGAGAATACTTCCAAATGAATTTTGAGGCCAGAATTGCCCTGATACCAAAGCCAGATAAAGATGCCACATGCATACAGATTTAGTAAAATTGAAGTATGCAAAATCAACATACAAAAACTGTTGTGTTTATATAAACAACTATCTATTCAAAAAGGAAATCAAGACAGCAATCCCATTTAAGATTGCATCAAAAATAATTCTGATGTATTAATTTAATGAAGGAAGTGAGGAAAAACATGTACATTTAAAACTATTAAATATTAATGAAAGAAAAGCTAAAAGGACAAAAATAAATGAAATATATACCAAGAAATATACCAAGTCTTCATATTGGAAGAATTAATATTGTTAAAATGTTCATACTATGCAAAGTAGTATACTGAGCAAATGTAATCCCTATGAAAATCCCAGTAACAATTTTTACAGAATATTTTTTAAAATCTCAATTTCATGTGGAATACCAGAGGGCTTTGAAAAGCCATAGCAATCTTGAGAAAGAAAAACAAAGTTGGAGGCATCTCACTTCTTAATTTCAAGTTATTTTATAAATCTATTTTATTAGTTTGTTCTCATGCTGCTAAGAAGAAATACCCAAGACTAGGTAATTTACAAAGGAAAGAGTCTTAATCAAGTCACAGTATCTGCAGGGCTTGAGAGGCCTCAGGAAACTTACAATCATGGTGGAAGGGGAAGCAAACACATCCGTCTTTACATGGTGACAGGAAGGAGAAGAATGAGAGCTGAGTGAAGGGGGAAGCTCCTTATAAAACCATCAGACCTCGTGAAAACTTAGGAGAATACCATGGGGGAAACAGCCCCATGATTCAATTGCCTTCCACCGGGTCCCTCATACCACACATGGTGTTTATGGGATTATAGTTCAAAATGAGATTTGGATGGGGAAACAAAGCCAAACCATGTCACCTAATTGTGATTAAAAAAAAATTTATGTTACTGGCATAAAAACAGACATATAATCTAATGGAACACAAGAGAGAGTTCAGAAATAAACCCAAGCCTATACAATCAACCAATTTTTGTACAAGAGCACCAAGAATACACAATGGGAAGAGGATAGTCTCTCCATTAAATTTTGCTAAGAGAACTGGATATCTACATGCAAAACAAAAAATCTGGACCCTTATCTTATACCATATAAAAAAATCAACTCAAAATGAATAAAAACTCTAAATGTAAAGCCTGACATCAATACTCTACAATGAAATATATGGTGAGGCCTTACACTTAATGTTTTTATTCATTTTGTATATCTTATTTGAACAAAAAGTATATTTTTCCTTTGGTTGTCTGACACTTGACAATGGCATTGGCAACGATTGCTTCAATATGACACAAAACAATCAGACAATCAAAGGAAAAATAAAACTAAATATAATATCAAACCAAAAAACAAGTGAGAATATTAAATCCAAAAACTTATGCACAGCAAAAGAAACAGCAAAATGAAAAAGTCAGGATGTGTATTGGAAGAAAATATTTGCAAACCATGTATCTTGCAAGGAGTTAATATCTAAAAATACATTAGGAACTCCCACAACTCAATAACACACATGCACAAAAAAACTGATTTTAAAATTAGAAAACAACCTAAATTTACAGTTTTTCAAAGAAGATATACAAATAGCCAGTGTATAAAAATGTGTTCAATATCACTAATCATGAGGGAAAGGCAAGTCAAAACCAAAAAAAGCTATCATATCACATATTTATAGCAGCAATATTCATAGTAGCAAAGATAGGGAATCAATCTAAGCATCCATCAGTGAACAAATGGATAAAGTAAACCTCATATCTATATATGTGTGCATGTGCATATATATATATGAGGTTTTATATATAATTTTTATATAATATGTGTACACACAGAAACACACACATATTTAACCTATATATGAGGCTTTACATATATATAGGTTGTATACATGTAAATATATATATGAGGTGTTTTATATATGTGAGGTTATATACATAAACTATATATAAAGCATATATAGATATAAAACCTATATATAAAACCCTATATATAAATATATATAAAACCTCATATATGTAGGTTATATATATATTTGTATGTGTTTGTGTGTGTATATATACACACGTGTATATTATATAAAATATAATATGTATGTATATTATGTATTATATATAATATGTTATGTATTATATATTATATACACACGTGTATATATATACACACTCAAACACACATGGAAGGCTATTTAACCACAAAAAAAAGAATAATGTTGGATCATTTGCAGCAACATGGATGGAACTAGAGGACATTATGTCAAGTGAAATAAGCCAGGCACAGAAAGGCAAATGCTGCATATTCTTACTAGTATGTGGGAGCTAAAAATTTAATCTCATTGCCATAGAGAGTGCCAACTCATGGAGTTAGTTACCAAATCCGGGATGGCTGTGTGTATGGTGGTGGTGGTGGTGGTGGTGGGGAGAGGTGGGTGAAGAGAGATTGGTATATGGGTAGAAACATAAATTCAGATCGAAAGAATAAATCATGATGTTCAATAGCAGAGCAGATTGAATATAGTTTGTGTATTTCAAAATAAATAGCAAACAGTCTTGAAATGTTCCTAACAAGAAAAATGATAAATGCTCGATGTGTTGGGTTTCCTAATTACCCTGACCTGATCATTACACATTCTACGCATGTAAAAAAATGTTATATAATCCCAATAAATATGTACAAATCTTTTGTATCAATGAAACGTTCAAGAATAAAAAAAGTAGCAGTAGTGTAGGATGAAGTATAGAGTTCTAATATACAGCATGATGACTATAGTTAATAATCCTGTATTTGAAACTGGAAAATTACTATAGGAATAATGAGACATATCTGGACAACATAGTGAGGACCTATTTCTACAAGAAGAAACAACAACAACAACAACAACAAACAACAAAATGTATCTAGTCATGGTGTTGTGTGCCTGTAGTCCTAGCTACCTGAGAGGCTGAGCTGTGAGGATCACTTGAGCTCATGAGTTTGAGGTAAGCTATGATTGTGACACTGCACTCCAACCTGATGACAGAGTGAGAGCCTGTTTTTAACTAAAAAAGAAAAAAAAAGAAAGAAAGAAAGATAAAGAAAAGTTATTCAATATTTTTACCCATCAGGGAAATGAAAATCAAAACCACAGAGAGATAACAGTTTACACCTACTAGGATGGCTATAATTTTAAAATTACAGCTGAAAACACGTATTTGTGAGTATGCAGAAAAATTTTAGGCTTTAACATTGTTAGCAGGAATGAAAAATCGTGCATCTACTGTGCAGAACAGTTTGGCAGTATCTCAACATGTAAAACATATATTTACTCTATGATCTGGTAATTCCATTCCTAGATATTTACCCAAGAGAAATGAAAACTTATGTCTGCACAAAGACATGTACATAGGTGTTAATAGCACCATCATTCACAATAACCAAAAAATGGCAAGCTCAAAAATTCACATCAACTGATGAAAGAAATGTGATGTATAAATGAATATTGTTTGCAATAAAATTAATGAAGAAATATATGTGCTTATAAATGCTGTATTGTAGTTGAAACTTGAAACAATTTTTCCAAGTGAAGGAAACCCTTCACAAAATAATGCATATTCTATGATTTTATTTGTTTGAAATGTCCACAGTAAGCAAATTTATTGAAACAGAGAGTATATTAGTGATGCCCTAGGGCTGATGGTTTGGTGAGAAATGGGGAATGACTACTGATGACTACAGAATTTATTCTGGGTTGAAAAACGTTCTTAATTTGATGGTGATAATGTTTTCACAATTGCATAAATGTACTAAAAATTTGAATTGTATAATTTTAATGTGTGAAGTGTAACATACATGAATATACTCCTATAAAGTTTTTTAAAGTTACCTTATACTAACATGGAAATTATATGTGATGTTTTATCTCAAAAAGGGAGGATGAGATTAGAACTACTTAATTTGATGTTTGTTGTTCTAAGCAGGCAAAACAGAGTGAAGTACCCGCCTGAATAATGCTCTCAGAGCATTTTGCCTGCTTAGAACAACAAACATCAATGCATTCCCAGGAGGAACTAATCTTAAGGACATTACATTCACCTGTTTGCTTTTACCTTCATACTCTGTATTGTTTACATTCATCATTAGCTGTATTGATAATAAATTGAAGTAAAAGCAATTGAAGATGAGTCAAAGTTGTTGTTTTTATTAAATTTTGAACATAGTTGATGTTATATGTTTTGCCATTGTCCAGGTGAGTTTGGAAGAACTATGGTCTTTGATGACATCAATATGCTATGGGATCAATGTACTCTGAAGGAAGAACAAATTTAGTAGTTCTAATTGGGCTAATACTAAACATTATATATTAATCGTAATGGTACAGTTATTTACCAATTAAAATAAACATGTAAACAATCAAACCAACCACTAGTAAGTCATTCTTATCAAAATATACTGGCTTTCCCGTCTTCACTTGGAATAATGCAATTATATTGTTTTCTTTTCCAGATTTGAAATAATATTTTTCAATGTTTTTCTCTTAAAATTTATAAATTAAATTTAAAAAAATTCCTTAGTGTATACTTACATACAAGTATCTATATAGTCACTGTTTTACTTATTTGATTGTGCTAGCAACAGTTATTTCTATCTGTAATGTTGATGGAACTTGAAACAATTTTTCCAGGGATATTGAAATAACTATCTCTAGTCCAGCAAAGAAGTAATGTGGAAAATAGGGAAAATCTCCTACAACTCCAAAGACAGTTTGATTTGTGGAAGAGGTAATAACTGACAAGAGCTGTACCATATATTATTGCCACTTTTAGAATGGTAGTAAACCAGGAACAAAATAAAGAAGTAAATAGCTAGATCTCCTTCTTCTGTTTTTAGACTTCTCATTAGTGCTTCTCATTGTGAAAATAGTGAGTCATTCGATATAGTTACTCAAGTGATGCATTTCTTTCAGATATGTCATATTTGACATCGAGTATATCCGAAAGAAAAGAATGGCACAAAAAAACAGGATGATATATTGAAAAACATAAGAAATACATTCAGGCAAAGCATGAGATTCATGAAATAATCAATTATAAAATGTCTCTTAGGTCTTCCTTTTTCCAAAAAAATAGACTTGACAAACTACCTACACTTTTTTCAGCTCAATATAAAAATTAAAAAAAACTTGATGTAAAACCCATCTTCACTCCTACGAGCCTTAAAGGCCAGTTACAGTGACAATCTGTGAGTTGTTTAATCACATCTAGTCTGAATAGAACAAAAAATAATTTCTTTTTTTCCATTCTTCTTCTTTTTTTTAATGAGTATAGGGGACTTTATTGATGGTCAGAACAAGGCAGGGCTACCAAAGCTCCTCCCTCTTCAGGGAGTCTGCATGAAAACAGTGAGGAGAGGAAATTCTCAGTATGGTGTGGGCTGAGTGGAGCAGGGACTCCTCAGCAGCTAAGGGCCTCTCTCTTCCTCTTTTAGTCTCATTGAGGCTGATGGTATGGAGGTCTACTCCTTGGAGGTCATGTAGACCACAAGGTCCACCACTCTGTTGCTGTAGCCAAATCTATCAATGCCAGCCCCAGCATCGATGGTGGAAGAGTGGGTGTCACTGTTAAAGTCAGACAAGACAGCCTGGTGCTCAGTGTAGCCCAGGATGCTCTTGAGGGGGCTTCCAGTGCCTGCTTCACCACCTTCTTGATGTTATCATATTTGGCAGGTTTCTCCAAATGGCAGGTTAGGTCCATGAGTGAGATGTTGGTAGTGGGAACACAGGAGGCTATACCAGTGAGGTTTGACCTTGACCACAGCCTTGGAAGCACAAGTAGATGCAGGGATGATGTTTTGGAGAGCCCTGTGGCCATCATGCCACAGTTTCCCAAAGGGGGCATCCACAGCCTTCTATGTGGCAGTGATGGCATATACTGTGGTCATGAGTCTCTCCATGATGCTGAAGTTGCCATGGATGACCTTGGCCAGGGGACCTAAGAAGTTGGTGGCCCAAAAGGCATTGCTGACCATCTTGAGGCTGTTTTCATACTTCTCATGGTTCATGCCCATCATGAACATAAGGATGTCACCAGAGGGGGCAGAGATAATGACCCGTTTGGCTCCCCCATTAAGTGAGTCATAGCCGTCTCCATGATAGTGAAGATATCACTGGACTGCACAACATAATTAGCATAAACATCAGCTCATTTTATTTTGGTGTGATCTTGCTCTTGAAAGATGGTAATGGGATTCCCTTTGATGACAAGCTTCCTTTTCTCAGCCTTGACAGTGACATGAAATCTGCCATGGGTGGAATCAAACAAGAACACTTAGGCCATGCAGTTGAGGTCAATGAAAGGGTCATTGATGGTGACAATATCTCTTTCGCCAGAGTTAAAAGGAGGCCTGGTGACAGGTCCTCGATATGGCCAAATTTGTTTACTTCAGCCTTCACTTTCATTATGGTGTTTCATGGATGCAGCTGGTGCTGCATGAGATGTGGCCGTCTGTCGAATGAGAGGAGCAGAGAGCCAAAATAACTTCATATGTAGCTTCTATTAATAATTAAAGTAAAAATATAATTACATATAGTATTTTATTTAGAAAAGGAAAATGTCATTCAGGTTTGTTGAATTACATCATCCTATGGTGAGGATAACTTTAAGATAGTAGATACCCACAAAGAAGTCTTATCATTCTATTGTGAATATATATAATCTACATTCTCTATAAGATGAGGCACCAAAACCCTTTATAAATCTGAACTACATCAGTGATACAAGTAAAAACAACATTTTTCCCTTTCAATCAAACAAACCAAAAAGTATTTCTTTCAGCACAATTTTGTCAATTTTTTTTTCTTTTTTCTTTTATTTTGAGACAGAGTCTCACTCTGTCACCCAGCCTGGAGCACAGTGGCATGATTCCAGCCCACTGCAACCTCTGCCTCCCTGGTTTAAGTGATTCTCCTGCCTCAGCCTCCCAAGTAGCTGGGATTACAGGTGTGCACCACCACACCCAGCAATTTTATATTTTTAGTAGAGATGGGGTTTCACCATGTTAGCCAGGCTGATTTAGAACTCCTGGCCTCAGGTGATCTGCCTGCCTTGGCCTCCCAAAATGCTGGGATTACAGGCATGAGCCACTGAGCCTGAACAAAAAATTTTTATTGACACTTTCAGTTCTATTATATTCCTGGAAAAATATACCTATTATTTTGTTGTTGTTACTAATTTTGTAGAGAGCTTCAAAAAGTTGCATTTTTTTTTTTTTGCAATTCTTTTGTCAAGAATATCTTATTTAAAATTTCTGGGCTGCTTGGACTTCCGGAGAAGAATGATCACTTCTGGTGTTTCTTCACAAATGAGAGGAAGAGATTGAAGACTCTGAAGTAAAGAAAGAAATGGAACAGATGAAGGCAAGGCATTGGATAATTACAGGGTGCAATTACATTGAAATTACAGTACTAATGCTAGTTAATACAAATAATACATAGTTGGTCTCTATATAATCAGATCTTTCTTTTAACCTGTTCAAACTTTATTAAATGCCTTGGGAAAATATATTATGCATATTATCCCATGTAAATATTAAATGCAATATATGTGTATAAGGTTTTTAAGAGTAAAACTTCATAAACTATAAGTATTATAATTACTTTTTATTAGTATAGGCTATACATATACCCTTTCAAAAATTTTTGATTTTAGAGCACAATGTTTTTCATTCCTAACCAGCTCATAGTATGACATAGTTTTGATGTTGATACCCTCCAAATCTGCAATGTTGGAGGCAATGCTTAATGGGAGGTGTCTGGATCATGAGGCCAGATCTTGCATGAATATCTTGGTGATATCCTTGAAGTAATGAGTGAGTTCTTGCTCTACTATTAGGTTCTGTGAGAAATGATTTTTAAAAAGAGCTTGGCATCTCCCTACCCTCTCTCTTGCCACCCCTCTTGTCATGTGATCTCTGCACACATTAACTCCCCTTTGCCTTTTGTGATGAGTGGAAGCGTCCTGAGGCCCTCACCGGAGTTATGCTTCTTGTACGGCATGGAAAACTGTAAACCAGGACAGGTGCTGTGGCTTACACCTGTAACCAGCACTTTGGGCAGATCACTTGAGATCAGGAGTTTGAGACCAGCCTGCCCAACATGGTGAAACCCTCTCTACTAAAACCAGCTGGATGTGGTGGCACACACCTGTAATCACAGCTACTCAGGAAGTAGACTCAGGAATTACTTGAACCCGGGAGGTTGAGGTTGCAGTGAGCTGAGATCGTGCCACTGCACTCCAGCCTGAGTGGCAGAGTGAGGCTCTGTCAAAACAACAACAACAACAACAAAAACAAACAAACAAACAAAGAACTATGAGTCAAATAAATCTCTTTCCTTTATAAATTGATTAATTGCCCAGGTATTCCTTTATAACAACACAGAGTCAGACAAGTTACTTCACATATTATAAGCAGCATTGACATGTGGAAAGGTTATAATTTTGATGCAAATATTAAAAGGATTTTTAGGAAAATTTGCAAATCTCAAACTGTGTCAGAAACATTAGTAATTCACTATTACAATAAAACAGAAATCACTTACATATAGATTATATGATTATAAATATCTAGGTTGATTTCACTCTTGGATCAAATTTTACTGTTATATTTAAAATATAAATTTATCATTGGAAACATATTCTTTTCTAAACGAAAACTAGAATGGTTTACTAATGTATTTTGGGGGCATATTTGATATTTATTAATAAAGGTTCTCTGTGAAGTAACGTGATATTAGATTATTTTTATAGCAAACTCTGTTTTTAGCTTCTCAACAAATTGCATATGCTAGCCCTGAGGAAAAATTTTAAAAATTCTGTCCATTTGGATTTTTCACCCTTATTTATCTCCTAAATACATATTTTTCCTTGAGTATCAAGAGTCTTAAAACTTTTACTACTAAAATATTGTTTGCTAAAGTAATTATAAATACAAATTTGTTTAAGAGCTATAAATATTTTATAAGTTAAGAATTATTATATATCATTAGTTCCTTCCATTATATTAAATATATTTGCATAAGTATATAAAAGAAATAATGAGGAAAAAATAGGTAGAAAGTATTAAGTGCAGCCGTGTATTTAATTCAAGGATATTGCTATGGCTCTTACAAATCCAAATGGGAAATATTAAATAAAGAAACACCACCTGTGCATAGAAAACAATTTTAATAATTAAAGTGGGTTACTTTTCCCTATGATTACAAGTGTTTTGTTGTTGTTGTTGTTGTTGGTTTTACAAAATATGTTAAGATAACCAAAGAAACTTTTTTAAAAGTCTCAGCAGTTATGTTTTTAACTCAAGGATAATGAATAAAACAATTTTTAGTTTATGTTCTAAGCAATGAAACAGTCTAACAGTTGAATCACATTAATTACAGAGTTGCTGGATAAAAAAAAAAAAGTATAATTGAAATCACTACTTTTCTCCCAATTTTACTTGTTTGGAACGTATAGAATAGGGAAGTTTTAAAATAATATGGCTTTAAAGTCTTCAAAAATAGGGTTAATAACGTTCAATTTTATGTATTTTCTTAATCATATTTATAATTAACATGTATCCTTTTGGGCCCATCATTTCATTACTGTAGAATTTTGACCAATCACATTGTCAACTCTTGAGTCATCTCATTTGGGAAGTAATTTGGACCAACAGCAGAGGTTCATACCTTAGGGTACTGAGCCTGACTGCTGCTGTACAGGTAATTTATGAACTCATGTATAACTTCACCAATGTGTGTGTGTGTGTTCCTCCTTACCTTGTGTAATTTATGGGGACTTGTCTAACACACTTAGTAGAGTTTATCTTCCATACAACACAATCACATAATGCCCAGTTTTAGGTATTTTTGTTTTAAATTCCTTCAAATGTTCTTGTGATCTCAGCTGGCATTCTTCTTCCTAGAATTAAACAAACAAACAAAAATCATGTGACCAAATAAATACACAATTAAGTAACCAAAAATTACACAGATTTGTTTAAATAGAAATAAAAAGTCTAGAGAAAATGTTTTTCAAATGTATTTATTTTAAAACCACATCTAAAATTGCATTTATTGTGTGCAACATGATGTTTTGAAGTATAAATATATTGTGGAATTGTTAAATATAGCTAACTGAAAAGTGTACCCACACAGTTAAAATTTTTGTGGTTAGGTTACTAGGTATTTTATTCTCTTTGAAGCAGTTGTGAATGGGAGTTCACTCATGATTTGGCTCTGTTTGTCTGTTGTTGGTGTATAGGAATGCTTGTGATTTTTGCACATTCATTTTGTATTCTGAGATTTGCTGAAGCTGCTTATCAGCTTAAGGAGATTTTGGGCTGAGACAATGGGGTTTTCTAAATCTACTATAATGTCATCTGCAAACAGAGACAATTTGACTTCCTCTTTTCCTAACTGAATACCCATTATTTCTTTCTCCTGCCTGATTACCCTGGCCAGAACTTCCAATACTATGTTGAATAGGAGTGGTGAGAGACAGCATCACTGTCTTGTGCCAATTTTCAAAGGGAATACTTCCAGTTTTTGCCCATTCCTCAAGGATCTAGAACTAGAAATACCATTTGACCCAGCCATCCCATTACTGTGTATATACCCAAAGGATTATAAATCACGCTGCTGTAAAGACACATACACATGTATGTTTACTGAGGCACTATTCACAATAGCAAAGACTTGGAACCAACCCAAATGTCCATCAGTGATAGACTGGATTAAGAAAACGTGGCACATATACACCGTGGAATGCTATGCAGCCATAAAAAAGAATGAGTTCATGTCCTTTGTAGGGGCATGGATGAAGCTAGAAACCATCATTCTGAGCAAACTATCACAAGGACAGAAAACCAAACACCACATGTTCTCACTCATAGGTTGGAATTGAACAATGAGAACACTTGGACACAGGGTGGGGAACATCACACACCAGGGCCTGTTATGGGGTGGGTGGAGGGGGGAGGATAGCATTAGGATATATACTTAATGTAAATGACAAGTTAATGGGTGCAGCACACCAACATGGCACATGTATATATATGTAACAAACCTACACATTGTGCACATGTACCCTAGAATCTGAAAGTATAATTAAAAAAAAAAGACAAAAAATTTTGTGGTTAGGAAAATTAACATCACTCTCTTAGCATTTTTCAGTATGCAATATATTTCATTAACTATAATCACCATTCTGCACAGTAGATCTGGCCAACCTATTACTCCTATCTAACTGTAAATATGTATCAATTGACCAAAATCTACTCAATCCCCACTCCTCCCTACCTATTGCAGCCTCTAGTAAACAAAGTTATAACCTCTGTTTGTATAAAGTCAACTTTTTAAGATTCTTCACATAAGTGGGATCATGCAGCATTTTTCTTTTTGTTCCCGGCTTATTTCATTTAACAAAAGTTTTCCAGGTTCATCCATGTTGTCACAAATGACAGAATTTCCATAATTTTTTATTTTTTATGTCTAATCTGTATTTTTTATTTTTTATGTCTAATCATTATGCTGAGGAGAGGGTTCAAGTCTCATGTTTATTGCAGTAGATAAGAAATATAATCAACATAAGTTTCCCTCAAAGGATAAATGGACAAAAAAATGAGGCATATACATATCTATGCACATACAATTGAACACTAATAAGCTGTAAAAAAGAAAAAATTCTTTAGAAACTTAAATAGTAATATTGTATAAAGGCATCTTTTGTTGGAGAACATTCAAATGCTTTCCTTTTTAAGGAGGATTTTCAGACTGGAGGTCTTTCACATTGCCATATGCATTAAATATATATGGGAGTTTAGTATAAGTAAAATTTTCTGTAAAACTAATGTCAGATGATGTGAAATCCAGATGAAGCTCAGCTTTCAATATCTCAATCACAGTAATACAGAAAAAGAAAACTATTCAAACTTGGAAAGAAACACAGTAGTATATTAATGGTGAGGACTGGTTTATTTGCTAACTCTAGTCTGTTTATTGCATTCCTTATTTCTTGTCTAACCTGGGGGCCCAATTCCATAGATATTTTTCAAATATATACATCTTGGAGCGTTAGATAGTTTATAAGAGTAACTGATAGGCAGAAATGTAAAAATGTACAAGAAGGCTCTGCAGAAACTGTGGTAGCATAGTAACATTGTAGCAATTCAAAATGATAACTTGCTGTGATTAGAATTTTCAGAGTGGCATCAGCCAAGTGGCTGAGTAGACTTACCTTATGCTCATATTCCTTATAAAAAAGGACCAAAACAAGAAATAAACCATGATATTTTCTTTTTTTATTTTAATTTTTTTAGTATTTATTGATCATTCTTGGGTGTTTCTCGGAGAGGGGGATTTGGCAGGGTCATAGGACAATAGTGGAGGGAAGGTCAGCAGATAAACGTGTGAACAAAGGTCTCTGGTTTTCCTAGGCAGAGGGCCCCACTGCCTTCCGCAGTGTTTGTGTCCCTGGGTACCTGAGATTAGGGAGTGATGATGACTCTTAACGAGTATGCTGCCTTCAAGCATCTGTCCAACAAAGAACCATCTTGCACCGCCCTTAATCCATTTAACCCTTAGTGGACACAGCTCATGTTTCAGAGAGCACGGGGTCGGGGGTAAGGTTATAGATTAACAGCATCCCAAGGCAGAAGAATTTTTCTTAGTACAGAACAAAATGGAGTCTCCTATGTCTACTTCTTTCTACACAGACACAGTAACAATCTGATCTCTCTTTCTCTTCCCCACATTTCCCCCTTTTCTATTCGACAAAACCGCCATCATCATCATGGCCCGTTCTCAATGAGCTGTTGGGTACACCTCCCAGACGAGGTGGTGGCCGGGCAGAGGGGCTCCTCACTTCCCAGACGGGGCGGCCGGGCAGAGGCGCCCCCCACCTCCCAGACGGGGCGGCAGCTGGGCGGGGGCTGCTCCCCACCTCCCGGATGGGGCAGCTGCCGGGCGGAGATGCTCCTCACTTCCCAGACGGGGCGGCTGCCAGGCAGAGGGGCTCCTCACTTCCCAGAAAGGGCGGCCTGTCAGAGACGCTCCTCACCTCCCAGACGGGGTGGCAGCGGGCCAGAGACACTCCTCAGTTCCCAGACGGGGTCGCGGCGGGGCAGAGGCGCTCTTCACATCTCAGACGGGGCGGCGGGGCAGAGGCGCTCCCCACATCCCAGACGATGGGCGGCCAGGCAGATGCTCCTCACTTCCTAGATGGGATGACGGCTGGGAAGAGGCGCTCCTCACTTCCCAGACTGGGCGGCCGGGCAGAGGGGCTCCTCACATCCCAGATGATGGGCGGCCAGGCAGAGACGCTCCTCACTTCCTAGACGGGGTGGCGGCCCGGCAGAGGCTGCAATCTCGGCACTTTGGGAGGTCAAGGCAGGTGGCTGGGAGGAGGAGGTTGTAGTGAGCCGAGATCACGCCACTGCACTCCAGCCTGGGAAACATTGAGCACTGAGTGAGCGAGACTCCGTCTGCAATACCGGCACCTCGGGAGGCCGAGGCTGCCAGATCACTCGCCTTCAGGAGCTGGAGACCAGCCCGGCCAACACAGTGAAACCCCGTCTCCACCAAAAAATACGAAAACCAGTCAGGCGTGGCGGCGCACGCCTGCAATCCCAGGCACTAGGCAGGCTGAGGCAGGAGAATCAGGCAGGGAGGTTGCAGTGAGCCGAGATGGTGGCAGCACAGTCCAGCCTCAGCTGGGCATCAGAGGGAGACCGTGCAAAGGGGAGAGGGGAGAGGGGAGAGGGGATATTTTCATTAGAGTGACTGAAGAAGTACACTGGAGAGAACTAGGAGAACAGTGAAATCTCAGAGAACAGTGATCACAAAAGCCCAGGATAGGACCATAAAGAAGGGAGCAAGGTATTCTTCCTCTGCCACACTGTCTCTCTTGCTGAAATTGGCTTGAAGTCAGAGGGGACTTCTTACCAAAGATCTCTAGATATAATAGACATCCCTAGTGGCTTCTGTTGTTGCCATGAATGCTAGCAATTTCTGCTTCATTAGAAATCTCAAGCTCTCAAAGACCCCAGATACTGTTCGGAGAGTAGCTGGGAATTCATGCAGCTACATTGCCTCAAAGTAGAAGTCTGCCTTCAGCACCCCGACTCCCACATCCTAAGCTGCTATGGCTCAGTGTCTTCTTGAAACTGAAACCACTACTAGAGTAAGTCTTATCCTAGGGGCTAGGAGCAACTGACCCTCTCCATATCTAAGGTTTCACTGTAATTTGCCCAGATTCACACAAGTGCCTGCAATACCACCTCCCCAGCTGCCTGGAGCCTAGGACAGATGTAATGACCAAGACCCCAGCCTCTAAACCTGTGCAACGTACCACTACCCCAGTGAACTGGTGGGCCTGCACAGTACAGAAGCCACTAGTCAGCCCAGCCTGCTGCACATTTACATGTCTACTTAGCCCAACACCAGGTCCTATGACTGGCATAGCCTCACCCCAGATTGCTTCAGATACACCCAGGCTTGACACATTCTCATCCACTCATGTACATACCAACAGCCAGTCTGGTGGCTAGACAGACTGGGGCAAGATCAAAGGGCTCCCACGGTATCTGCATCCTCCTGCATCTGGTTTAACAGCCATCTGGGGCAGCCTCATCCCTGCAGAGAAACTGCCACAATGCCACATGGCCCAATCATGCCTACTCACCCTCACTCTTAGCCTGACAGCTGTCTGGGAGTGACCCTTCTCCTGAAGACAGACCACAAGAAGGTCACCAGGCACTGCTATGCCTGAACACACTCAGCCCAACATCCAGTCTGGTGGCAATCCTGTCCCCCAACAGAGATAGTCACACAGTCTTCAGGTTGGCTATGCCAGTGTGTGTCCAAGCCTGGCCCAGCAACCAGCCTGTGGACAGCAACAGCCTACACAGAGGGCCACAAAATAGACTTTTGGCCCTCTGTGCCTGCAAGCAATATGACAATCAGCCTAGCTTCTGCTCCCAGTGGAATCATGCCACTGCCATCACAAACTCCTAAGCATCTTAGGTCATTGGGGCAATTATAGTCTTCACTGAAGATTACAGCTAATGAAAATGCACAGAGACCTCACTACTGAACCCACCCAGAACGAAAGTCAATGCATTATATGGATAGGAATATCCAGATTAAAAAGCTCAAAGGTATATAATTGGATTCAACCCAAAAGAATCCTCTCTAAGGCACATTATATTCAAACTATCAGGTTAAAGACAAAGAAATAATTCTAAAAACATCAAAACAATCAAGTCACACATGAAGGAATTTCCGTTAGACTCACAGAAGATTTCTTAGCAAAAACCTTACAGTCTAAGAGAGAATTAGGTATTATATTTAAAGTACTAAAAACAGTCACCTAAAATACCGTATCCAGCAAAGCTATACTTCAGAAATGGGAGATAAATGAAGATCTTTCCAGACAAGCAGTAGCTGAGGGAATTCATCACTCACTAGACCAGCCTTAGGAAGAATGCTTGAGAGTGCTACAACTGAAACAAAAGGATGATAATAACTAACATAGAAACATGTGAAAGCATAAAATTCACCAGTAAAGGAAAATTCATAAATTTAACTCAGAATAATATAGTAATAATTCTCAAACTATCAAAAGTTAAAGGCAAAGAAATAATTCTAAAAACAGCAAAAGAAAAACATCACACACAGGAAATTTCTATTAGACTAAGATAATTTTTCTCAGCAGAAACCTTACAGTCCAAGAGGTTTTGTTTTGTTCTGTTTGTTTTGTTTTCGGTCAAAAATTTTCCCTTTTAAATATTTTATCTCAATAGTTTTTGAGGAAAATGTGGTTTTCAGTTACGTGGATAAGTTCTTTATTAGTGATTTCTGAGATTTTGGTGCACGTGTCAGCCAAGCAGGGTATACTATATCCAATATTTAGTTTTTTATCCCTCATCCCCTTCCCACTCTTCCCTTCGGTCCCCTAAATCCATTATATCATTCTTATCCTTTGTATCCTCATAGCTTAACTACCACTTATAATTGAGAACATACAATATTTGGTTTTTAATTCCTGAGATATTTTATTTAGAATAATGTCATTCAACGCCACCCAGGTTGCTGTGAATGCCATTATTTCATTCTGTTTTATGGCTTAGTAGTATTCCATGGTGTATACATAAGACATTTTCTTTATCCACCCATTCTTTGAGGAATATTTAGGTAGGTTCCATATTTTTGTAATCACTAATTGTGCTGCTATAAACATGCATGTGCATGTGTCTTTTTCATATAATGACTTATTTTCTCTTGGACAGATATCCAGTAACGGAATTGCTAGATTGAATGGTGTTTTTACTTTTAGTTCCTTAAGGAATCTCCATACTGTTTTCCATAGTGGTTATACTAGTTTACATTCTCACCTGCAGTGTAAGACAGTTACCTTTTTACCATATCCACACCAACATATACTATTTTTCGATTTTTAAATTATAGCCATTTTTGCAGCAGTAAGGTGGTATCTTATTGTGGTTTTAATTTGCATTTCCCAGATAATTAGTGATCTTGAACATTTTGTCATATGTTTGTTGTCTGTTTGTATATCTTCTTTTGAGAATTGCCTATTTATTTAAACGTCATGCCATCCAACAATTTTAAAGGCACACCCTTCTCAACTGCATATGGAACAGTATCCAGGAGAGATCACAACTTGGTCACATAACAAGTCTAAACAAATTTAAGAAGACAGAGATTATACAAAGTCTCTTTTCAGACTTTCATGGTATAAAACTAGAGATAAACACACACACACACACACACACACACACACACACACACACACATACACACACACACAAACCCCTACAGGTTTACTGTGTTATGTAAAATGTTCAATACTCCAATATGAAAGTTTAAGTCAAAATGCCTAAAAACAACAGGTACAATTAATGACTAAGAATAAGTAATTAAAATAGCAGAAATATAAATTGAGTTTGAGGGAGGAGAAGTATAGAGTATTTTTGTAGGACAAAATTCAGCTTGATCTTAGCATAAAATAATCCACTGTAACTACAGGATTCTTTATGTTATCCCCATTGAAATCACAAAGAAAAAAATACAGCATATATACAAGAAATAGGAAGGAAACAAAACTTAGAACCACAGAAAAATAATAAATTACAGAAATAAACCGTAAAAGAGGAATTAAAAAGAAAACATAGGATTTACCAAACAACCAGAAAATACTTAACAAAATAGCAGGACTAAGTCACTATCTGTCAATAATAACCTTGAATGTCAACAAACAAAATTATCCAATTAAAAGATATAGAGTGAATGAATTAAAAACAAGACCAAACTGTATCATGCCTACAAGAAACTCACTGCATGATTACAGGTAAACATGAACTGAAAGTGAAGAAAGGAAAAAAGATATTCCATGGAAACAGAGCCAAAGGAAACAGGGTTAGCTATCCATATTTGAGATAAAACAGAGTAAATTGAAAAGAATAAAAGAGACAAAGAAGGTCATTATGCAATGACAAAGGGATAAATTCAGCAAGAGGATATAATGATTCCAAATATATATGTACTCAACACTGGAGCAGCTAGCTAAATAAAGCAAATATTATTAGACCTAAACAGAAATACAGACTACAATACAGTAATAGTAGAGGACTTTAGCACTCTACTTTGATCAATGAACAGAACATAGAGACAAAAATTCAACAATCATCAGACTTAAACTGC
Source organism: Homo sapiens (assembly GCF_000001405.40). Lineage (NCBI taxonomy): Eukaryota > Metazoa > Chordata > Mammalia > Primates > Hominidae > Homo > Homo sapiens. The sequence goes on from NC_000001.11 coordinate 189,144,588, forward strand.
ACCATGGACCAAATAAATATTTACAGAACATGCCATCCAACAATTGATTCTTCTCACCCGCATGTGGAACATTATCCAGAATAGATCACAACTTAGGCCACAAAACAATAAACAAATTTAAGAAGATAGAGGTTCTATAAAGTCTGTTTTCTGATTTCAATTGTATAAAACTAGAGATCAATGCAGAAAAACTTCAGAAACTTTACAAATACATGGAAATTAAAAAAATATGGCCCTAAACCATAAAGAAACCTCAAAGAAGAAATTAAAAGGAAAATGAAAAATTTCCATGAGACAAGCAAGAATGGAAACACAGTATAGTCATAACTATAAACATACTAAAGGCAGTTGAGAGACATAATTTTATGTTAATAAATCTCTAAACCAAAAATAAAGATTTCTAATAAACAACCTAATGAAACATGACAAAAAAGTAGAAAAACAAGAATTAAACCCAAAATTCTTCTTGTGGAAGAAAATAAATAATAAACCTACGGTAGAAATAACCAAAATAGAGACTAAAAAGTTTCAAAAGATCAACAAAATAGAGTTGGTTTTTTGAAAACAAACTAAATTGACAAAACTTGAGCTAGGCTAACAAGTGAAAAAGAAAAGAACAGATTCAAATAAAATTAAAGATGAAAAACAGAGACTTCACAACTCATACCATAGAAATACAAAGGATCATAAGAGACTATTATGAACAGCTATAAGCCAAAAAATTGATAACCTAGAAAAAAATGAATAAATTCATGAAGACAACTTACCAAGTTTAAATTTGAAGCCATATAAAATCTGAGCAGACCAATAACAAGTCAAGAAATTGAATGAGTAATAAAACATCATCCAAAATTTTCAAACATCTACAGTCAACTGATTTTCCACAAAAGTGCTGAAAACAAAGATTGGAGAAACGACAGTGTGTTCAATAAATTATGCTGAAAATATTATATATCCATATATAAGAGAATGAGACTAGAGCACTACCTCCAACCACATAAAAAAATCAACTCACAATAGATTAACTGTTTAAACCAGCAATCAGAAGCTATGACAGTACTGGAAGAAAACAGGTAAAATACTCCATGAAATTGGGATGAGCATGGATTTTAAAAATAAGATATCAAAAGTATAGACAACAAAAAGTAAAACTATACAAATGGAATTACATCAAATTAAAAAGATTTTGTAGAGACAAGGAAACTCTTAATGTAGTGAAAAGATAACCTACAGAATGGGAAAAAAACTTGCAAAGTCTAAATCTGACAGGGAGTTGATATTCAGAATACATAAGAAAATAGAACAACTCAACAGTAAAAATAATACAATTTTTTAAATGATGAAAGGCCCTCTCAAAATAAGAACAGATAGCCAATAGGTATAAGAAAAAATTCTCAACATCTCTCATCAACAGGGAAATGCAAATCAAAGACACCATGAGATAACGCCTCACTTCAGATAGAATGGCTATTATTAAAATAAATAAATAAAATGACTGCTGGTGATGATGTAGAGAAAATGGTAGACTTGAACACTGTTGGGATTATAAATTAATGTAGCCATTATGGAAAATAATATGGAGGTTCCTAAAAAAGTTCTATTTTTAAGAACTACCATATGATCCAATAATCCCACTCCTGTGTATATATGCAAAGGAAATGAAATCAGTGTGTCAATGAGATATTTGCACTGCCATATTTATTGTAGCACTATTTACTATAGTCAAGATATTGCATCAACCTTTGTGTCCAACAGTGAATGAATATACAATATAAAGAAAATGTGGTATCTACACAATTAAATAATATTGAGACATAAAAAAGAATGAAATCTTAACATTTGTGAAAACATGAAGAAAATGGATGACATTAGTTAAGTGAAACAAGCCAGATGCAGAAAGACAAGTACCACATAATCTCATTCATATAAAGAAAAAAAAAAGTTGATATCGATAACAGTAGATATTAGAACAGTGAGTACCAGAAACTAGGGAAGGAAGGGGAGAAAGGAGGATGGGAAGGAAGGGGAGAAGGGAGGATAGGAAGAGTCTGGTCAGAGGCTAGAAAGTTACAATTACACAGGGGAAATAAATTCTGGTGTTCTATTTCACTGTGCTACAACTATAGTTAACAGTTGAATAGTGTGTAGTACAAAATAGCTAAAAGGGAGACTTTTAGATATTCTCACCACAAAAAATAATAAATAATTGAGGTGATGGATACACAAACAACCCTGAATGGAGCATTATGCAATATAGATATGTAAAATAAAATCACACTGTACCCAGTAAATATATATAATTACAATTAGTCAATTAAAATCTGGAAAACTTTTTTGAAAAGAATTCTACAGCATTTTAAATGAGTAATGACATATTTTTCAATGTGCTTGACAATAAGGATTTCAGAGCAATTTCTGATTTTTAAACTGAACTTTTACATCTGTAGAAGTTGAATAAATGTTTAAAAATTGGCTCTAAATAAACGTGTCAGATAACATAATATTGTCTGATGCTTTAAGGCAAATTTGATTAGCAGTTACTTCATTCTGATCTTGATAAATCACATTGAAAGCAGATGTACTTTTCAATAAACCTAAATTGAAATTTTTCAATCCTTTTTTTCTTCTAAACTGTATATATCTTCAAAGGCATTCAATTTTATATAAATAAAAGTATTTAATTGCATAAGCTAAAGAGTTTTTGGTTTAACTAAGCATTCTAAACTACAAAGAGACCAAATTTGAATATGAATTGCTATACCTTTGAAGAATAGCTATGTCATTAATCTGTAATCAGTCACTGACATATTCATTTGTTCAAGGGACCAGCTGTTGGTAGGGCAATTTTCATAAAATTAGAAATCAATGTTATAGCCATATGCAGTGTTTGATTCCACACAGAAGGGAATTAGTAATAAAACTAGAGTTTGGTACTTCATAAAAAGATGACATTCATGTAATCTTAACCCTTTACACAAATAAACTTGAAGTTAAGAATGTTTTTAGAAATGGTTATTTTCACTTTCTAACATATGTTCTGAAAGTGTTTAGTTTATTTTTGTAGAAAAGTAATATCAGAAAAATATAAATGCAAATATAAAAATGAGCTAATATATGTGTCCCTAGTAGGAGTACCTGTGACTAGAAAAAAAATAAAATTCATAATAAAAGTAAAACTCCCCATTATGGGTTATTTTGTGATGAGAAGATACTATAATTATCGTAATACAAATCGAGTTTTCATCCAAAATACTAACTATAATGATTTGGGTATATATACAATGTCAACTGATTTATATAATTTATGCAAACCAAAGATAATGTATCTAAATAAAAAATAATTTAGGAATAGAAATTATTTTGATCAATTGAGTCAACATCAGGTGATAAATTATGTGTATTGTTATAGAAAATAAACAGACATTTTTACTGGCTAGTTTTACTGCCTTTCCTGAGGAAATCATAATCAGATGCTTGTAAAAGTGCCAATCAGTTATCCAAATATATTTTGTAATAAGAAGTATGAATACACAGTGTCATCATATAATAATATATATATCATCATATATATCATATATAAATATATATAATTTAAAAGCTAGTGCTCTTGTCTGCACCATCGTCTTCTCCCCTTGAGGTTCAGTTCCCTCATTTGTAAACTGGGTATGATTGTAATACCTACCTCACAGGTTTATTGCAAGAGCTACAGAAATTATTGCACGGTAGAGTGCAATTGGATTTTATCATTCTATTCCTTTGCAAAATGTCATCAAACTAAAAAAAATCTATGGTATCTAGAATAATTTTCTTCACAGAATTGTTAATGAAGGAATATACATTGTTTAGGTTACATGTTGTTTGAAGTAATTTTATTTCAATACAAAGTATGAAAGAGTATATACCTCTGACTTTGTTTTTGTTTTGGTGGGTGTCAGGAACTCAGCTCAGCTGGAAAAGAGTTGAGCCACTGGAGAATTGGCTGCTGTCAGAGTAACCAATTAAAGCAACAAGCCTAAAAATAGAAGAGAATCAGAGAATCCTTTAATCCATATATATATGTATATATCTTGATATATACATATTAATACATCTTAATCCATATACATATACATCTATATATATATCCTTTAATCAATGGGATTTACTGCATTTATAAATGTACACAAAAACGTGTTTTAAAGTGGCAGTGAGTCCATCTTGTTGTGTCCATAGCCTATGTCCCAGTCACAATGCAGCTTTATTAATGAGACAATGGATCAAGCCCTGGGATAGATGGGGCAGGAAAATATTAACACTCATATTGTATATAATCCCATTCCCCTGTTTTTACAGATCCTTCTGAAGTGGGAAATTTAAGAAAAATGTTACAGGAAGAAAAATTTTCATATCTGGTGCCTAGTTATAAATAAGTTTTTCCAAAATCTTCTAACAAAAACTTTTTTGTTTCAATCCTGTAATTTGGTAATTTTAACTTCCTTAATAATACTATGATAGTAAATTAAACAAGCAAACAAACAAAAATATAGGTGTAAATTATTATTCATTTATTCCATGCAGGTAAAGGGTTTGTTTCTTCCCCTAGAATTTGAACACACTTGTGACTGCCTGGATTGATAAAAATATGGTTTTTCTGAATTTCAACAAACTGTGTTCTATACTCCACTTAAATATAAAACCTATGAGATAAGGGATATTTTCTGTCTTGCCTCACAGTTATGTATCTGGTAATCAGCCCAGCAATTGGCAAATTTTAGATACTGAATATAAATTTATTGAATAAATAAAAAAGCAAGTGGGTGAGGATCATAGATGTGGCTCTCAATAAGAAAGCATTTCCCTTTTAAAAAACTGGAACATATTTATATTTCCAATATAGGTGATTCTTGCAAAAACATTCAAATTAATATATTAACTTTAAGCCAGAATGGGTTAAAGAATTAATATATTAACTTTAAGCCAGAATGGGAAGGGAAGAGTGTGGTCCCTTTAAATGATATGGAAGCCGGAACGGAAGTGCAGAACAGGGGAGGTCTTGTTCCCCGGCTAGGGCTCCGCCTTCGGGGACCTAGGTGAGGACAGGCATTTCCTGCCCAAATGTTGCATTTCCCAAGACCACCCTGGCCCACCACGCCCCCATCCTGGGCCTATAAAAACCCAAGACCCTGGCGGGAAGACACAGAAGTGGTTGGGCGTCGTGAGGAACGCATCGGCGGCAGAACACTCAAGCGGCTGGTTGTTGAGAGCACGCCAGCTGAAGAGCACCCCTGCACACTGGCAGGCCATCCACAGGTGGGACGAGGCAGAATTTACTGGGGCTATTGGAGGAGAGCTGGGGCCATCTAGCGGCCCAGCTTCTGGGGACAACCATCTCCCTTCTGGCTCCCCCATTAGCGGAGAGCCTTGCACTCATTCTCCAAGCCCACATGTGACCTGATTCTTCAGGTACACTAAGGCAAGAAACCCCAGGATACAGAAATCCGTCTGTCCTTGTAATAAGGAAGGGGGTTTAATTGAGCTGGTTAATACAGGCCGCCTATAGATGGCAAACTAAGAGAGCACCCTGTAACATACACCCACTGGGGCTTCAGGAGCTGTAAACATTCACCCCTAGACACTGCCGTGGGGTTGGAGCCCCACAGCCTGCCTGCCTGTATGCTCCCCTAGAGGTTTGAGGAGCAGGGCACTGAAGGAGTGAGTCACACCTCCATTGGACGTCCTGCTAGGGGGACAAGGAAACCTTTCTCATTTCAGTATGTTGTTTTAACATCCCATTTGTTTCAAAAATGTCATTGAATTTTACAAAGTCTATTGTATCTACAATGAAGATTTTCCTATACATATTAATGAAGTAATATACATTATTTACTTTACATATTGTTATTAATAGAAGCAATAGTATTTCAATACAAACTATGAAAAGGTGTATACCTCTGAATTTATTTTTGTTTTGGTAGGTGTCAGAAACTCAGCTCAGCTGGAAGAAACTTGATGTACCAGGTATCAGAGTAGCAAGTAAAGCCACAAGCCAAAAATGAAAGAGAATCTTTTAAGTGCTTATCGTGATGGTGTAAGTAATTGTCCAAAAGAAACGCCGATTCCTTCTGTTCCATTTTTACCTGTGGATTGTGGATTGAAATAACCATTGGACCATGAGGAGAGACTCTGAAGAGAGGTATGTGACAGAGTGGGGCCTAGGGGTGGAAACTGCTGGGTGCTGAATCAGAGCGGGGAAAATCGTCTTTGTTTTCTCCCTCCTTCACCCATATGGAGGCCTCAGCAGAGACATCTGAAGAGACTCTTGCCAGGCCTCGAAGAGACTCTAGAAATGAAGGTGCTGGGATATTTCATAGGCTAAGATTCACTTGATAGAAAAAACAGGGGATAAAGGAAAATTTAAATGACACCATGAAAAAATCATTAGACAAACTCAGAAAGTCGAATATTCTACAGGACAAGTCTTTTCAACAAGATAATGTCTGGGGGGAAAAAAGACACTGTGTGTTCTTTCTATTTTGAGAGACATAACAGCCAATGCAGTGAGTGATTCTTTAGTGGATCCCATTTTGAATAGCTGTAGAAAACATTTCTGGTACTGAGTATCAGATAATATCAGCAAGTTATGTCAATTTTGTTAGATGTGATACTAATAGTGCAGTTATTTGAGAAAATGTCCTTATTTCCAACATATGAAATGTTTAGAGATAAAGTATTATTAAGTAATTTACTTTAAAATACTTCAGAAAAAAATATAAACTGTGGCAAAAATATTAACAATGGCTAAATCTGGGTTATGGCTACATGATTCTTTTTATATTTTGTTTAATTGAAAATATAAAAACCGAGTGGTGGTTTAAAAAAAAAAAGAGAAAGAGAAATGGAGGTGCTGGAGATAGAAGTTTAAATATGGAAAGGGTGTGATCTGCCAGTTTGCCTGAGTCCTTGACTGCAACTCTCTAATTTAGAGACTGCAATGTGCTGACTGTGCACCAAGTCTGTTCCAGAGAGGGTGACTACCTTCCTTGAGGACTGTCAGGTAAAGCCTCTGCAATTGCCTGTGGCTGGGACTGAAAAATTATGCAGGTTTTTCACCAAGAGCCAGACTCCTCAGTAGTGAGCCAGGCCTGTTAGATTTCGATATATTTTTCTACTTAGGCAAGAATATCAAATTGCTTTTTAGTATAGTACTAACAATGAATAAATCTTTATTTACATGTCAAATACAATACCATTTTTGAATGTTTAGTGGCCTACCTGTTACTTTTAAAATAACTGAGAGAACATCAGGAATTCAATTTTATGGCTGATGCACTTGAACAAAAATAAGTTTGGGACAAGATGTTATATTTCTTAGCATTTTGCTTTACAGTGTATCACAATTTACAAAATTATCAAATTGTAGCACTTTTTAGTCTTTTAACTTTAGAAAGGTGAGATGTGTCAATTAAAAAAAGAGGAATATCTAAACGTTGTCCAAAAGAAACTGATTGAAAATCCATTTTGATTTGGTCTTAAATTTTAAAACCATAACCCTCTCTATACAATGTTAAGTATTTCTGCCATTAGTTTTATTTATTTATTTTGTTAATATTATTTTAGACTCAGGGGTTACATGTGCTTGTTTGTTATATGGGAATTACATGCATAATGGAGGGGGTTGGGCTTCTAGTATCTCCATCACCTAAATATTCAACACTATAGGTACATTTTCAACTCTGGATCCTCCTCCTACCTCCCTCCTTTTGGAGTCCCCAGAGTGTATTGTCTCCATCTTTATATCTATGTGTACTCATTGTTTAGCTCCCACTTATAAGTGAGAACATGAGATATTTGATTTTTTGATTTCTGAATTAGTTCTCTTACAATAACAACCTAAAAAGCTTCATTCATGTTGCTGTAAAGGACATTATTTCATTCTTCTTTATTGCTGGATAATATTCTATTGTGTATATATACCGCATTTTCTTTATCCAGTCCATTACTGGTGGACACTTAGGTTGAATCCATGACTCTGACATTGTGAATAGTATTGCAATAAATATATGATGTGCAAATGTCTTTTTTAATATAAAGATTTCTTTTCCTTTGGGTAGATATCCAGTAGTGGGATTTTGGGGTCAAACAGGAGTTCTATTTTTAGTCATTTGAGATATGTCCATATTGTTTTTTGCAGAGGCTGAAATAATTTATATCTTTACCAACAGTGTCTAAATGTTCCCTTTTCTCTGAATCCTTTCCAACATCTGTTATTTTTTGATGTTTCAATAATAACCAATCTGACTGGTGTGAGATAGTATCTCACTGTGGTTTTAATTTGCATTTATCTGATGACTAGTGATGTTAAGCACTTTTTCATATGTTTGTTGGCCACTTGTATGTCTTCTTTTGAGAAATGTCTGCACATGTCTTTTGCTCAGTTTTTAGTGGGCTTTTTATTGTTGTTGTTATTGAGTTGTTCAAGTAACTTGTAGATACTGGATATTAGTCCCTCGTTAGAGGCATAATTTGCGAATATTTTCTTCCATCCTGTAATTTTGTCTTTTTAGTCTGTTGATAGTTTATTTTGTTGTGTAGAAGACTTTTAGCTTGATTAAATCCCATTTGTCTATTTTTGTTTCTGTTGCATTTAATCTGGGTCGTCATCATAAATTCTTTGCCTAGGCCAGTGTCCAAAAGAGTTTCTTTTTTTTAGGATTTCTGTCGTTTCAGATCTTACATTTAAGTATTTAATTCATCTTAATTTTGTGTATGGTGTGATATAGGGGTCCACTTTTCATTTTTCTGCATATGCCTAGCCAGTTTTCCTAGCATCATTTTTTGAATAGGTTGCCCTTTTCCCATTGTTTGTTTTTGTTGACTTTATCGCAGATCAGTTGGTTATGGGTATGTGGCTTTATTTTTGGGTTCTCTATTCTGTTCTATTTATCTATGTGTCTATTTTGTACTAGTCGTATGCTATTTTAGTTACTATAGCCATGCAGTATGGTTTCAAGTCAGACAATGTGATGTCTCCAGATTTTATCTTTCTGCTTAGTAGTTGCTAGAGTATTGATTTCTTTAAATAATTTATCAATTTCTAACCTCTAACTATAAGGTAGAGTTCCCACTATGGTTATTATATCCGTGGCAAAGACAATATCACAACTCTGGAGACAATTGAGTGTATATTAAAATCATAGCAAATCTATATTTCAGATATAAATGTTTGTGTAATTTACATTAATAACTTAAAGATAACCTTGTTTTCTACTAGGCAAAAATAACATTGAAAAATACAGTCCACAATTTTTGCAATAAACATTTACCTATTTTTGAAAACTCTAAAAAAAGAAATTTTCTTTTTTTCTGCTTTTTTCATATTATCAAATAATAATTTTTTACCTGATCATGTTTGTTTAGTTTGTCCACATTTACTATTCATTCAGCAAATTATTTTTGAGTGTCCACTATGGGTAGGTAGAGTTCTAGGTGTTAGAGAGTTTACAATGAAGAAGATAAGCTAGAAATATGCAGTTCCCTGACCATAACTGGCAGAATGTTTTCCTCTAAACTGTGAGCCTGATATTTCATATCAGTTCAAATTAGATATCTTAACAGCAGGAAGACTGAGAAATTGAGAAAAATGCTCATTCATCAGTTGCTATTAACATTGGCAAGAGTTATCTTTTTTTATTTCTCATGACTTCCAGATATAAGTAGCAATATGACATTACTGAACACTGACAGATACAGTATTGAAGTGATTTTTAATTTGATGAAAGTGGTGGAAAGTGATGATATGACTTACATGGCAAGCATATATTGTCCTCAGTGACCATTTTATATATTGTTTAAGTTCAGCAGGATTAATCATTTTAAAAGGTTATTGTTTTTCTTGTTTTATTATCTATTCCATTCAGCTATTTCTTAATAACCATATTATATGTCACTATCTGTAGCAAATCATTATTAGTTCTAGTATAGCAGAAACAATATTTAATTTAAAATTATTTCCTAGAAAATAGTAAAAATCCACTTTCAATAGTAAGAAAATTCATGTCAAATAAACGAGCTGGATACTTTTAGTACCACCAATGTGTTAAAGTCAGCATTTTCAAATTTGAATTAATTGAAATTGACAAATATACATTTCATATATTTATGATGTACTACATGATGTTCTATAATATGAGCTAATGCAAAGATGCTCATATTGTGCCCACATTCCTTTTTTCAAACTTATATTTGGTTAATGCACATTATCATAAGTTATTTCAAAATATTGAGAAAAAAATCACACCAAGTGTAAAATTTTATGATTGTTCAATAAAAGTTAAAAGGTAAATTGTTAGGTGTGGAGTCAAAAGGAAATAAATAAATTTATCATCCTTAACATTAAAACTCAAGAAACAAATATTTTTGAGTAAATACAATTGCTAAATATTACACATATTATTTTCTATTTGTACTTAATTGAATTCTCATTAAAACCATGTGGGATGGGTTGTATGTCATTCTTAATTTTGAGATGAGTAAACTGCAGCTCGGAGTGGTCAAGACACTTGCCCTCTATTACACACAATAAAAGGGTTGAAGCCTCTTTTATCCAATTTCTGTTGGTACTCAGTACTATTTTATGTGTAAACATCTGCTCAGTACACTAGATACTCAAAATGATGGATATTCCATGCCAATGTAAACAGCTACAGTGTACATATTTCTCCAACTTTTTTTGCAGCTTTTTTCTGCTGTCAAGAGATCTCTTCTGAACTGACAAGTAATAGCAGACATTATAGTTCAGAAGAATATACTCACCATAAAAGAAAATAGTATATCTGAGTTTTTGTTGTTGATACTGGTTTGTCATATGTTTCAATTTTAGTATACATTTTTTCCTCGAGCTTAGAGCATGTATTTCCATTACATAGTTGTAACTGTATGTTATGGTTAAATTGAACAGCATTTATTATGCAGTTCAATTGCATACAATTATTCATTATGGAATAAGATGCTAAAAGATAAGAATGTTCTTCCAGGTGTTAAGAAAATTGATAGCAGTGGTTTGCTTGTTTTCTTTCTGGTATCTGTTTATCAATGAAAGTAGGAGCTAGATATAGAAATACATAAGTAACACATTGTCTGTCTTTGTTTTTAAGTAAATTAACATGTAGAGTGGTAGATAGACAAATAGCTAGGCAAATATAAATCAGAGTAAAGAATACAACAATAGATGGGATGCTATTGACATACATAGGCTGGAAAACAACCTATATTTAGGAACACATAGAAACATTGACCAAATTCTTAATACGAGGTAGATATTAGAGTAGTCATTCAGAAATATGGTTTTGAAGAAAACGGAATAGCATGCATACAGTATTGGAAGCAAGATAAAATATGACTAATCTTTAGAATTCCAAGAAATTGTGTGTGATTGGAGTACAGATCGTGGAAAGCGAGAGTTGAAAGTCGAGGAAGAGGGATCATCATATTTTTAGGGTAGAGAAAGCAAATGTAGAAGATTGAGAAACAGGTAGTGAAGGGCTTTATATTGTGCTAAGCAGTATGGCCATTTTCCTATGAGCAACAGGGAACTTTTGAAGAAGTTTAAAAATAAGAGTAGCATAATCAAATTTGAATTAAAAAATTACTCTGATGCAAGGTAGAGAATACTTTTGTGAGAGATAAAACTGGAAGCAGAGAGTAATTAATAGGCTGTTGTAATAATTTTAATGAAAGAGAATGCCAAACTTAATCAAGGTAGGAATAAAGGATGTCAAGAAATGTAATGGAGGCCAGGCGCGGTGGCTCATGCCTGTAATCCCAGCACTTTGGGAGGCTGAGGCAGCGGATCACAAAGTCAAGAGTTTGAGACCAGCCTGGCCAACATAGTGAAACCCCATCTCTACTAAAAATACAAAAAATTAGCTGGGCATGGTGGCGGGTGCCTGTAATCCCATCTACTTGGGAGGCTGAGGCAGAAGAATCCCTTGAACCCAGGAGGCAGAGGTTGCAGTGAGCTGAGATTGCACCACTGAACTCCAGCCTGGGGCGACAGTGTGAGACTCCATCTAAAACAAAAAGAAAGAATTGTAATGGACTTGAATGATATTGATAACATAAAGCTCTATGTATGTGGTAATATGATTGAAGTAAAGAATATGGTGATCAGAATCAAGTATCATGTTCTGATTTTCAATTCTGAAAACTCAGTATATATTTGTTTCAATGACTAAGGTGAGGATCAAAGGAAGAAGAGAAAGTTAGTGGAATGGGATAGACATAATTTTCTACTTAGCATACTGTATTTGGGGAACCTCTAGAACATCTAGTACCACATATTTAGGTGAAGCTCAGGACAGAGATTTAAGCTGGCGATATATGTTATGAATAGTTAGTGATAGCCTATGGTAAGTCCTATGCATAAATGATTTAAAGTCCCAAATTACAGCAAATTTTAAAGCAATTGATCACCAAATGCAAACCCCTCTTAAGAGAACAACTAAGATTTACCTTAATAACACATAACTATATGGCAAGAAGATGAAGACAATAGAATAGAAATGTCTGCAAAATTTTGCCTTTGTAGTGAAATGCCTTTTTGTTTTTTAATATCACAAAGAGACCATTACTAGACTTCAGAACCCAACTCAAAATCACAAGTCTTAAATTATATATGCTATGTTCCAGACATGAGTGAAACAAACAAAACAAATACCACAAAAGAGAAATACTTTTATGGAAAGATTTAATTTATTTCATTAAACCCCATTGACTGTAATCTGGAATATGTCTGTATATTGAAACTATATATCTGTGTATTTAATAAAGATATTAAAAATTATTAGTCAAAAGTTGAAAAAAAATTGTCCTAATTCAGATGGATAATTATTTAAAACCAAAGTTGAGAGTTGGTTAGAGAATTTAGAAAGGAAATCACATTTTAAGTTTTGTCTCTGAATTCTCAATGTCACATCTTCATTTAATTATTGTTATTTTAATTCAAAATATGGATTCCATCAAAGGCCAAGGTATAAGATGAGCTTATTAAAAATGTTTAGTTTGAAAAGAGCAAGGGAATAATAATGAAAAATTAAAGAATACTATATTACTGATTTATGGCATATAGCAATTCAATATTGGATACTAGCTGGGGTGTATGTGTGTGCATGTGTGTTTTGATAGGTTGTGTTTTTATTTTTATTCATCTCAGGATATTTTAAATTGTGCCTCTTAATTTCTTTTTTGACCTATTGCTTGTTCAGAAGCATATCATTCAACTTCCACGTGTTTGTAAACTTTTCCAAATTTCTTCTGTTACTGTTTATTAGCCGTATTCTATTATAATCAAAAATAAGGCTAGGGGTGTTGGCTCATGGCTGTAATCCCAGCACTTTGGGAGGCCAAGGTGGTCAGATCACTTGAGACCAGGAGTTCAGGAACAGGCTGGTCAATATGGCAAAAATCTATCTCGACTAAAAATACAAAAATTAGCAGGTATGGTGATGTATGGCTGTAATCCCAGCTACTTAGGAGGCTGAGGCAGGAGAATCCCTTGAACCCGGGAGGTGGGGTTTGCAGTGAGCAGAAATTGTGCCAGTGCACTCCAGCCTGGGCAACAGATACTCTGTCTCGAAAAAAAAAAAAAAGAAAAAAAAACCTGCTTGATATTTGATATTTGAGTTCACTCCTGAGACTTGTGTTAGCAGGCCGCCTAGCCTTTCTGCTAAGGCACTAGCAGACGTGATGCCTCCCAGACCATTTGGTGGATAGTTTTGATAACAGGCACACAACCAAATGGTTAGGCAGCCAGACACTTCAGGGAACGTGGCCATTTCCATGTCTGAACCTAGAAGCACAATCGCATATGTGTTTTCACTTTCAAAAAGACTCTCCTCCATGGTCTTGGGCTCCACCAGGGTTTTACGACCTCCTACCTGAATCCCAAGGATCTCACCAAAACACAAAAATGCTTTTTTTTTTTCCCCATGGATGAGTGCAGAATTGTTGTTCTTAGAGGATATAAATAGGTGACTGAGTATTCTGCTATCTTACCCTCTAATAACTTTGTAATAACTTTTTAACATTCTTTTCAGTTATTCCCATTATTTCCATTTCTATTGTCTGAGTTCTCTCCTGCTGTGTGTCATGTTTTTTTCCTTCCTCACATCTCTAATATTTTCATTTCATGCCTGATATTGGGAATTTTGTGTTACTGAATGTTAGATTTTTTGAATTCTTTTAAGAAAAGTTGCAATTTTATTGTTAGGCAGTTATTTGAACATAACTGTTCACATTTTGAGAGGTGTCTTTTTTTTTCATTTTGGGTAGATCAAAGAAGCATTGCTTTTGTGGCTAGTTTAGCATTGTTACTATGATGTGACTCTTCTGATATTTTTATTAAATATCCCGTGTATTCAACCATGTCTATGCACTTTGGCTTTGACATCTCCAGCAATTTCTGTTCATTTTTGAATTATGAGAATTTTTCAGCTCCTAGGAAATTGTTATTTACCTGGAAGTTAATTCATGCCTTACATTTCAGAATTACTTGCTACATATTCACAGATTATTAATCAGCCAAAGACTGTAGTGGACACCAGCATAGATTTTTGGATAGTTCTTCTGAACTGTTCCTTTTTGATGGTACTCTACCCCACACACTTTAGCCTTTTAGGCTCCATGGTGGCCTAAACTTTGTCTTTACTTCAACAAAACAGCCAGGCTCTCTTTATCTTCCCATCCCTGGATGTCCAGAACAATGATTTCTTTCTCCCAATAATCATAATGGTGTGCTTATTTTTGTAATGTCTGAAAATTTTTGTTTTGTATTTTAGTGTCCAAATTTCTGGTTATTTAAAGTGAGAGAATAAGTAAATACTCTTATAAAACACTACAGAAAAAAAATGGAGAAATAATTTAAAATAATTTAAATTATTTTGTCTTACCAATATATGATAAAGTAAGTCCAAGTAGATATGTGAGTGGGTGATTATAATTAATTAATTGTATTTGTAATTGTAATTAGTTACTTCTGAATTCCAAGTCAATAGAAATTTGCAGTACCTATATTTTTGTAATAAAGTGCACGAATATTTCTCCTCAATCTGTTGGTAACCAATTATGATAAACAGATGCATATGTTTTTATATTGCCTGTTTGGACACCACATGTGGTTGTTCACTCTTCATCTGCCTGTCAGTATTCTCCACACATCTTTTATCACCCTGGTCTCCTCCTTCAACAGTGCATGGAATCATACATGGAGTCACTGAAAATGTACTATAGGTGGGAAAAATAAAAGAGTGGAGATGCCTCTGCTTAGCTCAGAAATTTATTATTCTCTCAGTTATTCCGTATATTTTATATAGCATTAACTGAGAAAATGTTGATCTCAGTAAATGACAAGTAAAAAGTAAAATATATTTTGTAATTTTGACTATACAGTATATAAAATTATTTAACTTTTGAAATGTTTAGCTCTACTAATCAGATGGTATTATTTGATATCATTAATAGGAATAATATAACAAAGTTCATAGGTTTTTTCTATAATATGCTATTACTTATTTATAAAGAAATTTACACACATTTTCAAGAAAGATATGGCATGAACTTTCATGGATATAGGCAAGAAACAGGTGGTCATAATTCAATATTAGAAAAGGCTAAACTCTTAAACAATTAATGTGTGCCCTAACTTATAGATTACATTTTTCAGAAATCAAAATAGAAGGCATGCTAAATAATATTTTTAACTACTGACAATAGATTTAAACACAATGTATATTTATGTCTATTTTCCTTTCAATATTTTCCTTGAAAAGCTCGGGAGAGAGCAAATACAAATTTTTTACAACTTTTATGGAAATCACAGAAATGTCTATCTTCATGAAAGTCTCCTGATATTTGTAGTTTAATATTTATTGGGCATGTTAGGTACATATTCAATTATTCATTTTAAATAGTAGTTTATTTTGATTTTATCCCAAATATTTAAAGCTAATTTGCAAAAATTTAATGTATCAATCATTAATAATACATGATAGTTTTATGTTATCTTATTTTTCCTTTTAATCAACTTTTTTCAATAATTTTTACCAGCATTTATTCTATTTACTAAGTTGACAAAAATTATAAGACTTTTAAAAATCTCATAATATACTTTCAAAAACACAGATGTAAAAAATAATAAATTGATATTCTTACCCTGAAGTAACATTCTTTGTAAAAGTGCAATTTTCTTTGTTGTTTCTTTAAGGTTTTGGAATGTAAGATATAATAATGCATGAATATCAGTTTGGAAGTATTAGTGGCTCCTGGCAATCTTGATAATGAATTATGTTTCATTGTTCTTCTCCATAATCCAGAGAAAACCTGAACACTGAAGCAAAAGAATGGAACCCAATACCTGTTCACACAGATAGGATCTCTTTTTCCTCTTCTCTGTAACAGTAAATTCTCATGTAAAAACCTACTAAAGGGGCTGGGTGCAGTGGCTCATGCCTGTAATCCCAGCACTTTGGGAGGCCAAGGTGGGTAGATCACCTGAGGTCAGGAGTTTGAGACCAGCCTGGACAACATGGTGAAACCCTGTCTCTACTAAAAATACAAAAATTTGCTGGGTGTGGTGGCAGGCGCCTGTAATCTTCTCAGTAGGCTGAGGCAGGAGAATCACTTGAACCTGGGAGGCACAGGTTGCAGCAGTGAGCCGAGATCACGTCATTGCACTCCAGCCTGGGCGACAAGAGCAAAACTTTGTCTCAAAAAAAAAAAAAAAAAAAAAAAAAGACTGCTGTAAATTTAGTATCATTCTTCATAGAATCTTTTAACTGAAAATATTTCATGCTCTTTCTCCTTTTCACATTACAAGCAGACTATCTGCACTTCATATGAACTGAGGGTAAGCTATATTTTCCTCTGAGGATACTGAAGTTTGTATATTAATATCTTTGCATAAACATTACCAAATTAATGAAACAGTTTTATAAATTAGCAAGCATTTAATTAATAGAGCAAAAATATCTTAGTAAATTATACAGTGACAATCCCATAAAACATTGAAGAGGGATAGTGATTGTACAGTAAATGCGATTTTACTTTTTGTTTTTACTCAATATGAATGAAATTTTACTGTATTATACACTCATGGTTTCATTTCATCAATATCCTGCAAGTAGAGAAGTAAAAAATCTAGTTTACAGTTGGTTTGTACTGTTTTTTTTTTCTTGCATAAATGTCCTTTCTGTTTTGTTTTCAAAATCAGCATGTGAGACTTGTAATGAGAAGTAAGCACTTTTTTTTTTTTTTTTTTTTTTTTTTTTTTTTTAAATTAAGACAGAGTATTGCTCTGTTGCCCAGGCTGGAGTGCAATGGCACAATCTTGGCTCACTGCAACCTCTGCCTCCCAGGTTCAAGTGATTATCCTGCCTCACCCTCCTGAGTAGCTGGGATTACACGGGTCCGCCACCACGCCCGGCTAATTTTTGTATTTTTAGTAGCAGCAGGGTTTCACCATGTCAGTCAGGCTGGTCTCAAACTCCTGACCTCAGGTGATCCACCCGCCTCAGCCTCCCAAATTCCTGGTATTTCTGGCGTGAGCCACGGCAACCGACCATGAGCAGTAAGAACTTCTATATTATTATATTGAGGAATATGTTTTCAGTTGTGATATTTTTATAGTTTGCAATTAAGGTTTTGTGTATTTAATTGTTACTAATTTTTTTATTATACTTTAAGTTCTGGGGTACATGTGCAGAACGTGCAGGTTTGTTACATAGGTATACATGTGCCATGGTGGTTTGCTGCACCCATCAATCCGTCATCTACATTAGGTATTTCTCCTAATGCTATCCCTCCCCTAGCCCCCCACACCCTAACAGGCCCCAGTGTGTGATGTTCCCCTACCTGTGTCCATGTGTTCTTATTGTTCAACTCCCATTTATGAGTGATAACATGCGGTGTTTGGTTTTCTGTTCTTGTGTTAGTTTGCTGAGAATGATGGTTTCCAGCTTCATCCATGTCCCTGCAAAGGACATGAAGTCATCCTGTGTTACAGCTGCATAGTATTCCATGGTATATATGTGCCACATTTTCTTTATTCAGTCTATCATTGATGCGCATTTGGGTTGGTTCCAAGTCTTTGCTACTGTGAAAAGTACTGCAATAAACATACATGTACATGTGTCTTTATAGTAGAATGATTTATAATCCTTTGGATATATACACAGTAATGGGATTGCTCGGTCAAATGGTATTTCTAGTTCTAGATCCTTGAGGAACCACCACACTGTCTTCCACAATGGTTGAACTAATTTACACTCCCACCAACAGTGTAAAAGCGTTCCTATTTCTCCACATCCTCTCCAGCATCTGTTGATTCCTGACTTTGTAATGATCTCTGTTTTAACTGGCGTGAGATGGTATCTCATTGTGGTTTTGAGTTGCATTTCTCTAATGACCAGTGATGATGAGCTTTTTTTCATGTGTCCGTTGGCCGCATAAATGTCTTCTTTTGAGAAGTGTCTGTTCATATCTTTTGCCCACTTTTTGATGGGGTTGTTTTTTTCTTGTAAATTTGTTCAAGTTCTTTGTAAATTCTGGATATTAGCTCTTTGTCAGATGGATAGATTGCAAAAATTTTCTCCCATTCTGTAGGTTGCCTGTTAACTCTGATGATAGTTTCTTTTGCTGTGCAGAAGCTCTTTAGTTTAATTAGATCCCATTTGTCAATTTTGGCTTTTGTTGCAGTTGCTTTTGGTGTTTTAGTAATGAGGTATTTGCCCATGCTATGTCCTGAATGGTATTGCCTAGGTTTTCTTCTAGGGTTTGATGGGTTTAGTTCTTACGTTTAAGTCTTTAATCCATCTTGAGTTAATTTTTGTATAAGGTGTAAGGAAGGGATCCAGTTTCAGCTTTCCACGTATGGCTAGCCAGTTTTCCCAACACCATTTATTAAATAGGGAATTATTTCCCTATTTCTTGTTTTTGTCAGGTTTGTCAAAGATCAGGTTGTTGTAGATGTGTGGTGTTATTTCTGAGTCCCCTGTTCTGTTCCATTGGTCTATATATCTGTTTTCCTGCTAGTACCATACTGTTTTGGTTACTGTAGACTTGTAATATAATTTGAAGTCAGGTTGCATGATGCCCCCAGCTTTGTTCTTTTTGCTTAGGACTGTCTTGGCTATGCAGGCTCTGTTTTGGTTCCATATGAAATTTAAAGTGTTTTCTTTTTTTTTCCAATTCTGTAAGGAAAGTCAATGGTAGCATGATGGAGATAGCGTTGAATCTATAAATTACTTTTGGCAGTATGGCCATTTTCACAATGTTGATTCTTCCTATCCATAAGCATGGAATGTTTTTCCATTTGTTTGTGTCCTCTCTTATTTCCTTGAGCAGCGGTTTGTGGTTCTCCTTGAAGAGGTCCTTCACGTTCCTTGTAAGTTGTATTCCTAAGTATTTTATTTTCTTTGTAGCAATTGTGAATGGGAGTTCATTCATGATTTGACTCTGTTTGTCTGTTATTGGTGTATAGGAATGCTTGTGATGTTCACACATTGATTTTGTATCCTGAGACTTTGCTGAAGTTGTTCATCAGCTTAAGGAGATTTGGGGCAGAGACAATGGGGTTTTCTAGATATACAATCATGTCATCTGCAAAGAGAGACAATTTGACTTCCTCTTTTCCTGATTGAATGCCCTTTATTTCCTTCTCTTGCCTGATTGCCCTGGCCAGAACTTCCAATACTATGTTGAATAGGAGGGGTTGGAGAGGGCATTCTTGTCTTGTGCCAGTTTTCAAAGGGAATGCTTCCAGGTTTTGCCCATTCAGTATGATATTGGTGGTGGATTTGTCATAAATTGCTCTTATTATTTTGAGATACGTTCCATCAATACCTAGTTTATTGAGAGTTTTCATCATGAAGCGCTATTGAATTTTTTGAAAGGAATTTTCTGCATCTACTGAGTTAATCATGTGGTTTTTGTAATTGGTTCTGTTTATGTGATGGATAACGTTTATTGATTTACGTATGTTGAACCAACCTTGAATCTCAGGGATGAAGCCAACTTGATCGTGGTGGCTACGTGTTTAGATGTGCTGCTGGATTCTGTTTGCCAGTATTTTATTGAGAGTTATTGCATCGATGTTCATCAGGGATATTGGCCTGAATTTTTCTTTAATTTCTTGTGTCTCTGCCAGGTTTTGGTATCAAGATAATGCTGGCCTCATAAAATGAGTTAGGGAGGAGTCCCTCTTTTCCTACTGCTTGAAATCGTTTCAGAAGGATTGGTACCAGCTCCTCTTTGTACTTCTGGTAGAATTTGGCTGTGAATCCATCTGGTCCTGGACTTTTTTTTGTTGGTAGGCTGTTATTTGTTGCCTAATTTCAGAACTTGTTATTGGTCTATTCAGGGATTTGACTTCTTCCTGGTTTAGTCTTGGGAGGGTGTATGTGTTCAGGAATTTATCAATTTCTTCTAGATTTTTTAGTTTATTTGCATAGAGTTGTTTATAGTATTCTCTGATGGTAATTTGTATTTCTGTGGGATTGGTGGTGATATCCCCTTTATCATTTTTTATTGCATTTATTTGATTCTTCTCTATTTTCTTCTTTATTAGTCGGCTAGTGGTCTATGTATTTAGTTGATCTTTGCAGAAAACCAGCTCCTGCGTTCATTGATTTTTTTAAGGGTTTTTTGTGTCTCTATCTCCTTCAGTTCTGCTCTGATCTTAGTTATTTCTTGTTTTCTGCTAGCTTTTGAATTTATTTGTTCTTGCTTCTCTAGTTCTTTTAATTGTGACGTTAGGGTGCCTATTTTAGATATTTCCTGCTTTCTCTTGTGGGTATTTAGTGCTATAAATTTCCCTCTACACACTACTTTAAATGTGTCCCAGAGATTCTGGTACATTGTGTCATTGTTCTCATTGGTTTCAAAGAACATCTTTATTTCTGCCTTACTTTCGTTGTTTACCCAGTAGTCATTCAGAAGCAGGTTGTTCAGTTTCCATGTAGTTGTGTGGTTTTGAGTGAGTTTCTTATTCCTGAGTTCTAATTTGATTGTACTGTGGTCTGAGAGACTGTTTTTTATGGTTTCTGTTCTTTTGCATTTGCTGAGGAGTGTTTTACTTCCAATTATGTCGTCAATTTTAGAATAAATGTGAGGTGGTGCTGAGAAGAATGTATAATCCCTTGATTTGGTGTGGGAGAGTTCTGTAGATGTCTATTAGGTCCGCTTGGTCCAGAGCTGAGTTCAAGTCCTGGATATCCTTGTTAATTTTCTGTCTCATTGATCTAATATTGACAGTGAGGTGTTAAAGTCTCCCACTATTATTGTGTGGGAGTCTAAGTCTCTTTGTAGGTCTCTAAGAACTTGCTATATGAATCTGAGTACTCCTGTATTGGATGCATACATATTTAGGATAGTTAGCTCTTCTTGTTGCATTGATCCCTTTACCATTATGCAATGCTCTCTTTGCCCCTTTTGTTGTTTGTTGGTTTAAAGTCTGTTTTATCCAAGACTAGGATTGCAACCCCTACTTTTTTTTTTTTTGGCTTTCCATTTGCTTGGTAAGTATTCCTCTATCCCTTTATTTTGAGCCTATGTGTATCTTTGCACATGAGATGGGTCTCCTGAATACAGCACACCAGTGGGTCTTGACTCTTTATCCAATTTGTCAGTCTGTGTCTTTTAATTGGGGCATTTAGCCCATTTATATTTAAGGTTAATATTGTTATGTGTGAATTTGATCCTGCCATTAAGATGCTACCTGGTTATTTTGTCCGTTAGTTGATGCAGTTTCTTCATACCAATGATGATCTTTACAATTTGGTACTGGTATGTTTTTGCAGTGGCTGGTACCAGTTGTTCCTTTCCATGTTTAGTGCTTCCTTCAGGCAATAGATCTATAAGACATCTTTGAAACACTTACTGGATCTACTTAATCTAAAGGAACCACATTAGAGAAACTTGACCAAAAGAAAATGTATTAGTAAAAATTAATACAAATAACATATGCTAATTTTAAATAAAAGTATATGTTAGGCTAAGCATGGTGGTTCATGCCTGTAATCCTAGCACTTTGGGAGGCTAAGGAGAAGGCAATGCTTGAGCTCAGAATTTGGAGACCAGCCTGGGCAACATAGTAAAACCCTGTCTCTACAAAATAAAAGATAAAAATAAATTAGCCAGGTGTGGTAGAACATGCTTGTAGTCCCAGCTATTGAGAAGCTGACACGGAAGGATCGCTTGAGCCTGGGAGGTTGAGACTGCAGTGAGGTGTGCTTACATCACTGTATTCCAGCCTGCATGAAAGAATGAGACCCTGGCTCAAAAGGCAAAAAAAAAAAAAAAAAAAAAAAAGTGTATATTTCCTATCTGAACCTGTATAAGACTTAATTTTCCAAATGAAACATAATTTGCTGTCCTCCAAAATGAACAGAAAATATCTCTGATGTTTTAATATAAACTTTAGAAATTTATTTGGATATTTTTTCACTTTTGTTGATTCCCAGTATTCAAATTCCTAATGTTATGTGCAGGATATTTAGGTCATACATGGTTTTATTAACAAAAACTCAGTAGTGTGAATGGCTAAAACAAAATATTTCTATACATGTGGTGTTATTTTATAACTGACAATTACATAGTGCTGGATTTTTATTTGTAAATATTTACAAATAGAAGTTTTTCATATTAATTATAGAAAAGGAATTTAAGGGAAAAAATAGAACCAGGAAATCTATTATAATTTATTGTTCCATGTAAACATATATGCTATGAATATTTGTGAAGATTATTATAAGATTTAGAGTGATTTACTAATAGTGATCCTAAAGCATGTATGTTTTTCATCCAAATTTAAAAATCTCAATATAACTGTGATGGTTAATATTGAGTGTCAACTTGATTGGATTGAAAGATGCAAAGTACTGTTCCTAGGTGTGTCCATGAGGGTGTTGCCAAAGGAGATTAACATTTGAGTCAGTGGACTGGGAGAGGCAGACCCACCCTCAATCCAGGTGGGTAGCATCTAATCAGCTGCCAGCACAGCTAGGATAAAAGCAGGCAGAGGAACCTAGGAGGCCTAGACTGTCTAAGTCATCTGATCTCCACCTTTTTCATGTGCTGGATGCTCCCTGCTCTTGAACATTAAACTCCAAGTTCTTTGGCTTTTGGACTCTTGGACTTACACCAGTGATTTTCCAGGGGCTCTCAGGCCTTCAGGCACAGACTGAGGCTGCACTATTGGCTTCCCTACTTTTGAGGTTTTGGGGCTTAGACTGGTTTCCTGGCACCTCAGCTTGCAGAGTCCCCCTGTTGTGGGATTTTAACTTGTGATTGTGTGAGTCAATTCTCCTAATAAACTCCCCTTCATATATTCATCTATCATATTAGTTCTGTCCCTTTAGAGAACCCTGACTAATAACAGATTTTGGTACCAGGAGTGGTTCCAGAGGAACAGTTTAAGGATGGATTCCTTTAGTTGGTTTTGAGATTTCTGGAGTTGGCTGCTTAATATCATTAGACCCCAAAATGCTAAGGACTCTACTTCTAATAGCATAGAGAATACTGATAGTCCTTGGTATGAACTGTTTAGAGAGTTATACAAAATAAATGCATTTGATATTCCTGATTCACCACTTGTGAGAGGCAAGGAGTTTAGTGACTCTATGCATAATACCTTTGACTATATGTGGAGAACCAAGGCATATAATAAAGTTCGTTGGTTGCTCCTAAGTTCACTGGACAAAGTGATGAAAGAAAACGATGAACTCAAGAATTCTAATTCTTGGAAACACTGAGCCTCAAATCTTCTAACATTGCTCTGAATGAGAATCTTATTTCCTGTAGAGAAAGAACTGAAATTGTGGAAAATCAGACACAAGCTCTTATCATGTAAGTGGCTGACCTGCAATAAAAGATGCACGCACAGCCTCGCCAGGTGTCTACTGTTAAAGTGAGGGCATTGATTGCAAAAGAATGGGAGCCTGCACCTTGGAATGGGGACGTGTAGGAGGACCCTGATGAAGCTCTAAGGACACAGAGCTTGTAAACTCTGATGAGCCTTTTATGCCAGAGGAAACAGCTTCCCCATCCCCAGTGGTGGCAACATCCCCTCCCTGACCCATGCTGCAATCAGCCTTTCCACTTTTGTCTGAGGAGATTAACCTTGAACTGCCTGAGGCAACAGTAATGGATTCCCTGAGGAAGTTGCCAGGCAAGACAATTTTGATTCTGCTCAGAATCCAGCCCCAACGCTCCTGTTTGCTTCTAGATCTATAACTAGACAAAGGTCCTGGCAGGCCTCTAAAGGTGAGCTTCAGAGTGTGACCCATGAGGTCCACTATACTCCACAAGACTATACTGTACTATAAAAGAACTGCTTGAGTTTTCTGATTTATATAAGCAGAAATCTGGAGAACAGGCATGGGAATGGATATTAACGGTGTAGGATAATGGTGGAAGAAACGTAAAGTTGGATCAAGATGAATTGATTGATTTGAGCCACACTAAGCAGAGATTCTGCATTTAATATTGCAGCTCAGGGAGATAAAAAGGATTATAATAGTTTATTTTATTGGTTAGCTGAAATATGGATCAAAAGATGGACCACTGTGAGTAAGTTAGAAATTCCTGATCTCCCCTGGTTTAATGTAGAGGAAGAGATCCAAAGGCTTAGGGAGATTGGGATGGTGGAGTGGATTAGTCACATTGGACCTACTCATCCCAGCTGGGAGGGTCCAGAATACATGTCCTTCACTAATAATTTGTGAAATAGATATGTGAGGGCAGCACCTGCATTCTTGAAGAGCTCTGTGATTGCTCTTCTCTGTATGTCACATCTTACAGTGGGAACTGCAGTCACTCAACTATAAAATTTCAGTGCATTGGGAATAATTGGATTCCTAGGAGGCAGGGACCAAGGGGCAACACTCAACCATCAAAGGAGGGTGGGCATAGTTATAATAGACAGCAGAAGCAAAGCTGCAATCAGAATAGTCTGACTCGTGCAGAGCTCTAGCATTGGTTGATTAAGTGTTCTTAGAAGTAAAATTGATAGAGAGCCTACTGCATTCTTGCTTAATTTATATAAGTAGAAAACTTCCAGGTCGAGTGGTCAAAAGACTCATTTGAATTTTAAAAATAGAGAATCATGGCCCCCTCAATCAATTTCCAGACTTAAACCAGTTTACAGAACCAGATCCCCTTTAATGAAGGGGAGGCTGTGTCCCCTTGAGGAAGAACCCCACTACACTGCCAAGAATTTATGCTATTAATCTTTCTCCCATTTTTCCCCAAGGAGACCTATGACTGGCTTTTTACCAGGGTAACAGTGCATTGAAAAAATAAAAACGATCAGACCTTTCAGGGACTACTGTACACTGGCTCTGAGCTGACGTTGATTCTAAGGGACCAAAAATGTCATTGTGGTCCTCCAGTTAAAGTAGGGGCTTAGAGGTCAGGTAACTAGTGGAGTTTTAGCTCAGGTATGACTTACACTGGGTCCATGGATCCCTGGACTCATCCTGTGGTCAATTCCCCAGTGATAAAAATGCATAATTGACATAGACATACTTAGCAGCTGGCAGAACTCCCACATTGGCTCCCTGACTGATTAGGGCTATTATGGTGGGAAAGATCAAATGGAAGCCACTATAGATGCCTCTACCTAGAAAAATAGTAAATCAAAAACAATATTGCATCCCTGGAGGGATTGTGGAGATTATTGCTACCATCAAGGACTTGAAAGACACAGGGTTGGTGATTCCCCACCACATCTCCTTTCTCCTATTTGGCCTCTGCAGAAGACAGATGCATCTTGGAGAATGATAGTGGATTATCATAAGCATAACCAAGTGGTGATTCCAATTGCAGCTGCTGTACTAGATGTGGTTCTATTGCTTGAGCAAATTAACACATCTCTTGGCACCTGGTATGTAGCCATTGATTTGGCAAATTCTTTTTTCTGCATTCCTGTCCATAAGGTCCACCAGAAGCAATTTGCCTTCAGCTGGCAATATAACTTTAATGTCCTACTTCAGGGATATATCAACTTTGTGTAATAATCTTGTTCGGAAAGCTCTTGATCGCTTTTCTCTTCCACAAGCTATCACGCTGGTCCATTACATTGAAGATACTATGCTGACTGGATACATTAAGTGAGAAGTAACAAACACACTGAACTTATTGGTGAGATATTTGCATGCCAGGGAATGGGAAATAAGTCCTACTAAATTCATGGACCTTCTACCTCAGGAAAATTTCCAGGGGTCCAGTGGTGTGAGGCCTGTCGAGATATTCCTTCTAAGGTGAAGGATAAGTTTCTGCATTTGGCCCCTCCTACAACCAACAAAGAGGCACAATGCCTAGTGGGCCTATTTGGATTTTGGAGGCTACACATTCCTCATTTGGTTGTGTTATTCTGGTACATTTATGGAGTTACTGGAAAAGCTGCCATTTTTGAGTGGGGTCCAGAACAGAAGGAGGCTCTGTAACAGATCCAGGATGCTGTGCAAGCTGCTCTGCCTCTTGGGCCATATGACCCCGCAGATCCAATGGTGCTTGAGGTGTCAGTGGCAGATGGGGATGCTGTTTGGAGCCTTTGGCAGGCTCCCATAGGTGAATCACAGTGGAAACCTCGAGGATTCTGGAGCAAGTCCCAGCCATCTTCTGCAGGTAACTACTCTCTTTTTGAGAACCAGCTCTTGGTCTGTTACTGGGCTTTGGTGGAAACTGAATGTTTGACTGTGGGTCATCAAGTCACCATGTGATCTGAACTGCCTATTATGAACTGGGTGCTTTCTGACCCATCTAGCCATAAAGTGGGTTGTGTGCAACAGCATTCTATAATCAAATGGAAGTCATATGTATGTGATCAGGCTCTACCAGGTCCTGAAGGCACAAGTAAGTTACATGAGGAAGTGGCTTGAATGCCCATGGTCCCCACTCCTGCCTTTTCTCCCCCATCTTGCACCAATGGCCTCATGGGGCATTCTCTATCATCAGTTAACAGAGAAAGAGAAGACTAGGGCCTGGTTCACACATGGTTTTGCACGACATGCAGGCAGCATCTGAAAGTGGATGGCTGTAGCACTACAGCCTCTTCCTAGGACATCCCTGAAGGACAGCTGTGAAGGGAAATCTTCCCAGTTGGCAGAACTTCAAGCAGTGCAACTCGTTGTGCACTTTGTTTGGAAGGAGAAATATCCAGATATGTGATTAGATATTGATTCATGCGTTGTAGCCAATGCTTTGGCTGGATGGTCAGGGACTTGGTAAAAGTACGATTGAAAAATTGGTGGCAAAGAAATTTGGGCAAGAGGTGTGTGGATAGGCCTCTCTGAGTGGTCAAAAACTGTGCAGATATTTGTATCTCACGTAAGTGCTCACTAAAGAGTGACCTTAGCAGAAGAGTACTTTAATAACCAAGTGGATAGGATGATGAGTTCTGTGGACACTACTCAGTCTCTTTCCCCACTCACCCCTGTTATCATCCAATGAGCCCATGAACAAAGTGGCCATGGTTGCAGGGATGGAGATTACACATGGGCTTAGCAACATGGACTTCCACTCACCAAGGTTGACCTGGCTATGGCCACTTCTGAGTGACAAATTTGACAGCAGCAGTGACCAGCACTGTGCCCTCCATATGTCACCATTTCTCGAGGTGATCAGCCAGCTACTTGTTGGCAGGTTGATTATATTGGACCTCTTCCATCATGGAAAGGACAGCAGTTTGTTCTTACCAGAATAGACACTTACTCCGGATATGAGTTTGCATATCCTGCACGTAATGTTTCTGCCAAGGCTACCATCCATGGACTCACAGAATGCCTTATTTACCATCATGGTATTCACTTTATGGCAAAAGAAGTGCAGGAGGGGGCTCATGCTCATGGAATTCACTAGTCTTACCATGTTCCCTGCTATCCTGAAGCAGCTGGATTGATAGAACATTGGAGTGGCCTTTTAAAGTCACAATTACAATGCTAACTTGGTGATAATAATTTGCAGGATTGGGGCAAATTTCTCCAGAAGGCTGTGTATGCTCTGAATCAGCATCCAATATATGGTACTCTTTCTCCCATAGCCAGGATTTCTGTGTCCAGGAATCAAGTGGTGGAAGTGGAAGTGGCCCCAGTCACCATCAACCCTAGTGACATCCTAGCAAAACTGTCACTTCCTGTTCCTGCAACATTATGTTCTGCTGGCCTACAGGTCCTAGTTTCAGAATGAAGCGTGCTGCCACCAGGAGACAGAACAAAGATTCCATTAAACTGGAAGTTAAGATTTCCACCTGGACACTTTGGGCTCCTCCTATCTCTAAGTCAGCAGGCTAAGAAGGGAGTTACAGTGTTGGCTGGGGTAATTGACCTGGACTATCAAGATGAAATCAGTCTGTTGCTCCACAATGGAGGTAAGGGAGAGTATGTGTGGAATACGTAAGATCCCTTAGGACATCTCTTAGTATTATCATACCTTGTGATTAAGGTCAATGGAAAACTACAGCAACCCAATCCAGGCAGGACTACAAATGGCCCAGACCCTTCAGGAATGAAGGTTTGGGTCACTCCCCTGGGTAGAAAGCCATGACCTGCTGAGGTGTTGCTGAAGGCAAAAGGAATACGGAATGGGTAGTAGAAGAAGGTAGTCATCCATACCAGCTATGACCATGTGACCAGTTGCAGAAATGAGCACTGTAATTGTCATGAATATTTTCTCTTTATTTTATTAAGAACATGTTTGTGCCTGCATACACTTGTACTAAGAAAATATCTTCACTTTAATTCCTTTCGTTTTTCTTTATCATGTGACATAAGATTTATTGACTCCACATCAGCATTTAAGTGTTGTTAACTTTATGTAATAGCATGTAGGTTAAGGATTAGTGTTCTTCCTGTTGTAAGAAGGATAGCTGTATTATGTTAGGTGTAATTATAACCTTATAATTGTCTTTATTTGAAGATTATATAGATTTCAGGAGATGTGTATGGGTTCAAGTTGATAAGGGGTGGACTTGTGTTGCTTAATATTGAGTGTCAATTTGATTGGATTGAAGGATGCAAAGTATTGTACCTGGGTGAGTCCGTGAGGATGTTGCCAAAGGAGATGAACATTTGAGTTGGTGGACTGGGAGGGGCAGACTGTATTAGTCCATTTTCAAACTGCTGATAAAGACATACCTGAGACGAGGAAATTTACTAAAGACAGGTTTATTGGACGTACAGTTCCACGTGGTTGGGAAAGCCACAAAATCATGGTGGAAGGTAAAAGGCACATCTCACATGGTGGCAGACAAGAGAAGAAGTGTGCTTGTGCAGGGAGACTCCCATTTTTAAAACCATCAGATCTTGTGAGACTTATTCACTATCACGAGAGCAACATGAGAAAGACCTGCTGCAATGATTCAGTTACCGCCCACCAGGTCCCTCCCATAACACTTCGGAATTCAAGATGAGATTTCGGTGGGGACAAAGCCAAACCATATCACAGATCCACCCTCAGTCTAGGTGGGCAGCATCTAATCAGCTTCCAGCATGTCTTGGATAAAAGCAGACAGAGGAATGTGGAAGGTTTAGACTGGCTAAGTCTTCTGGCCTCCATCTTTCTCTTGTGTTGGATGCTTCCTGCCCTCGAACATCAGACTCCAAGTCATTGGTAGCTTGATGGGCATGGCATTGAATGTATAAATTACCTTGGGAAGTATGGCCATTTTCACAATATTGATTCTTCCTATCCATGAGCATGGAACATTCTTCCATTTGTTTGTGTCCTCTTTTATTTCGTTAAGCAGTGGTTTGTAGTTCTCCATGAAGAGGTCCTTCACATCCCTTGGAAGTTGGATTCCTAGGTATTTTATTTTCTTTGAAGCAGTTGTGAATGGGAGTTCACTCATGATTTGGCTCTCTGTTTGTCTGTTATTGGTGTATAGGAATGCTTGTGATTTTTGCATATTGATTTTGTATCCTGAGACTTTGCTGAAGTTGCTTATCAGCTTAAGGAGACTTTGGGCTGAGACAGTGGGGTTTTCTAAATACACAATCATGTCATTTGCAAACAGGGACAATTTAACTTCCTCTTTTCCTAATTGTATACCCTTTATTTCCTTTTCTTGCCTGATTGCCCTGGCCAGAACTTCCAACACTATGTTGAATAGGAGTGGTGAGAGACGACATTCCTGTCTTGTGCCAGTTTTCAAAGGGAATGCTTCCAGTTTTTGCCCATTCAGTATGATATTGGCTGTGGGTTTGTCATAAATAGCTCTGATTGTTTTGAGATACATTCCATCAATACCTAATTTATTGAGAGTTTTTAGCATGAAGGGCTGTTGGATTTTGTCGAAGGCCTTTTGTGCAATTGAAAATATGTCAAGATTAAATGTACAATTCATAAATACAATTGCTAGCATACTTATAGAAATATATTTGTAAATGTCTTATGATTGGGGAGGAAGAAAAGAGTGATGGACAAATGTACTAGTATTTAGCGTTGATATAAATATGTGATTTAAAGATATCTTAAGCAGGCTTCAAATATCTAAATTTGATTGAAAGGTGCCTTATGTAGGCTGTGTGTGTGTGTGTGTGTGTGTGTGTGTATGTGTATATATATTACACACACACATATACACACATGTGTGTATGTTTACATTTATTTAATTGTACTCCTGAACAATGTTTCTCATGATTGATTTTCTCCTTTCTCTTTACTTTCCTTCTTTTCTTGCATTAGCTTGTTGCAATAAGTGTAGCCAGTATGGTCCAGAATAATGAATCCTGTACTCTGTTGCTAAAGAGTGTCTCTTGAAGAATTGAGATTATGTTTGAATTCCTTCATGAGCTCTCCCCTTGAAAAAGCAGGTTAGATTTGACATTTGTAATATCTTTTTCACTAACAGACACTGTTAGTTGTTTGAAATTATGTATAGTAGTCCCAAGCATTATTATCTCTAGATGAAAAAATGGAATTAATATTGTTTACCTAGAGTGTTAATGGCATTACAGATATCCTTGAGTGTATGCATTTTTAAAAGATTATTACTTTCTACATTTGAAAAGGAATTTTTATCTCCTCATAAAGATGGAATAAAAGGACCACATTTACTCTCCTGCCTGAAACAACAAAAGACAAGGCAATTACATGAAATAACTGTTTTCAAGACACTAGACATCAGGCAGCAAGGACAATGATCCCTAAGGGACACACAAAAAATAAAATAAGCTCTATGATTTCTCTATTTACTGCCTTGAGAGAGATTCCAAGTTGTGGCATTGGTAGGGTGAACCTAGGTGTAATGCAAAGACCTTCTGTGTTGAGATTCAGCTAAGAGAAGCAGGAGATCAAGACTGCTGAACTTTCTGGACAAATTATCAGAGAACAGAGAGCTGCATAGAGAGAGAGAACTCCAGAGGTCTCCTGAGGTCCTCCCTTAAGTATTCAGAATATGGATTGACACAGATGAAAATCACAACAGCAATGATTGATTTCACAAATTATGAGACCAGATAAAGAAAGTACCTCTGAAATGATTAGAGATAAGGGTGTCTGGCACTTACATATAGCTGAGAACATTGTCTGCTTCTATCAGCCAGATGTAAAAGCCTCATAATTTATAGGGCACTTAGTAGGGTACTCAGAAAGGTCTTGCTTTAGTGGTGCAAAATAATAACATGCAGACTAAATCCTCCTCTGGAGAAGGATCGCAAAAATGAAAAGCCATGCTACAAACTAGGAAAAATACATTTAAGTCACATATCTGATAATGGACTTGTGTTCAGAATATATAAACTACTCCCAAAACTCAGTAATAGAAAAACAGTTTATCAAAAAATGAGCAAAATATTTGAACTGATACTTCACTAAAGAAGATATATGTATAGCCAGTAAATACATAAAAATACTCAACATTATCTTTTACTAAGGAATCACAAATTGAAACCAGTAAGAAATATGACTGTAAATCTTTTAAGCTAAAATTGAAATACTAACAATGATAAGTCCTGGAGAGGACTGCCTAGTTCATAATTTTATTTGACCTCATAGACTTCTGAGAGACTTGCATTCCCTCATAAGTGTATTTTCTACTTGCAACCTCCCTTGAAAATATTATTTTGAGGTGAAGTTCAACCGGAATGCCCTATGGTTTTTCCTAAATCCAGTTATATTAACTCTCTGTATTTCTAGAAACTCACCAATATGATGCACTAATAACTTTGCAGAATTGTGAGGATTTTTATCTATTTATATGAGCTTGTTAATATTGCAAGAGTAAATTTGGAGCAGAAACATAAAGATTATAGAGCATAATGCCAGATTGATCTTGAAGGCCATGCTCATGTTTCCCTATGTATTTAAAGATACTTTTTGCAATTATATGTTTTAAATGACAGTATTGGCTTAAAATATTTATTTACAAAATTTGTAATTAAAACTATTTGCCTTAATATAGCAACATAAT
Organism: Homo sapiens; assembly: GCF_000001405.40. Taxonomy (NCBI): domain Eukaryota; kingdom Metazoa; phylum Chordata; class Mammalia; order Primates; family Hominidae; genus Homo; species Homo sapiens. The sequence continues at coordinate 189,177,025 of NC_000001.11, forward strand.
TTTAGACAATAATATATGCTCATATCATTGTAAAATATTTTCTACACTCATCTGTCATGGATAATACTACCATTAATCTTGACCTTTCTTATATCCTAAGAACTAGGGAATGGTATGCATGAAGATAATGGCAAGAATAATATGCCACTTATTAAAATTCCAGATTTCGGCTTCAATTTACTAGCTATTCCACATATTAATGACCAATTTCTGGAGTCTGCAATAAGATCTAGTAAAGTTGTCATAAAATTATAACCCTAAGGGTTGAAATTGAACTACAAATTACTTTTGCTTCACCAGCAGTATTTTTAAAACTGAATTTAAATTTGGTGGGGACATTCATCTCAGATAGAATACACCTCTACACCCCTGGTTTAAGATAGACCTTTTCAAGGATGGGATGATTTCCTCATATGGGAGTTAATGCCAGTATCATATTGTTATATCAGCTACATGGAGCCCTAAAAGAGCATATGCTCCTAAAAGACCTTGGAATATCAGACTCAAGAAAAAGAAAACCCAAATAAGAAAATGTTTCTTTAAAAAAAATATATTCTTTCTTTTTCTTTAATACCCTGTAAGAAGACTGAAACTTAGCTAAATATGCCAACTCATCTATTGATAGATTTAGTCAATTATTATATTTTTGCATTGTGTTATTTAACTCAGTATTTTGAGATAATTATGGATTTATAAGCACTTGTAAGAAATAATACACACATGCCTCATGCCCTTCACCCAGTTCCTTCCAATAGTAATCTTTTGCCCCTGTTGTCTTATGAAGCAACTCTTGGAACAGGTATTTGAGTGCTCCTGTCTTCTTTGTCTAGCATCTTCTCTGCTCATCATTTTTTCTGTTCATCATCTTTTCTGCTTCAACTGGGTCCCTCTCAGTCTTTGTAACTTTTCTTAGGGTTTCACAGATATTACTTCTTTGCCAAGGCTCTTATGGCTTTGATGAAATACCTTGATGTGTAATGCTGCCTGTGTAGAAACAGCTGCTTACCTGGAGAATGCTGCATTTTCTTACCAAGTTTAAAAACTATTAGTACCCTAAGTCTTAGAATATCTTCTCTTGGCTATAGCTGTTAAAATACAATTAAAATCAGTATATCAGAGAGATATCTGCACTCTCATGTTCATTGTAGTGTTATTCACAATAGCCAAAATTTAAAATCAACTTAAGTGATCCTCAACAAATAGGTAAAAAGAATGTGAGATATATACATACATACATAAATACACACACACACATAGACAGACACACACACACACAATAGAATACTATGCAGCTTAAAGGAAAAGGAAATTTTGTAATTTGTGAAAACATAAAAACATGGGTGAATCTGGAGGACCTTATTTAAGAAAAATTTAAAAAAAAACAGGCACAGAAAGATAAATACTAAATCATCTAACTTACATGTGGAATGTACTAATGTTGAACTCACATAAACAAAGAATAAAATGATGGTTACCAATGGCTGATGAGTCGGGATTGGGAACATGTTAGTCAAAAGACATACAATTTCAGTTTGACAACAGGAATACGTTAAAGAGGTATGCTGTACATTGTGGTGACTACAGATAAAAGCAACATATTGTATTTTTGAAAATCTCTAAGAGAATAGGTTTTAAGTGTTCTCAGTATAAACAAAGTGCGATAATGCATATATTATTTAGCTCCATTTAGCCATTCCACAATTTACTCATATATCCAACATTACATTATACATCACAAAAATATACAATTTTTACTTGTCAATTAAAATAAATCATAAGTAATATAACTACAGAACTTAAAAGTTACATGGTCTAATATAAGCCTGTATGAATTATCAGCTCAGAATGCTCTTCTTACACACTAAACACTTGACTTGGCAATGCTAAAAGCCTGAACTCAAGTAAAGATTGGTTTACATCTGTAGACAAGTTAGATGTGTGTATCAGAATCTTAAAATTAAAGAGTTTTTGCCCAATTAACTCTAAGTTACATGTCTAATTTTTTCTGCTTCTTTGCAATTTATGCTAGAATATGCAAGAGATAATGTTCTTGTTTCCTGTATCAATATCTCCTCTCAAGAAAAGGAAGAAAGGACAGAGTTATGTACCCTGAGTTCACTAATCAGATAAAAGTTGTGGAGAGAAGCTGATAATATTATGCTAATGAAGGGTTATGAGTACCATCTCTTTCCACCAACATGTATTTCCTCTCGTTGGTTATGTTTCCTTCTCTTGTTTTATGTTTCCAATGTTGTCCTTAATCTATTTGATGACATTTTGTTTATTAAAAGCTTTTTTTTTTCCTGGTACAATGATTCCATTTCTTCTGCTTTAGACACAAATTAAACATTCTAATGAGGATGGCTGTGGCAGGGACTTCCACTTGCCTACTCAGATAATTCATTCTCTTTTCTTGGTTTTGTTTTTGTTGTTTGATTACAATAATAAGACAGAATGTCTCAGAAAAGAGTTATGTCCAGCTAAAAATATAAACTTTACCTTCCCTCACATAATAGGTGATACCAATCAAATATAAGAAAATTTTGGGGGAGTTTCAATGAAAGCTCCTTAAAGAGGCCTGACTCTTGAATCAACTGGTAGGCTCCTTTTGCCCTTTGCTCTTTTTCTTCTTGCCTAGAAAGTGGCTGTGATTGCTAGAGCTTCGACAACCAGCTTTTAAGCTTGAGGAGACTTTGAGTATGCAGAGCACATGATATCTATGATAGAGTAGATACATAAGATCCTGGATTTCTGATGGTTTTATACAATTGTGTTGTACAAGCCCTAGACTGTCTCCTTAAACTTTGACGTAATGTGAGATAAAAAATCGGGCCTTAAGGTCTTTAGTAGAGAACTCTGTTACTGTAAGCCGAATGAAATTTATTTCTTATTTACTCCCCCAAAAATACAACAAGCAGCAAAACTTAATTTCTCTACTGGCAATCCCAACTCATTAGCTTTCTGTTTTTCTCTCCTTATTATCAAACTTTATGCAAATAACAATGCTTTACTGGCCCTGTGCTGTTTCTGGTAGCAGTATCTTAACCCATCATCCAGTACTTATATCTAATGATAAAAAACATGAGTAAAGGTTTATATATAATATATGATTTAAAAAGGAAGTATTTTAGAACATGAGAAAACAGAAAAACAGTTTCAATTTCAGTTCATGTAGCAGAATCTGATGGACAGCAGACATTTTCTTCTTGAACAGTTAAGACCATGAAAGGTTCTTCACTCATCTCTTGCACAAGATTTTCTAGTGATAATCAACAGGATTGTGAAACCAATGTGCATGGGAGCTGTGGATTTGAATGATGTTAAGTAGATTTAAAAACAGAGAGGCTGGATAATGTTGATACTTTGTAATAATTGTGTAAGTAGAGATATAGCACTGTATCAATTAATTAAATGAATTTAATGTAATTGTTTTAGATCTGTTGCTAAAGAGGTGTAGAAAATAGGATGCCAGAATCTTTAACATGTTAACCTTAGCTAATGCTGAGATTTCTAATTGAAAGGGATAAACTTCTGGCTCACTGCCGTATTGATAATTAGCAGTGTGTTCTTTTTGCTCCCCATCACACTGTTTATGTATTTTCCTTAGAGATAACATGTATTATGATAACATTTTATGAAAATGTACAGTATGCTGTGAGACACTTTAGGGTATGAATAATTTCTTATTCATCTCAGTATCTGTAGTAGCCAGTACAAATCTGATACAGAGTAGGATTTAAATAAACCTGTGCTTTATGAATGAATGCTAGTGGAAAAAAAATACACAGAAGTAATAAGAAGGGAAGTATCCTTTTCAGAGAAAATGATGAAGTCTGCTTTTCATATTGTAATATTAAGTATTTTTGAAGATATAATATTTATATAAGTTTATATTAAAGAATAATAAATATTTGAGGCATGAAGAAAGGAAGAACTTTGATATTCTTATCATTTAAGTTGTGTGGTTTTAAATGCATTAGTAGATACAGCTGCCTTATTTAATTTACAATTTTGTGTCATTTCTAGTTTTTTCTTGGCTAGATCTATCAGTTTTTGTGTTAGTTGTGTCAAAAGCTAACTTAATATACCATGGTAACTTGTAATTTCATTTAATTTACACACATATACACATTTGAAATCATATTCTAGGTTTATGAAGTTCATATTTTTATATCTTATTGGTAATTTTTCTTATACAGCATTTTACTTTTCTTATTAATGTGTTTTTGCCTGAAATTCATTAATTTTTATTAACTTTTGCTTAACCAGTTTTAATTGGTAAATATTTTTCATAATTTTTCATCATTTTTGTTTGATTTTCAATGTGCCTTTGTTTTTGGTGCTTAATAGCAGTATGGAAATCAAGTTTTGTTTTGCTCATTTTGTGCTTTTTATTACCATGCTTTTAAGTTTTTTCTAAAAAAATGTTAGGGTAGATTGATAGATTGAACTTTTTAATCAGTCTTTTGATGTTTTTTTAAAATTGATATACAGTAAATTTTACCATATATCATAATTACAACAAGATGTGAAAATTTCAGAGAAGAATAAATCAACCCCTCTGTATCAAGGAAATAGAATGGTACTAGTAACCCCACACACTGCCTTTCTTATATGCACCACCTTCCATCCCCTAAAAGCGAACCTATTCTGAACTTTTATTTTATTTAAAAAAATTATTTTCTTTAAAATGTTACTACATATATAAGTATCCCTTAAAATATGTTTGCATATAGTTATTTGGACAATGGACAATGTCAAAATATCAGAGTTTTTTTTTCTCTGTGGTTTAGTCTCTTATTCAACTATGTCTTTTGAAACTCATCTAAGTTCGTTAATAATTCATTTATATGACTTTATTGTTTTTTATTATATTATATTACCATGGCTTATTTATCACATCTACTTTTGATGGCCATTTAGATACTTTCCAGTTTTTGCTATTACAAACAAGGTTGCTCACATATTCAGATGCACATTTGTGAAAGATTCTCTAAGGCAGTGGTTCTCCATTGGGGATAATTGTGCTCCTCCTAAAAGAAGATATTTGACAACATATGAAAATGTTTTAGGGTTGTTACAACTTGAGTTAGGGATTAATATTGGCATCTAAGCTGGCACAAATCACTAGAAATGTTGGTAAGCATCCTAGTATGCATAGGATGGCTGCTCCCTCAACAAGAAAGAATCACCAAGCCCCGAATGCCAATAATATTGTTACAGAAACATCATCATTCTGGGTCTAAAATCAATAGTAGAATTACTATGCATATCAAATGTATTAAGACTAAAATGTTTTCCAATTTAATTTCCCATCAGCAGTGTGTGAGAGTTCCAGTTACTCTATGTCCTTGCCAACCTTGGGTATCATCAGAATTTGACAATGAGGTGGATGTTCCAGGGTATTACATTTTCCATTAAACTTGTATTTTACTGGTAATAAATGATGTGGAACATCTTTTCTTATGTATTTTGGCCATTTGAATTACTTCGATAAATTTTCTCTTCATTTATCTTATCCTCTCTTTTATTAAAACCTGTTTTTTTTTTTACTAATTAATCCTTAGATGTATTTTATGTACTATGGAAGCTGCTACTTTTGAGAGATATGTACGTAGATTCTGCATCTAATTTTGTAGCTTTTGTTTGTACACTTGCACTTTCTTTTGAAGAACATATGTTTTTTTACTTTAATTTAATTTAATTTACATATATTTTCTTTAATATTTGAAATTTCTATGTTTTGCAAAATTTACCTCGCCTTAAAAGTGACAAAGTTATTTCCCTTTATTATCTTTTAAGCAAATAGCCTTTCAATTTACATTTAGGTATTTAATTCCTCTAGAAGTGATAACTGGGATTGGTGTATTGTTGGATTTTTTTTAACCATACAATCTTCATGCAAAATGGAAAGCTTAAATACGACTGCATGTATCTACAATATAGTTATTCTAGTACAGGATGATAATGATGGCATTTAAAACACGACAGCTGTGATTGACAAAATTAGAAATGTTCCAGAGGATTTTAGATAGTAGGTGTAAGTGGCTGTAGAAACTTCTTTAATGTAAGAGTTCAGTAGAATAAGCTGTTAAAGATGACATTTAGAAGTCTGAATGGAGTTGCTTGGGTGATCAGAGTATCTTTAAATGAGACAGAATAGAGAAAGAACAGCTTTCGTGGGATCTTGAACGCATAGAGTTTAAATGTGGATGATCATAGTTTGGAATACTGAGAAAAATAACTGGGTAGATATCGAGATAATCAAGTTGTTTTTCTGATAGATGATGACAACTCAATCCTTCCAGTCACTCAGCAAAATTGTGGTAATTATCTCTTCCTTTTAGGTCATATAACCAATCTGCTACACACATTTCTTTGCGTTTTCCTTCAAAGTATATTTAGAATCTCAGCATATTTAATGAATTTTACTACTAGCATCTGGACTTCAAACATTATGATCTTTCTCCGAGATGCTACAATAGCTCCCTGCCCATTCTTCCTGCTTCCACCTACCCCTCCCCTCTTGTCTATTTTTAATATAAAAGTGGTTGATCTTTTTAAAAACAGCAGTTAGATTAATATAAAACTTCTTATATAAAACTACCATGATACTCCAACTTACTCATAATTAAAGCCAAAATCCTTATAATTGCTTCTAAGCTCTTATAGTTCTCCCTAACTCCTGCCATTATATCTTGACCTCATGTCCTATTAATTTCCCCTAATTTCTATCTCCAATCTAATCACACTGGCTACCACGACTATCTGCTCTAACACTGGTATTTCTGACATATTACATAAGTTAAAAATATATGTTAGGTTTACTATTGTCTGCCTCTCACTACTAATAATATGCTTTATGGGTTGGAGATATTTTACTAACTTTCTGCTAGACTAAAATGTATTCCAGGAACCTACAAGGATAACTGTGATATAAAAGTTGCTCAATAAATAGTTCTCAGTAAATTGAAGTTTATTATATACAATATTATTCACTGCATTTAATAATACAGGAAAAAGTTTAGAAATCACTTTCTTCAAAAAAGGTGTTAAGTTTAATAATATGTCTCTATTTTTTTCTTGAAGATGCTGACTATATGCTGTAATTCTGAACAATCTAAAAACTTCTGTGGCTCAAAACTATGATGGTTTGATTTTTTTTTCACACTGCATATCCAAGTAGGATTATAAATGAGAGGTTGTCGTGTACCTCAAGTTATCATTCCCCCCTCTGGACCTCAGCTGTTGATGCTTCCACTATCTGGGGCATCACCATTATAGAGGGAAAATTAATATGAATTCTTACCAAGCTGCCTAAAGAACTTTCTGAATGAAAGTGACAGTTTACTAGCCAAAAAAATCAATAAATAAAAACAGGGGAAGAGAAACATTCTTACCATGTAACTAGAAGCATATTTTTATAGATGAAATATAAGTTAATATTATTTTATTGAGTTTGACTTCCTTTTACCATTTGCTTTTGCTGTTGTTAAGCTTGAGTTTAGATGAAAATACTAAACAGCTACTAAAAATAAATTATGTATAACCATGCCTTACTTACATTAAAGGCTTATATGCCAAAAATAGTTGCTGGACACAAGTTGTCTAAATCTATATGAAAAAAGACACAGGTTTTTTTTTAACATCAAAATGTTTGCAAAGTTTAAAATTTAAAATATAAAATAACTAATCAACAATGAAACAAATATCGATGTTTTAAGTTGTATTCAAGTGAAATTTTGCTATGTATCCAGACTATAAGAAAATAACAAAATAGCTCATGACAACAAATTAATACTATATAATGCATAAGTATACCACCAAATCTTGAAAAACATTTTTATTTAATCATTAAAAAAAACATACTTTATTTACTATGTATATATAGAGGGAAATACATGATTTGAAATAGATAGTGCTTAGATTTCAAAGCATATATTAACACACACTCTAAAAAAAAGAATCGTTTGTCCTTGTTATTAATAGTTACCTTGAACTACTCATTGGAAAAACATTTGATTAGAATATTAATGTTCTAATATTTTTATCACTCAAATTCAGTTCAAATAATTGTTGAGTAAGAATATTTTTTCATATGGAAAAATTTCCAAATTCAAAAAAATCTTGACTTTGTTAAAAATTTCTCAATGTAGCTGCAAGGATAAATGAATTATAAGTGTCCTTGAGTCATGTCTATTGTTCTTCCTCCTTGGCTGTTACTTGCTAGCCGAAAATCAGCATGAGAAATGACTATAGAGACAGCTGGCCAGTAAAAGAGATGATGGGCTCCAGCTGTGCTGACAGGAAAGGGAATTAAAATATAGTAAATGAGAATCTACTCATTCCTGTTTCAAAATATTTTAAAACTAATGTTATTATGATCTATTCCTATATGCATAATACTCACATATTCGGTATGTCAAACAGTTCAGACTACTCAAAATAGAGCATGTGCACATACAAAAAGAAGTTACTCATAAACTTTACCAAAACCGTGAGAATAATTGTATTTGAAGCCCATTAATTTCAAAATATAAGAATACTAGAAAAATAGAATCTGGAAACTGTTTAATGTGAGAAACTATCAAGAGGAAACCTGTATTATTATACTGAACAAAGGAACTAATATAATTTCTACCTTCAAAAAAATAGATGACTCAATGTTCATAACCTCTCTTTATAATAGTCAACTGGGAGAGTCTTTATTGTTGGTGCTTTCTGCCATGTTGAAGGCATGATTTCTCATTTTCTAAAATGATTCCCCTGGCTCAGTTGATGCTACCATCTCCTGATTCTTCCATCTGCTTCTCACTTTTTCTACTGTTATCTCTCATAGGACTATCCATTTACCTCTACACACAGGATGCTATTTCTGGGCATTCTCTTCTATTTTTGGATTTTGAATGGCTGTTTTTGTGAGGGTGACTCTCAATACCCCTCTCCAATTAGTGGTTTTTGTTTAAATCTTTATACTAAATTAATTTATTGCTTAGCATCAGCAGTTTTTTTTTGTAGGATTGGCATCAGCAGTTTGTTGTTAAGCTTGTCATTCTTAATTTTCTTAATCCCTATACATATTAAATCTATAATAATCGCACTAAGTGTTGTTTCCTTTGACAATTAGAAGAGATATAATTATTTGTTAGAGGCACATAGTAGGTTTTTGAATAATTAATACAAATGCATTAATAAATAAAATATCTCCACGTTTTTTAACCCATTATATACACACTATAGATAACACAGACACACACACACACACCTTTACCTCTGCCTAAATATTTCAATGACTTTCAGTTTATTAGAGTAAAAAACCTAAGCCCCTTACATTAAAGGCTTATATTAAAGCCTCTTATACTCGAATATTATATTATCCTTTATAATATAAAGGCTTATATTAAAGCTCTTTATATTAAAAGCTAACACTGAAGATTCTGCATGCCTTTGTCTCTACATAGCCATCCTTCTAATCCCTTATTTTGTCAAACCATATATAGATTGCTATAATTGTCTCTAATGTTTCATGTCTCCAAGTATCCATGCTCATATATAGTTTTCTGCATAGATCCTGGCTTTCAAACTTTAGTAAATGCAATACCAGAAAAGGCTAGTAAAGTTCTCATGAATTAGGATTTGCTTGTTCTTTCTGTTGGGGAGACTTTTTGCCATGTACCAAAGTCCAGAATAGCTACCTGGGCAATAACTAAGCACATGAGTAGAGGTCCCAGCTATAGCACCCATCCTAGACCTGGAGCAAACACATAGGGAAGTCTAGCTATCATTACCTGGACCAAACAAAAGCCAGCCCAGCTGAGCCTAGCCTAAACTGAGCAACAAAATTGAGAGCAAAAAAATATTATTGTTTTAAGTACTGAATTTGGAGGTGATTTACTGCGCATTAAGTGTTCAAATATTATTTAAAGATTGAAATTAATTTCATAAGCTCTCTACTACCTCTAATGAATTTTCTTTCTTCTGATAACCTCTTACTAATGTTTCAATACCCAATCTTTACATTACTGCTTTCAGAAAGATTTTCTTCCACTAACAGGCTAGGGCTAATTATCCTCTTTCATGCTCCCATAGAATACTCAGTATATAGTTATGTAATAGCTTCTCAAAGTACATTAAGTATTAAAGTCAAGGGAAAAGAAGAAGAAAACCTCAATTAAGCCTCCTTGACTTAATTACATTATCTAATTCAATTACCAGCACTAGATGATATTATATATTTAGGTAAATATTAAAGATATAATGCTTTGCCCCATCGTATCATTTCCTGATTATTGAACCCCTGCTTGAGAAAGTATGGTGAAGGATAAATATGAATTAATTATTACCATCTGAATGAGCCTTATTGTCTAATGTGACTGTACTTATTTATATTTAAGCATAATGAGCATCATTCCAAAAATTCCAAAAATACTATTTTAAAATTATAGTATTTTATTTCATATTTAATAATTAGGCAAACATTTCAACAGAGTATCAATGTTCATATTACTGAATATATATGTTAATGAGCATTCAGTTTTTCCCAAGTAACATTTTTAAAACTGTTTCCAGTCAACAATATTTATATTTAGAGAGGGTGTGGTTGTATCCCTGTATTGACCAAATAAGTTGAACTACAAAAAATTTAAGTATCTAAATTTGTTTAGAATTTAATGCATTCATACTCTAATTCATACAACCATCTTTTTTTATAATTCTTATATATGTGACATAATACTTTCAGTGAAAGTGTATTTCTTATCACGTATACTATATCCATTAAATCAATTTTATGCTTAATGAACTATAACGTGTTGCAACTTCACTGGCTTTTTCAAGCAATTCAACAATTCCTGAATAAAGTGCATTCCTTTAAACCCTTGGATTTCTTGGTTTTCTAAAGTGAGCTAACTTCTCTAAAACCTAAGCCTTCTTCACTTCTGAATTTTTTACTAAACAGTCTGATACTTTCTAATTCTTGTTCAGGTCTGTCTACCTTTACATAACTTCCTTCTTGGCAACTTTGATCCTTTATACTCCTTATGTCTAATTTATATCTCTGGAAAGGTAACAAGTGCATACTCTTAGCTACTTTTCTAAATCGTACGCTTTTCCTTATCTGAAAGTACTAAGTTCCAAACTTGGCCTTTAACCTTTTAGTTTTAATGCTTTTCTTGTTGTTATTTTATTTTGTTCTACTTACATTAGAAAAATGTACAGCATGATTTTAAACCTCTAACTACTATTCTGCTGCTCTACTCATTTATGATAGAGTCAGGAGTTAAGACAATCTGATCAAAACCATGCCATTAGCAAGATAATGTTCTAATGAAATATAAGAGTTCTAAATCTTGGATAAAAAAGTTATAAGGTGCATTGAAAGTTCAAAGTCAAAAAATGAATAAAGGTATAATGTGAAAATATCATTAAATAAATCTGGTGGGCTACTATATATCATTATAAAAGGAATAATGATAAAAAAAGTAAAAAATATATATAATAATAGGAAGCCAATAATGAGAATGTATAAGAAATCTGTATTTGTATGCACCTAACATTACAGTATAGCTTCAAATATTTACAGAAAAATTAACAAATATGTGAAGCAAATTAGACAAATATACAGTATAACAGAACAAGAGTGCAAAATAAGTCAAGACATGTTACTTAAGTAACGTGAATAACATCTTCATCAAATTGATTTATCTCCAGTATTTCATGTTACTAAAATTACTCTAAAAGTTGAATTATTGAAAAGTTTACCCCTGGATTTAGGAAGATGAGAATGCTCTGTATCATCATCTCTATTTCATATTGTATTGGAGATTTTGACAAGTATAAAGACAATATGGAAAACAAAATTTATAAATTGAAAGAGAAAGTAAACTTTAATTATTCACTAATGACATTTCCTTTTTATAATCAAATATCTATAAGCTATTAGAATTAATATGTCATTTTTAGCTTTCAATTTTGATACTATTTACTTATACATTTGTTATACTTATATATTCATACAAAATAAATTGTATTCATTCTTGAAAAAATATGATTTTTATTTTTCCTTTTCTTCCATTTTGAATTTACAATTACACTCATCTTAGGTAAACTGATATTATCCCAAAGGTGCCTGTGGTGCCATTATTTATTTTTTTGTTCTTCAGGTTTTTTTTTTTGCCTCTCTTTGCTTCAGTCTATTGACCTGACCACAGGTCTAATTAAGCTGATCCAGTGAACTTGTCATATCAAACAATGCATTTTTTCCAATTTTAATATTTATCTTTATTTTTTATGTACTATTTATTTCAATTCTGAGTTTCACCAATTATTCATTCATTGTGTTCATCCTTACCTTTACAATTTAAAACATATTTGTAGCAGCAGTTTTTTTAAATTGACACATATTTGTATGCATAATTGTACATACTTATGGGGTTCAGTGTGATATTTTGATATATGCATACAATGAATAATGAAAATCAGATAATTAACATAGCCATCATTTCAAACATTTATTCTTTGTATTGGCAACTTTCAAAATAACCTAGCAATTGGAAGATATACAATTAATTATTATTTGCTACAATTACAGTGCTATAGAGCACTAGAACTTATTTATACTACCTAGATGTAATTTTGTATCCTATCCCCCAGAACCTTCCTAGCCTCTAGTAACCACTACTCTATACTCTACTTATATAACATCAGTTTTAACATGTCTATCTGTTAATTCTCTTTAATCATCTGAGGGTCAGTCCTTTCTAATTAAGTAGGTCGCATTTTCCTTCCTCCTTCCATGTCCAGTATTTCAATTGTATAGGAAATTCGGGATGATATATTGTTAGAAGTCTGAATTTTGCTACTTTGTTGATTGTGTCTAGAGTAGCCCTTCTACTAGGGTGGTTTTTCTCAGCCTTAACATTAAGTTTTGTCTGGAAGATTCTTTGTTTTGGAGGTTGTCCTAGTCATAGTATTTAGTAGCATCCTAGGCTGCTACTCACTATATGTCAATAGTATTCCCCAAGTTGTGACAGCACAAAAATGTCTCTAATGCATTTCCAAATGTCACTGGTGAACATAATATTCCCAATTTGGGAACCACTGTTCAGAGGTTAGGGTAAGCTACTTCTAAGGTATGGTCTTCCTTGTGTTTCAATGAAATGCCTGGTGTGTTTCAGGAGGTCTTTTCTCTCCAATTAGAATCAAAATTCTAACTTATCTTAGCTGCATTAATCTTCCTGCATCTCCACTCAGCTCACAGGCTATTAGTAGCCGTTTTCAGTCAGAACTCACAGACCTCAGAATAACTCAGCTTACAGGCTATTAGTAGCCATTTTCAGTCAGAACTCACCGACCTCAGCGTACACAGTTTAGCATTCAACTGAAAATCCGAGAAGACCTCTATCCATATTTCTTAAGTTCTTTTTTTTTTCAGATTCACTTTCTATAGTACCCATTCTTGAAGATTCCAGCTGCCTTGTCCACTCTGAGCTTTTTTCTTTTTTCTTTTTTCTTTTTTTTGCCTTAAAACAATAGAAATTTATTCTCTTACAGTTCTGGAGGCCAGGGTTCTGAAATCAAAGTATTGGCAGGATGGTGGTCCCTACAGAGGTTCCAGGGAAGATCCCATTCCTTGCCTCTTCTAATTTCTATTAGCTGTTGATGCTTCTTGGTTTGTGGTTACATCACTCCAATCTTTGCCTCCTTTTTATTTATTTATTTATTTATTTATTTATTTTAAGTTTTTATTATACTTCAAGTTCTAGGGTACATGTGCACAATGTGCAGGTTTGTTACGTATGTATATGTGAGCCATGTTGGTGTGCTGCACCCATTAACTTGTCATTTATATTAGGTATATCTACTAATGCTATCCCTCCACCATCCCCCCACCCCATGACAGGCCTGGGCGTGTCATGTTCCGCTTTCTGTGTCCAGGTGTTCTCATTGTTCAATTCTCACCTATGAGTGAGAACATGTAGTGTTTTTTTTTTTTGTTGTTCTTGCGATAGTTTGCTGAGAATGATGGTTTCCAGCTTCATCCATGTCCCTACAAATGACATGAACTCATCCTTTTTATGGCTGCATAGTATTCCATGGTGTATATGTGCCACATTTTCTTAATCCAGTCTATCACTGATGGACATTTGAGTTGGTTCCAAGTTTTTGCTCTTGTGAATAGTGCCACAATAAGCATACATGTGCATGTGTCTTTATAGCAGCATGATTTATAATCCTTTGGGTATATACCCAGTAATGGGATGGCTGGGTCAAATGGAATTTCTAGTTCTAGATCCGTGAGGAATCACCACACTGTCTTCCACAATGGTTGAACTAGTTTACAGTCCCACCAATGGTGTGAAAGTGTTCCTATTTTTCCACATCCTCTCCAGCTTTCTCTTTCATCTACCAACCAAAACTGCTATTCCCTTATTTGGTGCATTTCCTCGTTCTGTGGTTTGGAAATTTCCCCTAGACAGAAATCTGGGGTGATGGTAGAGCTCATCCCACGTATTTCCCTTCTTTTAAGAATCTGTCCTGTGCTATAAGCCCTTCAATGTTTGAACATGGCTTCTGTACTCTCCACTTTTATAACTGCTTACCAGGATAAGAGTATGGATAATACTCTTCATCATGGTGAGACACAGAACTATATATAACTTTTAAATAATGCATTTATTTGTAAAAGGAATTTGAAAAAGCATCCCATTTTTGTCTCATCTATTCTACCATCCACTTTCTGTAGCCATTTTTAATAACACCAATACAAAATAGCCCCACGCAAAAATAAAAACTTATCTAAAAAAATTTTAAAGATTTAGTTTAAGGAAATAAACAGTTTCTTAAAAATAGCAAACCAATATTCATAATTAACACATGAACTACTCTATGGTTTACAAAGTGCTTTCACATATGTTAGGTTTTTTTGTTTGTTTGCTTTGTTTTGTTTTGTTTTTGAGATGGAGTCTCGCTCTGTATCCAGGCTGGAGGGCAGTGGAAGGATCTCGGCTCACTGAAAGCTCCGCCTCCCAGGTTCACGCCATTCTCCTGCCTCAGCCTCCCGAGTAGCTGGGATTACAGATGCCCACCATCACGCCCGGCTAACTTTTTTTTTTTTTTTTTTTTTGTATTTTTAGTAGAGACGGGATTTCACCGTGTTAGCCAGGATGGTCTCGATCTCCTGACCTCGTGATCTGCCCACCTCGGCCTCCCAAAGTGCTGTGATTACAGGCGTGAGCCACCATGTCTGGCCCACATATGTTAGGTGTTTATGATTATTAGATTTTTATAATAATTATGTTAGTTATAAATCATAGCCACTAGATAAAATTTAAGAAAGTCATTATCACTTTCATCATTTTTGTCATAATTTATATTGTATGGGAGGAAATTAGACATAAAATGTGTAAATTACTTAGATAAGTCATAAGCTGAAACTTATACCCACTTTTCTCTTTGAATGTATGCTGCTCTTTCCCTACATTATCCATAAATTGTTATCATATTTTTTCTACAATCTGAGGTGCTATATCTCTCATATTGTAAATAAGAGTGGAAATGCTTAATAAATATTTTCATTGATTTAAGACATGCAAAATTTTCTCAAATTATTCAGGAAATTTAGTATCCATTTTGTATTACTCCACATCTTATACAAATATGAATACCTTCCTTTTACCCAACAACATCATTTTAAATCCTAGAGTGGTATGCATATTATAAAAGTACACTAGCAAAGGGAGTAAGATTAAAAAATTAGAGAGATTTCTTGAGTTTTTTTTTTTCCGGAGTTACATGAAATGAGACATCTCTAGAGTACATCAGAATACAATTTCGATTCATTCTTAACAAACCATGTTGCCTGTCTGCAGTGGATAAAGGAAGGAGGAATGCACACTTCTTGATTTGTTACTGTCTGCCAGTGTACTAAATCTCTCCTATATATTAATTCACTTAGTCATAGGTCATAGAAGGCATTTTTACAAGAGATGAACAAGCTTTTGGCTGCTCTGTTTAATATATTACATCTTTGCATTTATTTAATCAGAATTATATTGTGTAAATAAATGAGGGTTTTCATGAAAATTGAATGTTATGTTGTAACTAATTTATTTTGAAATAATTTAACAGCCATTGAGTTTTACACTAATTGCTTTATGAGATTAATGAATTTACATAGTTATTTGAGTCTCATTACTTGGCAGAGTATAGAAAAATGAAGCTAATAAACTTTTCCAAGAACTTCCCTTGGCATGAAGCAAGTGGAAAATAAAATTCTGCTTTAAAACAATGGCAGTTTTACTTTATGAAGAAGAGCTGCTCATAAAATTCATTTCTCTTGTTTTAGCACTGTAAGGAAGATACAGATTGGCCTGAAATAAAGCCCCATATGGAAAATATTTACTTATGTAAATGTAAATTATCAATATTAATGGGGGCAGGATATTCCAAATATGTGATAGCAAGTTCCAGGCAGAGGAAACAAATATGTAGCATGTTAGGCAAGAAGAGACATTGGCTATTTGAGAACAAAAATAGAAGGACACTGTGATGGAAGCATAATAAAA
Organism: Homo sapiens; assembly: GCF_000001405.40. Classification (NCBI taxonomy): domain Eukaryota; kingdom Metazoa; phylum Chordata; class Mammalia; order Primates; family Hominidae; genus Homo; species Homo sapiens. Next base: position 189,193,590 of record NC_000001.11, read on the forward strand.
AGGGAAGGCCAGGCGCGGTGGCTCACGCCTGTAATACCAGCACTTTGGGAGGCCAAGAGGGGCGGATCACGCAGTCAGGAGTTTGAGACCATCCTAGCTAACACGGTGAAACCCTGTCTCTACTAAAAATACAAAAAATTAGCCAAGTGTGGTGTCACGTGCCTGTAGTCCCAGCTACTCGGGAAGCTGAAGCAGGAGAATTGCTTGAACCCGGGAGGCGGAGGTTACAGTGAGCCAAGATTACACCACTGCACTCCAGCCTTGGTGACAGAGCGAGACTCCGCCTCAAAAAAAAAAAAAAAAAAAAAAGAAGGAAAAAAATTGTATTTTTTCCTGAATATGAAGTGGACAAATTGGGTAACTCTTTTAACCCACGCTAAACAATTTGGATATTCTCTCAGTGAAAATAGCCAGCAGTGAGAGCTTTCAGCAAGAGCATGATATACATTAATTTATGGTTGTAAAAGAGTTATCTAGCTATTTTTTAAGACAATGAATTTAAAGAAGCACTAAAGTGGACATAAAAAAATTACCTGGGTGGGTTATAGCGTTCCAACGTACTTTCGAATGAAAGTTTATCCCTGGGTTAGAGAGGCAGGGAAAGAGTAGTTGAATTTAGAATGTAATTTGAAGGTAGTATTATTTTGCTGATAGTTGAGTTATTTCAGAGGTATTGTAAAAGAAATAAATCAAGGAATTTTCAACTTTTATTAGGGCTACTGCATAAATGGTGGCACCAACATCTAAGACTGGAAAATGGGAAGAGGAGACTTGGAGGGTTATGGGACAAGAGGCGTTAAAGGAGAATCAAGACCTTACCTTTTTGGACTTGTAAAAATCGAGCCCCTAATGTAATCTAAAGGAGATACTGTGCAGGCAGTGAGGATTAAGATCAAGGATACTGACTGAAATATGAATTTGCTCAATATAGTCAGGATGAACCAATTATTGCATGTGTGTATGTTCGTAAAATAATTAAGGAAACAGAAATTTTGAGTGCTAATTTATCCAGTCTTCCACTATTAACTTTGTATGTATGTGTATGTGTGTGTGCGTGCATGTATGAAAATAAAACTAAATATATAATTTTAAACAATAATTATATTCAGCTTATACCACACTTGTAATAAAATCGACACAAAGAGTGCATATAATGGACATTGTCTTTATTTTAAAATGTATTTTTGGGTTGGCATTGGGGAAAACAAGGTCTGACTCTGTTGCTCAGGCTGCAGATTAGGGGTACGATCTTGGCTTACTGCATCCTCTGCCTTCCAGGCTCAAGTGATCCTCCCAGCTCAGCTTCCTGAGTAGCTGGGACTACAGACGTACCACTGCATGCATGCCCGGCTAATTTCTATATTTTTTATAGAAACTGTTTTTCACCATGTTGCCCAGGCTGGTCTCGAACTTATGAGCTCAAGCAATCCACCTGCCTTGGTCTCCCAAAGTGCTGGGATTATAGCCATGAGCCACTGTACCTGGCCTATTTTTAAATGTATTTCTTAAGAAAAATAAGCAGCCACCAGTTTTTCACTAAAATTGCATAATGTCTTCTAAATGGAAAAATTTGAAAGGAGCTTATTAATAAGTATATTTTAAGAATGAGATGAAACATAATCTAATTTGATTTAATAGTATACTTATTTAAAATATGAATTCAAATATTAGATATTTTAATAAAACTCAAATTAAATTACAGAGTTTGAATATCATTGAAATATCTGTGCTAACATTGTCTTACTGTTAAATTTGAAAAACATGAAAAATATAAGGCTGACTTCTTTGTAATTATAAGTTGCGTACAGTGAATGCAATCTTTAACCTTTTGTGTTTCTTTACTTTATTGTATATTAGGTAATTATGTAACATGGGTATTATACTATTTTAACATTATTTATTTTCATTTTAATAATTTAAACTCAATAAAGATAAGAAATAGTTGTTTTGTGATTTTTGCCTTCTGCAATGATTAGTTGTCATTATTTTTAATTTTTATTACCTTAAATCTCCTTGGTTCCAAATAAGTCAGTAAACTGATATAAATGCTTTCCCACTGTTATTAATAGTAATTGGTTTTTATTGTAAAATTTATTTTGCTATTCTGGCATATTTATGTTATAGCAAAATATTGAGAAGGAAATTGATGTGACTATTAAAAATGTTGCTAATTTTATATTTGCTTTATCTCTGTACTCTCCTACTCCATTTCCCTGCCATATGTGATTGTTTTGAATTGTTTGCTCAAGTATTGCAATTACTTTTTTCTTGAAAATTGATTTATTATGTTTAAGCTGATTTAATTACAGAAGACATTGTTTACAGAAGTTATATAATTTATTTGGTAATATTTAGGTTTATCCCAAAGCAGCACAATGTAGTTAATACGCTAGTGTGAGAGTGAAGTGCTCTCACATGTCTGTTAAGTTCAGAACCACCTTAATGGAATTAACTGGACATGTGACTGGTTAATAAACTAATTCATCTCTTCCTAACTTGCACTAAAGGAGCATACAAAACTCAAGCTGTAATGCATTCTTTATATCTGGATAGCAGGGCATGAAAAGTATTCTATTTCCTAAGCCCTTTTATTTCCCTTTTCTATTTTTAATCACTTATTATGAATATTTTTTCTTTTACTAAGAACGTGGACATTTTCACAAAAAAAATAAAAATAAGTAGAGGGGTTTGGTACTTACTTCTGTTGGCTCTCACCTTCTATTTGGAGCATCTGAAAAACTAAAAATGATATTTCTCAGACTTTCTGGCAGATATAGTTTGGGATGCAATCTGGATATACAGCGTAAAGGTGAAAAATTATACTTGTGATCTAAATCTGGTTCAACACGTATCTTTACAAATGAAGTTTCATTTAAATGCAGGCATGGCCACTCATTTACATATTGTCTATGGCTGCTTTTGCGCTATACCAGCAGAAGTATGACAGAGACTGTATGAACCCCAAAACAAACTACTCACCTTTTGTCCATCTACCGAAAGAAAAACTTGTTGACCCTTGAACCAAGGGCAAATTTTATCAAGCATAAATTAGGTGAAGGTCTTTCTGGTGCTGTGATTATTGGCAAGCGAGTTCACACAGATGTGAGTACCTGCAGTGTCTGGAGTCTGTGGTCCAGTATCTAGACAGTACTTCCATGAATGTTTAATTGTCATGGAAGAAACAAAAATGGCATCCACATTTTTGGACTGCAGGTAAACTTGAAATTAATAGTCCAGTGACTTCTCTCAATTCTTATGCCTCCAGTCTTTCCGACAAATTTTTAAGCATTTATTTTCCTGTATAAAATATATTTTTGCTTGAAATGTTTATACTGGTTTCTGTTTGGGGCCCTAAAGACTATCTGATGCAAGCACCATCTATTTGTTGTTAGACAGGTGTTTAAGACATGAAATAATACAAGTTTAATTTTGAACCATAATTAAGTATGGGAAAAAAGACTACTCTGAAAATTTTATGTGTGGTTAGGAGTATCACTCCACAGTAAATTTCTTAAAACTACAGTTCTCAGAGTTTTTCTTCTTATCATCTGTCATTTCAAAGGTTTGATACATTGTTTTATACTCCCAAGATGAATTTTCTCCATATACATAACTGCTATTATAAAAATATCTTCAGTGATTTTTTTAAAAATTCCAAGTACATTTAAATCACAAATAAAGAGCTGGTAAAATGTTGTCCCTTCTCAGTACAATTTAATGTTTCTATAGAAACAGAAATGTGAAATTTCCAGGCTAAGCATTTCTATTATTACGTCACATTCAGATCTTAAATGCAAAGTGAGGAACCCATTTTACTGTGTAACTAGGGGTCCAGCAGTAAACCCATGGCACACTCTGCATAAGAAAGGGAATATTTTCATTGAATCAAACAATGATTAATTATTCCTTAGGAAAACCATCTAAAGAATAATGCAGTGCATGCTATATTCACAAAAGTGGGATCTTTGTAAAAACAGACCTGACAAGACAAAGAGGGGATAGTAAAAAAAGCCCAAAGAAGTGTGAAGAGCAAGCCACTTGAGAAGGGTTGTGGCCTTCTGTGGAGAAATACAGCCTGCACGTGGTGAACTGACAGGAGGGAGCTGATAGAACAACCACTTCACACTCACTCTCCTCTCATGCTCAGAATCTCCTGTTGGTGATCTCTCATTTACTTCTCCAAATGGAATTTGAAGGGAAAGTGAACTGGAGATTGTCTTTCAGGGCAAGGAGAGCACTAGTGAAGAGAGGAGTGTTTTGAAAGTGTACATGGGCGATATTCAGTGCACTCTATATACTTGCTTTCTATATCTGCTGTAACAAATTACCACAAACTCAGTGGGTTAAAACAACACAGATTTGTTACCTTACAGTTCTGGAGGTCAGAAGTCTGAAATGGCTTTCACTGTACTAAAGATCTCAGTTGGTCTGATTCCTTCTAAAATCACTAGGGAAAAATCTGTTTTCTTGCCTTTTCTAGTTTCTAGAGTCTACCTCCATTCACTAGCTGTGGCCCCATCCTCCATCTTCATGATGGTAGCATCACATCTTCAAATCTCTCCCCTGGTCTTACCTTTGCTTCCATCATCTCATCTCCTTCACTGGCTCTGATTCTACTATCTTCCTCTTTCCCTTATAAACGTTCTTGTGATTTTATTGGGTCTACCTGGATAATACAGATAATATTGCCAGAACCTTAGTTTAATCACATATCCAAAGCATCTTGTGATACAGAGTGACATATTTACAGATTCTAGGGATTAAGACTTTTAAGACTTGTATATCCTTGGTGGGGGTATTACTCTGAATACTGCACTATGTTTGAAAGTATAGACATATGCGTCTATAATAGACATGTTTTAGAGGAAAAATAGTGTACTATTGAGTCAAAGTCACCTGTATCTTAATTCTCATTCTAAAATAAATTTCCTGTGTTATTTAGGAACAAGTTATTTTTAAATCTCACTCGCTCTCTCTCTCTACACACACACACATACATGTATGATGAATATACATATATTTGTATGTGTAAATGTTCATGTATATATTAGTATGATAAATTTAGTTATCAGCAAAGATAATAGTAATGACAATAACAATGATAGCTATAATAACAATTAGCAAATAAATTTGTGCCAACTTACATAGTATCAAATATTTAGAGTATGTAAAATAGATATGTATACAAATACTCATGTAACTTAAGCAATGCATGCTTTATTCACATATGTAACTTTTCCATAGAATTTGGCACAAGTTATGTGCTTATTATTAAATATCATTATAAATATTACTATTTCCTCTCTGCTTACATTTAACAATTTATTAATATTGGCACATATTAAGTATTATAATTCACTTTAGACATATTTTAGATGGTTATGTTATTACTGTGTACTTAGTATGATGTGTGAACAAAGACTGCTTATATTAAGAGAAAATAATTTTCTTACCAACAAGTCATTGTCAGAAGTCACACTGCAGTTTCATTTTTTAAACTATTAGCTCCTGCCTCCTTGAATAGCCACAAATCTCATGAAAGGAGTTAATGTGTATTATTTGTGTGTATATGTATGTATTCATTATGTTGGGGAAAATTAAAAATAAACCAAGTAACCAACCCAGAAGCCTCTCTGCAAATGTAGAAAAGAGAGAAACCAGTTTTATTATTTAATAAGTCCTAAACCAGGCTGTTACATGCATCACAGGCAATAGGCTAATGAGATTGAAAAGACAGAATGAATTCCCCTTCATACAGCCAAAAGATACCACCCGTTACAGGCATGTTCTCCAGATAATTGATGACTGTTTTCCTTTGAGATAACTTGACAGCATCATTTGCTATGCAAAGTTCATCTGAATTTCACCTGAAATTAATGAGGATGGTCATCCTTGTTAGTTTATTGCCTTTATGTAAGGAAAATAAAACTTCTCCTATCTTTGTGAGAAGCAGATAGTGAAAATGTGGGGTGCTGTTTTATTGATGTTTGCCTTTTGTTTAGCTTTTGAAAACAATTATTTAAATATTAAATAAATGTAGAAAGGATTTAAAATTGTAAGATTTTTCAATGAAATGCTCCAAGAAAATAAAATAGGAAAAGGTTTTTTTCTCTTTTGGAACCAGGGAAAAATTAATATTAAAAACTTTACTCTTAACATTTTCAGTATAAATCATTGAGTTAACTCTTAGAATGCCTTGCAAGCCTAACACGTATCAGGAATGAGACTGTGCAATTACCTGAGAACACGGTAGACATGATCACTGTTCACACTAATATTTATGTTATCTTTCTTCCAGACACATGGGAGAATTGCATCTCTTCTCCTTCTTTAAATTAGGTATGGTCATGTCACTTGCCTTAGCCAATAAGCTACAAGCAGAAGTCCATATGAGCTAGCTCTGAATTTATAGTTTTCTTTCCCTTTTTTAGCAACAGCTGAGGTCCAGATAGGGATTGGGGTGGGTCTTCTCTGAGATTTTGTGAGGCGATGAAAGGATCATCCTGAGGACTGCAAGGAACATAGTACCCAGCTGACACAACATGGTCATGGAGTATGAGAAGAAAATGACCTTTGTTGATTTAAGACACTACGATATTAAGATAATTTGCTGGTGTAATCTACCTCATTCTTACTTATATAAGATCATTCAAGTTTCTTTGAACATGAAATCTCTTATAAGAGATGCTTTGCCAGTCTGCCTGACTGCATTTCCTTTATTCTAATTAGCAGCAGCACCATCACAGGTGATCACATAGAAAAATTAATTTTTATTTGTGTGTGTGGGTGAGGGGTGTACATTTTACCTATATTCTTAATTTCACACTGCTGGAATGGTGCCTTCAAGCTTTGAAAAAAAATTCAAAAGGAAATTTGAAAATAAAAGTGTACAACTAAAAATTCAAAGGTATATACACATGTACACATATAGATGTGTACAGAAAGAAGATGTGATAACTCTCTTGACAGAGTATTGAGGGAAGAGAAAAAGAACTCAGAGACTGGAGCCTTTTAGAATGGGTGTTCTCGTCATAATAGGGAATGCCTGAGCTGTCTCTGATCCTCAGGGAGACACTCCCCTAATGCTGTAACAATCTGATGCAAAGTGCTCCAGCATTGCTGAGAAGTTCAGTGTAGGCTTTCATTTGTTAGTCATTTCTTAGCAATAAAGATTCTGCTATGAGACTGGTCTTTGTGACAATAGGATTCAAAAATGATAGAAAATGTGGATGTATTCACTGTAGTGGGCAACAAGGTGAGAATGGCAATTGGGTGTTGCTCTTACCTGTATACTGACCTATGCAACCAAAGCAATCAGGAGTGGGTGAGCAGAAGGTAAGCACTGGCTTAGAAAATCGCAATCTTTTGGCTAGTTTTCAAAACTGATATTATTGTCCAGCCAAGATCTTATCCACTAAAAGGGAGGCCAAGTCTCCATAATTAAAGACTGTGACTCCATTACATACAATACATCTCTCTTCACTCTTTTCTCAAAAACATATGTGGATATTTACCAAAATATTAAATAAAAAATTGTTTTAAGGGATATAGGATCTGAAGTGACATTGACTGCACAATAATCAAAGAGGGGAGAAATCATGTCTCCCATCTTAGATTGGAAATGTACTCATATCCTGACCATATCATATAAGTGCATAAAAGTGTGCATAAAGTATATATATACATGAATACTCATATTAGTCTTGTTCCTGGTAGAAAAAATTATAAACAATTAAAAATCAATTGCATTATTGTTTAATAAATTCAGATGTTTTCATAGACTAGATCATGGTATAGCTAGTACAAAGAAAAAGAAATATATGCATATTTAAGAAATATATTAATAACATTATTTTTGAGCAACAAAATGAAAAATCTTATAAATGTGTGTAAACATTGTAAAACTGGCAAGAGATAGTTCATACTTTGGTTATATACCTCAAACTACTGTAGAAATTTTTTAGTCATTATTATTTTCTCTTTACAGATTGTATGTAATTTTCTAGCTGAAGAGAAAATTTGAAAATAAAGGTGCACGATTAAAAATTCAAAGCTACAAAATGAAGTCTCGAGATACCAGCAAGTTTTGTCCTTCAAAGGCATAGTCATATAGAATAATGCTAGTTATATAGGACTTTGATAAAAAGATAGTTAAGACCATAGGAATAGTTGTCCATACGCTGAATTTTCAAAGTTCATCAGATTATTTAAAATTTCTTTCAAAAATCTCCTGAAACCCTAAATATTTGACATAAACAAACAAACAAAAATTATAACAAATGAATTGAGAAAAGTTGCAATATGCTAAGGTAGCACACAAAAATCAGTTGTGTTTTCATATTCTAACAATGAAAAAATGTAAAAGGAAAATTAAAAGAATTCTATTTGTAATAGTATCAAAAAGAATAAAATATTTAATCAAGGAGGCACAGAGATTTGTATATGGAAATCTATTAAATGTTGCTGTAAGGAATTAAAGAAGACAAAAATAAATAGAAAGACACCTCATGCTCAAGAATTGGAATAGTTAATATTTTTAAGACGTCAGTATTACCCAAAGGTGGTCTACAGATTTGATGCGATCACTATCAAAATCACAATGGCACTTTTTGCCAAAGCAGAAAAATATATTCTAAAATTCATATAGAATCTTAGGAAACCCCAAATAGCTAAAAAATTCTCAAAAAAAAGACATTTCACACTTACCAATTTCAAAACTTAATGAAAACCTTGGAACTTATTAAACAATGACAGAATCAGTGAATTTATGTTTTCTACAAAGCTGTAATAATAAAAGTATTGTGGGATTGGCATAAAAACAGAGATAGCCACCCATCAAATAGAATAGTGAGCCCAGAAATAACCCTTCATATATATGGTCAAATGATTTTTAATGAAAGAGTCAAAACCATTCAATGGAGGAAAAGAGAGTCTTTTTAATCAGTGGTGTTGGGGAAATTGGACATCCACATGCAAAAAAATGAAATGGAATCCTTACCTTATGACACATACAAAAATTAACATAAGTAGGTCAAAGACCTGAATGTAAGAGCTAAAACTTAAAAACCCCTGGAAGCAAACATAGGGGAAAATCTTGACATTGGATTTGACAATAAAATATTGTATGTGACACGGAAAATAGAGGTAAAAAATAAAAATGGAAAACTGGAAGGATATCAACATTTTTAAAAGTCTGTACAACATAAGACACAATTACAGAGTAAAAATAAAAGCTATGGAATGAAAGAAATCTTGCTAAATCATATTTCCAATAAGGGGTTAATATTTAGAATATATAAAGAATCATAACTTAAAACAGAAAAACAAATAGCCTAATTTAAAAATGAGCAAAGAACTTGAATGAACATATCTTCAAATAAGACATTCAAATGGCTAACAACCATGTGAAAAGATATGCAACAGCACTAATCTTCAGAAAAAATGTAAATCAAAACCACAATGAAATACTACCCCACACCCACTGCAACTATCAATAAAAACAAAACAACATATGTTGGTAAAAGTGTGGAGAAATTTGAATCTTTGTACACTCTAGTTGGAAACATAAAATGGTGCATCCACTGTGGAAAATAGTATGGCAGTTTCTCAAAAAATTAAATATAGAATTACCATATATTCCAGCAATTCCACTTCTGGGAATATATGCATGAGTTGAAAGCGGTCTCAGAGACATTTGTACACTCATGTTAATAGCAATAGCATTCACAATGGCCAAAAGGTGAAAACAACTAAGTAACCACCAATGGATGAACGAATAAGCAAAATATAATATATACATACAATGGAATATTATTCAGCCTTACAAAGAAAGAAAATTCTGACACATGCTGCAATATGGAAAACATTATGCTAAATGAAATACATTGGTCACAAAAAAACACATATTATATGATTCCGCTTATATGAGGTACCTAGAATAATTTAATTCACAGAGACAGAAGAAGGGAGGTTGTTAGGAGCTAAGGGTAGGAGAGAAATAGAAAGTTGTATACAATGAGCTGAGTTTCAGTTTTGCAAGATAAAAAGAGTTTTGTAGATTGGAGTAGTGTCAATAGCTATTTATATTTACACTACTTAACTGTACATTTAAAAATTGTTAATATGATAATTTTTATTTTATGAGTATTTTAACACAATTATTAATAATTTTTAAAAATCTCCCCAATAATTCCTATGAAAATTACTTTGAGACCTCTTCTGACCTGAATAAAGTTCCACTAAATTTGATTTATTGTTCAAATTAATTTTGGAATAATTAAGTAATAAGTCAATCTTTTGACTATCAAATACATATTGTAAAATACATTTAATATCACTATATAATTGTTGGTCTATTTAATTAAGGTACTTTCTACAAATCTTATCCATGATTATTTGTTGACTTGTAAACAAAAAACAATGCTAATTAATTATTTATTGTTTAAAGCATTTGAAAACTAATGGATCCTTCAAAAATTTATTTTTAATTTAATACAACATTTTCTCTAAGAATACTTTTTCGGTAAACATGTATTCAGTTATTTACTTCTCACATAACTGCATATTTTGGTTCTTTCTTACAGGCAGGAGACATCACTTTTGTGCATTAATAGGCTCTCTCGGTTTATCCCATAAGAATTTATATAAGAAGATAATGTCAACACATGCTAGAAAATGCATCTAGCACTTAGATTGAAGTGATAAGTAATATATTGCAGGAATGAATTTTCAATACTGGCAATACAGAAGATTCTGCAAAGCTTTGCTACATTCACTTATCTTGAAATATGTTTAGTTAAAATGTGTGTAGTGTAGCTGACGGTAACTTTATTGTGACCACAGCAAAAAAAAAAAAAAAAAAAAAAAAGTAACAGCACTTGTGCTATTTTATGGTTTCATTTTTCTGAACATAGTGCCTCATCTGTGTCAGCATTTAAGTGAACAGTCTGTAAGATCACTTAGGGAAATTATACCTACTGGTCCAATAAAATTCCATAGTGTTGTCTTTCTCATCATGAAAGTAAAATATTGTAGAATGTGTCCATGAAATGTTGTCCTCTCTTCTTCCCTTGCAGACTCTTGTTTTGTATAGTGACAATAGGAGTCTGCAAATTTTGCCTATTCTTCAAATTTGTTAGGAATTAAACATTTAAAGGAAAAAGTGTTAAGCTAGAATAATCCATTCAAATTCATTTATTTAAGTAAAGAGATATAAAGCCAGTTGACACTTTGTTCTAGTGTCTCTGTTCCTCATTTTCCTTCTTCGGATAGCTCCTTATTTTCCTTCATTTAATAGTTTTCCTTTTGATTAATTTCCATCCAAAGATATGTTAATATATCTCCTTTTTTATTTTTAGGTTGTAAGTATACACAGGAATTCTCATTATTCTCATTTAAAATATAAAGCACACTACTTTTGAATATTTTTTTTTCTAGTCATGCCTAGTGATAAAGCAGAAACATAGGTTATCTAGGCTTTATCCTTTAGTTCCTGGACTTCAGGGCACATTTCTATTGGGAAATTACCCAGTGCTAATGGGTTGTAACTATGCACATTGACGCTATGAGTCTACTTGAAAGTGGAATATGTAGTATAAATATTTCTTAATAGAAAGCAAAAGCTGTATTATAGGGCCCTCATCCATGGTCTTCTAAATAACTCCACCATTCCTTATTATGTGGTGTGAACTTTTATGACAACGGGAAAGCCATGATTAGAAGGACTCTACGAAATATTTTTAACATAGAAAAGAGGCAGAAAAGAAACATATTTAAAATTTGCTCTACACATGGCTTGAAATTTAGCACTGGATGATACTGGCAAATGTGGAGCTGCAGAATATTGGTTTGTGTTGGTTTCTCTGTTTTTGAGTTTCTACAGTGTAGACTTACTTTCATTTTTATTCATTGACATTAGACTCTATGAAGGTAACAGCTAAAAAAGAAGTTGGAGGGAAGGGAAAGTAGAAGACAGGAGATCCTGGAAATAATAACTCTACTGACCTCTAAGATTAGCTTGGTTGTTCTCCTAACTCCAGACCTGGCTCTTTCATTACAAAGAAAGTTTCTGCATGTTGGTTTTCAGAAAAAAAGGAAAAAAACAAAGGCTTATAACCAATTGATGGCATGTAGCACAAATCAATTCTTCCTGTCATCTTTTTTTCTACCTGTAGGGTATAATTTTTAATTTCATCTGTAGCAAGGAGATGTGTTATCCCAATCTTCCTTAATAACTGCTAATTCATTTCTTTTTATTAATATTTAATTATTGCCTCCTGAGTTGATTCATGGATAAAAACTTGCCTCAGATTACAGTGTGTTGAGTCACTTTGAAATTACTCGAAGATTTTTCTGAACAAGGACTGATGTTCCCAGATTGCCTATGCTCAGGGTTATTGGATTTCCATTTAAAAGACTCCAGTGGTCACTAAAAATTGCCTTGTGACAGGAACCATATGTGTTTTCTGTCCAGAAGCAAGGATGGAGAGTGCCTAGCTGTTTCTGTAATCCTTTGGCTCTCAATGATACTGAAAACCTCACATCCTCACAACCTTGAACTAGTGGCTCATGGGAGACTGAATGCCTGGAACTTTGACATGATGAATTATACATTTCAAGGTTGCAAATTGCTCAACGAGTTACTTCAAGAAGCTACACACACACAAAAAAAGTTGATATCTACATTTGATTAATATGTCAACCTTGAAACTTTTGTTAAAAGGAATATTTTAAGAATTGTTTAAAAATGTCTATAGAAAACAAAAATTAAAAAAGCAATTTAAAATTCAAAGCATTTAAAGTTTATAGAGTAGCAATAATTTGAGGTCATAATATTCATCGTATTCATAAAGGATTTCATTTATCTTCCAAAAGAAAAGTGATATGCATTCCATTACCTATTGGCAGCTCCATCTTCCCTGTGTGTATGTGTGTGTTTGTGTGTGTGTGTACATGCATATGTGCCTGTTTATGTTAAATATAATACAAATGAACAGTTTTTACTTTGTTTTGTTTTAATTGTTATGAAAAGTATGGGTTAAACTAGATTATGTAACACCTTTTTCTTTAATTTGAAGAATTATATTAAAATATTAATCTTGTAAAAGCATTCATTCACTCAAACATTTATTTTTTTTCTGAGTAGCTTATGTGTTAGATGCTCTCATATATATTTTTGCCTTTATACTACTAACTATTCCTTGAATTATTAGTCATCACAGTAGAAATGCAAACACATACTTAGAAACTAAAGTAACTTGCCCAGGGCATACAAGTAGTAAGTGGCAGTGTTTTCTAATTCCAAGCTTCATGACCATTTTAATTCACATCATACCTTTAGATTGGTATATGTTTTTAAAATCTATAGATATAATTAAAGGCTAAACATCTCTTGATTACCAAGTCAAAGACAAGAAAATGCTTATATAAAAATCAATGGATGGGTCTGAGAGATATAATTAACTCAGTATTTCTTCTTTTAAATTAAGGTAAAATATAGGACAATGGAATTTAACACTCAGTTGTGCTAATTCTTACTTATCTTTAATATTTGGAAGCTGATGGGACACATGTAACTTTTTTTGCTGAAGTAATTATGATGGGCGGTGCATTAGTTCTTACTGATTGACATGCTTTATCCTTGACAGTTGAGAAACTTAAGGACAAAGTCAATCATTGATTAGCTGTCACCTCATATCCTTGTCCTATGAAAGACTGAATCATGTTTGCATTTCAAATAAGTTAATGCTGTCCAAAGTGAGCATGTAATAAAAGGGCTTTTAACAAATGTACTGAATAAAAAAGCATTAATAATGAAGTACATTGATCGATTAATAATAAGAAGAAATTTTTAAATGAAATTATTACATTTAAACAAGTAACCTGAAGCAAACAAATAATGAATATATGTGTGCTCATAGAAATTAAGGCATTTCTGGATAAACTAAGTCATTATTCTTATAAAACTATAGAACAAAGGACTAGGAGAGGAATATAAAGACTTTCCAATAGATATAATATTTGTTAATAAGGTGAATTTGATATTTGCAAACGGAAACTATATTTTATGTATTATTCGAATTTTTTTTTCTTCAAAAAGAAACAAAACTAGCTGGGCATGGTGGTGCACAGTTGTATTCCCAATGACTTGGGGGATGGAGGTTGGAGGATAGTTTGAGCCCAGGAGGCTGTAGTTGCAGTGAGCTATGAACGCACCACTGCACTACAAACTAAGCGACAGAGCAAGACCCTATCTCCAAAAACAATAAGCAATAACTTTATAATACATATTGGTAATGGATTTTGCATGTGGCAGCCACTAAGAAATTGTTTTTGTTTCAATGCCATTGCCATTGTCAATATTTAATAATACAGTGATATGGTTTTATTAAGTAATGTAATTAGATTTTAATGTCATTGACTTTGTAAAAAAACTTTTCCATAATTATATTCATTCAGTTTTTTAAATGGGCACTTTAAAAATATTTTCTAAAGAATATGATAAAGATGTGCTGCTTGTCAGAATTCTTTTAAGTTAAAACAGTAGAACCCCATTATCTATAGTTATTTCAGATTTTTTTTGATGGTATTATGATTTTTATTTTTCACCATGTACTTTTCTGCATCTTCCAAATATGAACAATTATTCCTTTTATAACCAGAGAAACAAATATAGTTGATGATTTAAAGATGTGTACAGATATGAGGGCTGATTATATCAATTGACTAACACTACCATTGTATACATGTAATAAAGCTTCACAAATTACAACTTTAAAAACCTATGATGAAAACCTGTCCACATGAACATTCTGGGTAACCTTGTCCATTAAAAAAAATCTTCATTTAAACAATAAAATCAAATCTCCATTTTTAAATTATACTTTAAGTTTTAGGGTACATGAGCACAACGTGCAGGTTAGTTACATATGTATACATGTGCCATGTTGGTGTGCTGCACCCATTAACTCATCATTTAACATGAGGTATATCTCCTAATGCGATCCCTCCCCCTTCCCCCTACCCCATGACAAGCCCCAGTGTGTGATGTTCCCCTTCGTGTGTCCACGTGTTCTCATTTTTCAATTCCCACCTATGAATGAGAACATGCGGTGTTTGGTTTTCTGTCCTTGCAATAGTTTGCTGAGAATGATGGTTTCCAGCTTCATCCATGTCCCTAAAAAGGACATGAACTCATCCTTTTTTATGGCTGCATAGTAATCCATGGTGTATATGTGCCACATTTTCTTAATCCAGTCTATCATTGTTGGACATTTGGCTTAGTTCCAAGTCTTTGCTATTGTGAGTAGTGCTGCAATAAACATACATGTGCATGCGTCTTTATTGCAGCATGATTTATAATCCTTTAGGTATATACCCAGTAATGGGATGGCTGGGTCAAATGGAATTTCTAGTTCTAGATCCTTGAGGAAACGCCACACTGTCTTCCACAATGGTTGAACTAGTTTACGGTCCCACCAACACTGTAAAAGTGTTGCCATTTCTCCACATCCTCTCCAGCACCTGTTGTTTCCTGACTTTTTAATGATCACCATTCTAACTGGTGTGAGATGGTATCTAATTGTGCTTTTGATTTGCATTTCTCTGATGGCCAGTAATGATGAGCATTTTTTCATGTGTCTTTTGGCTGTATAAATGTCTTCTTTTGAGAAGTGTCTGTTCATATCCTTTGCCCACTTTTTGATGGGGTTGTTTGTGTTTTTCTCGTAAATTTGTTTGAGTTCATTGTAGATTCTGGTTGTTAGCCCTTTGTCAGAAGAGTAGATTGCAAACATTTTCTCCCATTCTGTAGGTTGCCTGTTCACTCTGATGGTATTTTCTTTTGCTGTGCAGAAGCTCTTTAGTTTAATTAGATCCCATTTGTCAATTTTGGCTTTTGTTGCCATTGCTTTTGGTGTTTTAGACATGAAGTCCTTGCCCATGCCTATGTCCTGAATGGTATTGCCTAGGTTTTCTTCTAGGGTTTTTGTGGTTTTAGGTCTGACATTTAAGTCTTTAATCCATCTTGAATTGATTTTTGTATAAGGTGTAAGGAAGGGATCCAGTTTCAGCTTTCTACATATAGCTAGCAAGTTTTCCCAGCACCATTTATTAAATAGTGAATCGTTTCCCCATTGCTTGTTTTTCTCAGGTTTGTCAAAGATCATATGGTTGTAGATATGTGACAGTATTTCTGAGGGCTCTGTTCTGTTCCATTGGTCTATATCTCTGTTTTGGTACCAGTACCATACTGTTTTGGTTACTGTAGCCTTGTAGTATAGTTTGAAGTCAGGTAGCGTGATGCCTCCAGCTTTGTTCTTTTGGCTTAGGATTGACTTGGCAATGCAGGCTCTTTTTTGGTTCCATATGAACTTTAAAGTAGT
Organism: Homo sapiens; assembly: GCF_000001405.40. Taxonomy (NCBI): domain Eukaryota; kingdom Metazoa; phylum Chordata; class Mammalia; order Primates; family Hominidae; genus Homo; species Homo sapiens. Next base: position 189,209,972 of record NC_000001.11, read on the forward strand.
TTTTTCCAATTCTGTGAAGAAAGTCATTGGTAGCTTGATGGGCATGGCATTGAATCTATAAATTACCCTGGACAGTATGGCCATTTTCACGATATTGATTCTTCCTACCCATGAGCATGGAATGTTCTTCCATTTGTTTGTATCCTCTTTTATTTCATTGAGCAGTGGTTTGTAGTTCTCCTTGAAGAGGTCCTTCACATCCCTTGTAAGTTGGATTCCTAGGTATTTTATTCTCTTTGAAGCAATTGTGAATGGGAGTTCACTCAAGATTTGGCTCTCTGTTTGTCTGTTATTGGTGTGTAAGAATGCTTGTGATTTTTGCACATTGATTTTGTATCCTGAGACTTTGCTGAAGTTGCCTATCAGCTTAAGGAGATTTTGGGCTGAGATGATGGGGATTTTTAGATATAGAATCATGTCATCTGCAAAGATGGACAATTTGACTTCCTCTTTTCCTAATTGAATACTAAAATTGACACCCTAACATCACAATTAAAAGAACTAGAGAAGCAAGAGCAAACACATTCAAAAGCTAGAGAAGGCAAGAAATAACTAAGATCAGAGCAGAACTGAAGGAAATAGAGACACAAAAAGCCCTTCAAAAAATCAATGAATCCAGGAGCTGATTTTTTGAAAAGATCAACAAAATCGATAGACCGCTAGCAAGACTAATAAAGAAGAAAAGAGAGAAGAATCAAATAGACGCAATAAAAAATGATAAAGGGGATATCACCACCAATCCCACAGAAATAGAAGGTATCATCAGAGAATACTATAAACACCTCTATGGAAATAAACTAGCAAATCTAGAAGAAATGGATAAATTCCTCGACACAGACACCCTCCCAAGACTAAACCAGGAAGAAGTTGAATCTCTGAATAGACCAATAACAGGCTCTGAAATTGAGGCAATAATTAATAGCTTACCAACCAAAAAAAGTCCAGGACCAGATGGATTCACAGCCGAATTCTCCCAGAGGTACAGGGAGGAGCTGGTACCAGTCCTTCTGAAATTATTCCAGTCAATAGAAAAAGAGGGAATCCTCCCTAACTCATTTTATGAGGCCAGCATCATCCTGATACCAAAGCCGGACAGAGACACAACAAACAAAGAGAATTTGAGACCAATATCCCTGATGAACACTGATGCAAAAATCCTCAATGAAATACTGGCAAACCGAATCCAGCGCGCATCAAAAAGCTTATCCACCATGATCAAGTGGGCTTCATCCCTGAGATGCAAGGCTGGTTCAACATACGCAAATCAATAAACATAATCCAGCATATAAACAGAACCAAGGACAAAAACCATATGATTATCTCAATAGATGCAGAAAAGGCCTTTGACAAAATTCAACAACCCTTCATGCTAAAAACTCTCAATAAATTAAGTATTGATGGGACATATCTCAAAATAATAAGAGCTATCTATGAGAAACCCACAGCCAATATCATACTGAATGGGCAAAAACAGGAAGCATTCCCTTTGAAAACTGGCACAAGACAGGGATGCCCTCTCTCACCACTCCTGTTCAACATAGTGTTGGAAGTTCTGGCCAGGGCAATCAGGCAGAAGAAGGAAATAAAATGTATTCAGATTTATTACAATAGCCTGTTTCCGTGAGTTCTTCTTTAAGAATGAACATCAATTATTTATTTGTCCATTCTGTGATATCTTAAGCTGGATTCACCAGAATATGAACAAGGAATGAGAATTCACATAAAATAAATTTATTAAAAAACTTTTCTATAATGAGACTGGTAAGGTTGTGTGGGAAGCAGGACAGGGAAGAATCCAAACAAGAGTGCAAAATTTAGTCAAAGTACCATCTAAAAACTGATGTTATGAAGAGATGCTGCTCTGGAGCATAAATTACATCTTAAAATTTGACCTATCTTGAGAGGAGGCAACTGAATTTTCATAGCCAATGAGTAATTGGGTATGAGCAGATACAATGGAATGTAAAGTTCCTGGCGATTTCATCTCTCTTTGCCTACAATTTAAGCAGTTCTAGTAGCCCAAAGGCAGTCTTCAAAAGCATATTGTGGATGCGAGTTTGATGCAAACCATGGCGAAACTGGGGGATTGGTGCATGCAGTCTTTAAAGTGATCTGAGAGAATCTGGGTGGGACATCAATAGTATCCACCTCACATGATATCAGCCATGTTCAAGAATAATGCATATTCCTTGCCATATGTCTTAATATCAAAATCAGCTCTATCAATAAAATGAAAACATAGTTAGCTTTCTAAAATTCAGTCTCTGGTGTTATCTATGGAAAGGCACCAAAAAGAAAAATAGCTGGAATTTTTATTCTGTTATGTTGAGACTACTGTGTCATTTCAGGTTCAATCAGAGATCCTGGGCAAAACCATCAGACCACGATCAATAGATAGACAAATAGATGATAGATAGATAGATAGATAGATAGATAGATAGATAGATAGATAGATAGATGATAGATATTTGTATGCAGGTAAATCTACATGTATTTAAGTTTATTATACGAACTGAATTTTATGCAATTGTGGGAGCTGGTTATACCACTTATATACAGCTGTTACTTTTGAATTTGGTGCTTGGCCTAAATCAGCAGGGTAGACTGTAGAGAGAGAAATATTGGGTGGTGGGGTTCAAAAAATTAGAGCTAATGAGAATGAGCTGAGAACCATTTTGGCCACTTGCTGCTTCCAAGATTTTAACTTCAATATGTATGCGACCTACAAGAGAACCTAGTGCCATTCACTTTATCATGAAACTAACATGTTTCTCTCCCAGAAGAAGAAAAAAGATAATGAAAAGTTCCAGGGGCAGCTGGAGGAGCTGAAGATCTTGCGCATGCCAGCAAGATAAGCCAGAAAATCAGTGAGAACAAATGTGAACTAGACTGAACTTCCTGATGTCAAAAGAATATTTCTGATGCTTCAGTGCCATATTTCAAAACTTATGCAAATTATTTTTCTGGTCACTGCTAACAGCAGAACTGAATTCCAGGAAATGCAGTTCCAGCATAGGTACATTGTCACACTATGAACCCACAACTGCCATTCTAAATTACAACTATGTGAGCTTTAGAAAGAGAATAATTTGCAAGATAATAGCTTATGTTTTAAACATAATATCCCCAATTCTGCAATTAAAGATTTATATAACTAAATAGTAAAATTGTTTATTTGAGAAAAATGAACATATATTAGTTAATATAGAATTAAAAGTAAGGACAGCTGAAAGTGAAGGTCAGGTATGCTTCAGTGGGATGGTATATTACAATGCAATACTTGGAAGTCATATTTTCAGAATCATTGCCCCCCTTTGCTTTTGAACAATTAATTCACATGACCTTCCTCAATTCTTACTTATAAAATTTTTCTGTGTATTTGTTGTTTTCTTGAATGTGTTTGTACACATGTGTTTATAGCCACATCTCAGGGAGATTACACCCATCTGCCTCAAGTTTCATGAAGACAGGAGGCAACACTCAGAGTAACGAGCTTGCAGGATTCATGTAGAAAAGATAGATTTGAAAAGAAGAAAACATTAGTACTTTTAAAGTCTGACACATCTAATATTTTCTATATCAATGTATAAAGCTTCCTTCAGTGATCCACAGTGCTGAGGTGACATTTTTTACAACAAATCTAAAGTGTTTTCAGTCCTTGGTTGAGGAAAAAAAAAAGCCTGGGAAGTGTAAAGTTCCTGATAATTATTTGCTTTTTTCAATAATAGCTAATGTAGCAATATTTTCATGCTTGAACATCCATGTGTGTGTGCATGTTGAAGATTTGTTGAAGATAAATGTGTATCTTGGTTGCCACATTGATTTCAGATAAAAAACATGGAAATGGAAACTATTTATATGATTTATAAACTTTATATAATTTATTTATATATTAAAAACAAATTTGGGAAATAAGTATGTTTAGATATTTTACATAATACATTATGATAGCAGACATTTTGGGACTATCGTGAGGTAAATTTAAGGCTAAAAATAAGAAATTAGGTTAAAATACACTTGACTTTCTACAACATTTACAAATAGCAGGAAGATTAAATAAAATAACTTTGCTGAATACTACATTTTAAGGAAAGCAAGCTAAATATTAAAGAATATCTGAGTTACCTAGGATCATATGGATAATTCATAACTTGTTTTTCATGGAATGTATTAAAGCCATTTTTACTGATTTTTGATGTTGTAAAACAGGCTATCTCTAAGGCCTGAGGATTTTATTTTTAATTAGTAGTGTGGTTTCCATAAGAAGTGTTTCATATTTATGCCAATATTTAAAGTACCTAAATTTCAAGCTACTGTGTATTGAAATGAGCTCCTAGAAGATAATTACAATATTTATTTTTACAAATTCTGTAAACACAGAAAACAAACTATTTTTTATATAATTAAAACATGAATAAATTTTTAAAATTCTGGTGAGATATATAAAACACTATCTAATTGTCTGTTAGATCTTGTGATTTTTCACAGGTAGCTTTTTAACAGGATACAATTTGTATGTTACTCAGAAACATTGGATAGCTATAGTTGTACCCGGAAAACTGGCAGTAAAATCAGTGAAAATTTGATGACAATTGGTTTAAAAATAAGCAAATATGTGTTGCATAACAGTGTTCCAGTTCATGGGGGACAAACCACATATATGAGAGCTGTCCCATATGGGTTATAATGAGGCCGAAAAATTCCTATGGCCTAGTATTTATTATCCTGTATTTTTAATCATTATTTTAGAATGTACTTGTACTTATGGAAAAAGAAAAAAAAAACGGTAAAACAGCTCAGGCAGGTCTTTCAGGAGGCATTCCAGAAGAAGGTATTGTTATTATGAGCAATGACAGTTCCATGCTTGTTATTGCCCCTGAAGACCTTCCAATGGGACAAGATGTGGAGGGGGGAGACAGTGATATTGGTGATCTTGACCCTGTTTAGGCCTAGCATAAATTCTTAGTCTTTAACAAAAAAGTTTAAAACTAATAATAAAGTAAATATTTTTAAAAACAGAAAAAACCTTATAGAATAAGGATATAAAGATAGAAAATATGCACAGTTGTAGAGTGTTTAAACTAAGTGTTATTACAAGAGTTTAAAAAAATAAAGTTGATAAAGTAAAAAAAGTTTAAGATTATTAAAAAAGAAATATTTTTAATAAATCTAGTATAGCCTAAGTGTACAGAGCTTATGAAGTCTACAGTGGTGTATAGTAATGTCCTAGGCCTTCACATCACTTGCCACTCATTCTGACACACTCAAAGCAACTTCTAGTCCTAAAAACTCCATTCATGGTAAGTGCTCTATAAAAGTGTACCGTATTTTTTATACCATATTTTATTATACTTACTATGTTTTGATTTGTTGATATACAAATACCATTATGTTACAACTGCCTACAATATTCAGTACAATTGCATGTTGTACAGGTTTGTAACATATGAGTAGTAGGCTACACTTTATAGCCTAGGTGTGTAGTAAGCTATACAATCTAGATTTGTGTAAGTGCACTCTATGATGTTTGCACAATAAGAAAGTTGCCTAATACATGTCTCAGAGTAAATTACATTTTTAAGTGACGCATGACTTCGTGTGTGTGTGTGTATCTTCATCTTTAAGTGACACATGACTCTGTGTGTATGTGTGTATATGTTTATACATGTATATAAGTTCTGAAGGTGTGAAAAGAATTCTCATATAACTGATTTAGAGATACTTAATGTAACATATGCTGTGATATAAACATTTTCAAAGGCTTTCTCCTACAAATTTAAAGGAGCAGAAAGGAGCTAGCTTTTTATTGTGATTTAATAGAAATAGTGATGGAAATATTTAATATTAGTATTATATATTATACAAAATGTGTATACCATATATATATATACATTTTAAAATAAAGCAAATGTGAAATGCAACCTTTCTCATAAATTGAAACAAAACAAAATACAAATGCAAAATGGATGATATTCCTCATTATTTCAAAACCTAATGTATTTTTCTAGGATACTACACACTCTGCTGTTATTAAAAAAAACACCTTTTATACTCACAAAATTTATTTTCACAAAAGTTTTGTGATTATAATAGCAAAATTTTATAATCGCAAATCAATACATCTCAAAGTACAAAAACTAGGTATCATCACAATTTCTGAACTGCTCAAAATCTAATGGCCAGAGCCAGGGCTGATCCAGTAAACCCACTATGACTCAGAGTTTTCTGATGTAAAATAAGCAAATTGGATTGGATAATGCCACTGTTCGTTTATTACACATTTTATTAAAAGATTTTGGATAAAAAGCATGGGTTCTTGGTGATTCTGAAATATTGGGCAAGTAATTTAAACTTCTATGAGACTTGATTCATAAACCCTAAGTGAGTAAAAAGGAGATGATGACATAACAAACACATATTTAATGTAATTTATTGGTAATAAATTATCTCACTTAGTCCTCATAGAAATTTTTAAACAGGAATATTGTTAGGAAAATTTTGAAACTGAGATTTGAAAACAGTATCTAATTTGTTAACTTATTAAAAGTTCTAATAATAAATATACCTTCTTTCTTGAGCCAAACTAATTATTTCACCAACAAACAAGATTTCTTACTAACCTAACAAAATCAAAGGAAGTGAAAGCACTTGAAAAGTATAATCTACTGTTCAAACATTACAAAGATAATTTATATATACAAAGTTGGATCCATGCTACTGAGTGTGTTTATAGTGACACAACATTTTCAACATATATTTTTCTAATAAAATAATGTCAGTTTTCTTAAATAATTAAAATTTGTTTTAATTTATCAAAATTTGCCATGTCATAAATGTATTTGAAATATTAAAATAATGCACTAAAAATAATAGACCATGTGATAGTTTCCTAAAGTATACTTACACAGTTTGTATAATATACTTCACAAAAAAATAGAAGTAAATAAAAGTAAAATATAAGACATGGTAATTTAAAAGCCAAAACATGGATAACATTAGGCTTGTATAAGACTTCCAAATGCTTCAATAAAGAATTACACTTTGAGAATTTTAAACTGTGTTCACATGACATGCTTTGTAAATGTCACATACTGTTAGAGATGTGACAGTGAATAAAATGATCAAGTAATATAAATGAAAAATATCAGCCTCAAATCAGCAGTAGTAAGTAACCAATCTGGAACACCAGATGGAGAATTAACTGCAATTCAATTATCTGTATTAAAATGACTCCTAGGTGCGATTGAAAAATATACAACATAAAAAAAGAGAAATTGACCATATGTAGCTGGTAAAAAAAGATTTGTCAATGCAAGATGAATGATTGTTGTACATAATGCGTTTGTTTTGTCATGGGAGATATTTATGAGTGTAATTCTGTTCACATTGTATTGCTATTGTGAAGAGACAATGTACTGTTTGGATGAATATGTAATTTGTTCCTTCCTAATTCAAACAAATTTTAGAAAAGGAAGAGATACTCTTATACAAAACAAATTTTATTTCCACACATACCATGTCCTGTAGTGATTAAAGGATATTGAAAATAGAGTGCACAAAAATAGTAATATAAACTGTGCAAATATGACAGAGTGTTTTGAATTACAGTAATCAGAAAATTCAAGTTGAAAGAGCATTGAGATGCTTTTATTGCCTATCATATAGATAAGAATTAATTGAATTCATAGTGCCCAATTGTACTGTAAGGTGTGGGAAAATTGGTAATGGTACTATTACATAAAATTAATGAAAATATGATTTTTAACATCATATCTGAGGGCAGTGTGAAACTAGATCATATTTTATCATGCCCATTTACTTTGGATCAGCAATTCCAATTCTGGGAAGCTATCTGTCAGAAGTATGCTTAATTGCCCATGGTGATATATGCTCAGAGGTGTTCACTGCAACATTATTTACAGTGGGTAAAGATTAGAAAAATCTGGGCTATCTCCCAATAGTGGTGAATGTTTTAAACCAAAACTAACAGAAAATAACACTTATCAAGGAGACATTCTTAATAGTGACTATGACCTACAATTTGTAACATTTGTCATTTCCAAAATATGTTGAGGATATTTAACATACAGTTGCATTTTGTAATCATTAAATAATTTGTATAGTTATGAATGCAATATATGTACAAAAATGATAGAAAAAGTTATATAAACAAATATAAGTGATATTTAATTCACTTTTTATTAGCAGTACACTTATATACATAATTGAGTTTACAATTATGTGCATACATTTTTTCTGTTCTATATTTTTATTTTTTAATAAAAATTGCATATATTTAAGTGTACAACCTGATTTTTTTATATACACATACATATACATAGTGAAATGATTAATACAGTCAAGCTAATTAACATAACCATCTTCTCACATAGTTTAGATGGGAGCACTTGAAATCTACTCTCTTCAAAAATTTCTGGTAATACAATACAATATCATTAACTACAGTAACCATGCTGTAGATATTAGATCTCTAGACTCATTCTTTCTGCATAACTGCAACTTTGTACTCTTTGACCAATAGATTCCTTTTCTCCCACCTCCCTGCCCCTAGTAACCACCATTTAATCCTGCTTCTATATATTGGACTTTTTTAGAGTCTACATGTAAGTGAGATCATGATCATGCATTTTCAAAACATGAATCAAGACACATGTATACATTAATAAATGCCTGGATATATTGCTTCTAAATTATTTCATTTGCATTTTCCATTTTATTGAACACTGCAGAACATACTATTTTTAATGATTGCATACTAATGTGTTATGAATATACATCTATTGTTGGATATTTTGTGTTGCTAATTTAAATATATGAAGTTTATCTTTGTGATGACAGTGTACAAATATATATTTCTGTCCACTTTTCTCATTTTGAGCCTTAGAATAATAATTGATAAATCAAAATTTATGAACATATTTTAAGCTTCTTAAAGAATAACATCAACATATCTTCGAAACAGATTGGGAAAATTTGCAATATTTGCAAATGGTGTACCTTCTTGGCAGCTCATATTGATCTTTGTGATTTTCTTTTTTTATTTTGATGACTTTAGAATAATACCTATTTTAATTTACATTTATGATTATTGGTGAGAATTAAACAAACTCCAGATATTTGCAGACCATTGTTATGTATTTCTTTATGTAGTTATTAATTTATTCATTTAGCTGGTAATGTACCATTGATTTTGCCAATTTTTAAGAAATTAGGTATTTGTAAGTAAATTTATATTTTAAATGTAAGATGTTAAAAAAGTTGCAGCCAGTGAAATAAAAATTTGGATATTGAAAAGTATTTTGATAGACTCATTACCATAATTGGATATTTTGTTTACTTTAGGTAAATGTACATAATTACATATGGGTTCTGGGTATGCATTTATTTATCCAAAAACTCAGAGTGATACTAAGCCAAGAATTATGCATGAAATAGGGATTAGAATAATGAACAGAATGTGCACATATTTTTCCTGTCATGGAACTTACATTGTAGCAAGAGGGGACAAAACATATAGTTAAAATATATAAAAACAAAAAGTTAAAATATATAAAATTTTAGGTAGCCAAATGAGATATAGAGAAAAGTAAGAAAAGCTATGGGGAATTTTGTATGTTCAGAAGAGATAGCACTAAGATGATACTTGAATAAAAACTTGAAGCGGATGGAGAGAGTTATGTGGATATCTGTAGGAAGAGCAGTTCAGGCACAGGAACCTGTAGGCACAAAGCCCAGGTAGGAGCAAGGGTGGCATTTACCAAATCAGAGTGAGAGAGGGGAACTGAGTGGAGATAAAGTTGTTACTGGAAGGGAATCCTTAACGGTCTGCATCAACCTCAATTCTTGCCTCCTCAAAAGAAAAAATTCAACAAAGGGGTATAAGGCAGAGTGAGAAGCCAAGGCAAGTTTTAGAGAAGGAGTGAAAGTTTATTAAAAAGTTTAGAGCTGGAATGAAAGGAAGTAAACTTGGAAAAGGGCTATGTGAGTGACTTGAGAGATTCAAGTACATGGTTTGAACTTTGACTTGGGATCCTATATGTTGGCATACTTATGGGGGCTGCATCCCTTCTGCCCTGATCCTTCCCTTGGAGTGGGCTATTCACATGCACAGTGGCCTGCCAGCAGTTGGGAGGGGCCATATGCTCAGTGTGTTTACAAAAATTGTGCACATGCTGAGCTTATTTGAGGCATTCTTCCCAGTGGAGTGTTTCTAGAGAAAGATCATATACCAGCTAAACTCCACCATCTTGACTGTTAGTGAGTATGCTTGAGCCTTCTCATTCAGCTCCTGAGATCTTATTGGGAAGCTGCTGATCACCAGTTTCAAATTGTCTCTATTGGGAGACTACCTTTCCCTGGCATGGTTGTGACTATTTATTATTTTAGGAGATATCTTAACAACTGCCTGACCATCACCTGATGGTTGCCTGACATTCCTGGTTGTGGGGGAAAGCTCTCCTGCCCTGCTCATGTTGGTCTAACTACCTACTATAAAAAAAGTCAGACCCTGTATGGCCTTAGGGTCATAACATTTGCATTTATAGACTGAATAAGATAAGAAGCCACTGGAGAGTTTCCAATATAGGAATATCATAATCTATCCAATGTCCTAAAATAATTAATAGGATGCTGTGTGGCAAAGAGATTAGTTAGCATTATTATAGTTGAGAAAGTGGGATTAGTATAGGGTTTTATTTATGGAAACTGTAAGAAAGGTTTCAAAATATATTTTGAAGGTGAGCTAAAACATTCTCTGAAGTACTGAATGTGGGAATTCTGCAGGACTGAATATTGACCACCATAGAATGTTAAGGAACACTGATTATTGTGCTGGTTATCTACTTATTGTCTCCATTTCCAAATCCAATTTTTCAAAACTGCTATGTGAAAATGGATCTGGGTTCGTAATATATATATTTTTTCCTTTTCTTTTGCCAATGACCCTAAAATTTTGACTCTAGAGGGTGCTAGAGAGACTTTGCAGGGGGGAGAAATATTATGTTTTATTGTTCTTGTTTCCTGCATGCATGGTTTTCTCTAGTACCAAGTCTTTCTTAATGCAATTAGAACTTTTTAAACTCTGCATCCATAAGAAAGTTTTGCAGTGATCACTACTAGTTTAATAAACAGACTTTCAGTTTTTATAAAAATGATCCTGTCAATGAAAAAAAAGAAACATATACTAAATATTTTCAATGCTAAGTAAATGATATTTGCTAAGAATGGCATTAGGATTCATTATGTCAATAATGATGAGAAATAAGTAAGCAATTCAACTGGTTTTCTCAAACATGGAAACTATTCTCCTGAAAGCCTTGGAAAAACTTGCACCTATTGTTAAGGAGTAGTACTTTTTGACCTTAGGTGCAATAACTCAGTTAATTTTAGAGAAGAGTTATTAAAAGTTATAACACATATGCACTAAAGAGTGAGGGAATGATAGTGTTGCTCATTCATTTTAGACACTTTTTTAGAGGAACAGGTATTTCTGAATGTGTATCTGTTAGAACAAAATAATTTGTTAAGATAAGAATATATTAATAAAAGCTTCTGGAATAAGAAGACTATATTCTCCTTTGTTGTTGTTGTTTCATTAACAAAATAACTGTGAGATGTACAGAGGAAACTATTTTCATAGTAACAATTTGCAAATTTGAGTGTAAACTCTGGAGAAACTCCAAGAACACACTCCAGGAAAGGGGAGGAAACTGAGGCATTTAAACCTTCCAGGGTTTGTTTGACATGCCTATTCATCAAGTTTGAGGGATGTCTATGTATGTGAATTAAGAAAGTCTAGTGCATGGTCAGTGCATTAACATATATGCAACATACATCTTACGTTCACTTTGGGGTAGGGTTTTATGTTAAGATAAAGTGGAATTCGGCTCTTTACATCAGAAGGTGCACTATATGGCACAAAGACGTTTTGTGTACAGTTTCTGCAAGCTTATGATCTGTAGCTTCTTATCAGGAAAGAATGTTTATAAGGTTGGCCTCCTATCCAACAGGTGCTGCGGGCACAATCAAGGAAGGGGTGTCACAATTGGTTGGAGTCAGTTAGTCCACTGAGGTTAGTTGCGTAGTCTTTCTCTAGAATGGATTTCTGTAATACCTAATTGCAGGAGGAAAACTTTATGGCAATTAACAAACCTTATAGTAGTTAACAATGTAGGGGTACCTGACCAAACCTTTCTCCCTGCTGTAGCTGCTTAGTTTTCTTTAGAGCGTTTCATTTTAGCCACAAAGAGTACTGATGAGAGTACCTCTCATCAGTCAGATAGGTACAATGTTGACACTTTTAAGGGTGAATATGTTGACACTTTTAAGGGTGAATATGTGCCAATGAAAATAGTGACAAGGTCCTTATGCAAAAATAGTTGACAGCACAGAAAAGGATAAGCTTAGCCTTCATTCTGTAATAATACATCAAAAATACTGTATATAGATGCATAATGTAGAACAAGTGTGTTTTGACAATTCTATTAATGATCTGTCTGATAGCATCAGAAAGGTCACTGAGGTAAGAAGGAAAGTCATGAGCTGAGAGTATGGACAAGAATATGGTTTGGGAGATTTGAGGAAGAAGACTTGTTTGAAGTTGTCATCCAGGACAGAGGAAGACTGACTGACCTAGAATACTAACAATGACAATTATAAAAATATATAGGAGCCCACATGATTTACAGTGAAAGCATTCAGCCCATTGTGAACTGCTTTTTTTTTTTAAACCAGCTTTATTCAGTTGCAGAAGTACAGCAATGGAGGAAGAGGAAAGTTTAATATAAGCAGGCTTGTAGGTTAGCCCTGTGAGAACAGAAATTTGAGAGAAAAACAGGGAATAATGAATGTAAGGAAAAGGGTGTTTATAATGATTAACTGTGAAACTTAAGTTTGTTATGAGAGTGGAATGGCCGCCAGTAACATGAGAATTAGGTAAAGGCTGTAGGGCCAATCAGACTGAGTTGGGGAAGGAGTAATTGTACCTTAGAATCAAATTGTACCTTAGAATATGAACAGCTTGTATCTAAGAGAAATAACAATATATTGGGTAAAACCATAGAATAAGAGGTTGAAATAGGGTAAATAATAAATAATCAAATCATTGGAAGAGAGAAGTTGAAGGAAATGCAAAACAGAGCATTGGAAAGATTGTACTTGAGGAATTACATAGAAATAGTAAAAGATAAAGACATAGAACTGGAGGAAAAAAACACAAGAGCCATAATTGTGGAGAAATGAAGGTGTTGAAAAATTATTCAGCTGTCAATAGATGACAGCAACAATGAGCAATGCGTAAAGTAATTTGATATAATTTTTAAAGATGGTTTAGAGAGAATAACAAGAAACAAATACTACATTAGCCATACTTCTAGAACCAGTGACAAGTGGGCTGTAGGAAGAAACAACAACACATAATGAAAGAAAAATATTCCACATGCTGGGAGATTTTCTCCATGCTTAAGTCAAGACACAGGAGCAATAGGCGATGTCTTCGGGATTCTGGTAAATATCTGTTTGTACAGAACAGTGTGCAAAATATTCGGAAGAGAGGTTGGGGATACAGGTGATTCAGTTAATGATGAAAATAAGTTCCCAGGTGTAACACTGGAATGGCTTAGTAGTTAGGAAGGAATAGGGAGAAGACCAAAGAGCCTTGTGTACCTTGGATGCTGAGGGGTGATTTAGAATTCTAGGGCATATTACACTAAATAATAAAAACAAGGAAATGGGACATATTAAAATAGGCTATGCTTACCAAAAATAATGGCCTGTAATTTTTTTTGTTTTGTTTGGTTTCTCTTGTTCCTATAGTCTCTTAACTTTTGTATTTTTAATATAGGCCTCAAAAAATGAATTTAGAGATGTTCCTTACTTCTCAATTTTATGAAAACTTTGAGAATTATTTGTGTTAATTATTCAAATGTTTAGTAGAATTAACTAATGAAGCCATCAGGTCCTGGGCTTTTATTTGTTGGAAAGTTTCTGATTAATGATTCGTTCTCCTAACTCATTAATGGTCAATTTATTTTTTACTTTACAAAAATATTTATATTTGGAAATAATTTCAAACTTAGAGAAGACTTGGCAAAACAAGGATAGTGTCAAATTATACAATAATCAGAGTGAAAATGCAATCTATGACTTGGGAGAAAAATTTGGAAATGATATATCTGGTAAGGGGTTAATATCAAAAATATACAAAGAATTCCTAAAATTTGAACAAGAAAAAGATGCATATAATTCAATTAAAAGATAGACAAAGGATCTGAATAGACATTTCTGCAAAGAAGACATACAAATGGCCTACAAGTATATGGAAAAGTGTTCAAAATCATTAATTATCAAAGAAGTGCATATTCAAACCCCCATGCCAATTAGGAAAGCTATTATCCAAAAAACAAAAATAAAATAAAAATTTTATTTTATTTAAAATAAACATTTAAAGTACATTTACCATGTGACCCAGCAGCACTTCTGCAAACATATCTAAAAGAATTGAAATCAGAATGTCAAAGAGATAAATGTGTTCCCATGCTCACTGTGGTATTATTGACAATAGCCAAGATATGAAAACAGCTTATTATCATATCAACCTATTATCATAGACAGATGAATAAAGAAAATGTGACACACACATGCAATGAAATATAATTTATGCTTAAAAAGGAAATTTTTCGGCCAGGCATGGTGGCTCACGCCTGTAATCCCAGCACTTTGGGAGGCCGAGGCGGGCGGATCACGAGGTCAAGAGATCAAGACCATCCCGGCCAACATGGTGAAACCCTGTCTCTACTAAAATTACAAAAATTAGCTGGGCATGGTGGCGCATGCCTGTAGTCCCAGCTACTTGGGAGGCTGAGGCAGGATAATTGCTTGAACCTGGGAAGCAGAGGTTGCAGTGAGCTGAGATTGCACCACTGCACTCCAGCCTAGTGACAGAGTGAGACTCTGTCTTAAAAAAAAAAAAAAAGTCCCTCTCCTTCTCCCTCTCCCTCTCTCCCTCTCTTCCTTTCTCCCTCTCTCTCCCTCTCTCCCTCTCTCCCTCTCGTCTCCCTCTCCCCTTTGCACGGTCCTCGTCTCCCCTTTGCACGGTCTCCCTCTGATGCCCAGCCGAGGCTGGACTGTACTGCCGCCATCTCGGCTCACTGCAGCCTCCCTGCCTGATTCTCCTGCCTCAGCCTGCCGAGTGCCTGGGATTGCAGGTGCGCGCCGCCACACCTGACTGGTTTTCGTATTTTTTGGTGGAGACGGGGTTTCGCCGTGTTGGCTGGGCTGGTCTCCAGCTCCTGACCGCGAGTGGTCTGCCAGCCTCGGCCTCCCGAGGTACCGGGATTGCAGATGGAGTCTCGCTCACTCAGTGCTCAATGTTGCCCAGGCTGGAGTGCAGTGGTGTGATCTCGGATCGCTACAACCTCCACCTCCCAGCCGCCTACCTTGGCCTCCCAAAGTGCTGAGATTACAGCCTCTGCCCGGCCTACACCCCGTATAGGAAGTGAGGAGCGTCTCTGCCTGGCCGCCCATCGTCTGGGATGTGAGTAGCCCCTCTGCCTGGCCGCCCAATCCGGGAAGTGAGGAGCACCTCTTCCTGGCCGCCACCCCGTCTAGGAAGTGAGGAGCATCTCTGTCTGGCCGCCCATCGTCTGGGATGTGAGGAGTCCCTATGCCCGGCCGCCCAGTCTGGGAAGTGAGGAGCACCTCTTCCCGGCCGTCATCCCGTCTAGGAAGTGAGGAGCGTCTCTGCCCGGCCGCCCATCATCTGGGATGTGGGGAGCGCCTCTGCCCCGCCGCCCCGTCTGAGATATGAAGAGTGCCTCTGCCCGGCCGCGACCCCGTCTGGGAACTGAGGAGTATCTCTGCCCCGCCGCCACCCCGTCTGGGAGGTGAGGAGCGTCTCTGACCGGCTGCCCCGTCTGAGAAGTGGGGAGCCCCTCCGCCCGGCAGCCGCCCCGTCCGGGAGGTTGGGGGCAGCCCCCGCCCGGCCAGCCGCCCCGTCTGGGAGGTGGGGGCGCCTCTGCCCGGCCGCCCGGTCTGGGAAGTGGGGAGCCCCTCTGCCCAGCCACCACCCCGTCTGGGAGGTGGGGGGGGGCCCTCTGCCCTGCCTCCCCGTCTGGGAAGTGAGGAGCCCCTCTGCCCGGCCGCCACCCGGTGTGGGAGGTGGGGGGCGCCTCTGCCCGGCTGCCCCATCTGGGAAGTGAGGAGCCCCTCTGCCTGGCCACCACCCCGTCTGGGAGGTGTACCCAACAGCTCATTGAGAACAGGCCATGATGACAATGGCGGTTTTGTCGAATAGAAAAGGGGGAAATGTGGGGAAAAGAAAGAGATCAGATTGTTATTGTGCCTGTGTAGAAAGAAGTAGACATAGGAGACTCCATTTTGTTCTGTACTAGGAAAAATTCTTCTGCCTTGGGATGCTATTAATCTATAACCTTACCCCCAACCCTGTGCTCTCTGAAGCATGTGCTGTGTCCACTAAGGGTTAAATGGATTAAGGGCGGTGCAAGTTGTGCTTTATTAAACAGATGCTTGAAGGCAGCATATTCCTTAAGAGTCATCACCACTCCCTAATCTCAACTACCCAGGGACACAAACACTGCGGAAGGCGGCAGGACCCTCTGCCTAGGAAAACCAGAGACCTTTGTTCACATGTTTATCTGCTGACCTTCCCTCCACTATTGTCCTATGACCCTGCCAAATCCCCCTCTCCGAGAAACACCCAAGAATGATCAATAAATACTGAAAAAAAAAGGACCCTAGAGAGCTCTAGCATCCTCTTTCCACCATGTGAGTACACAGTAATAAGTCAGCAGTCTGCAATCCTGAAGAGGCTACTAACCAGAACCTGACCATACTGGCACCCTGGTCTAGGATTTCCAGCCTCCAGAACAGTGAGAAATAAATTTCAATTGTTTGAAAAAAAAAAAAAATTGCCATTTATAAATTTGGCTAAGTGAAGTACATCCATACAGAGGGGCAGATATTGCATCATCCTGCTTATATTAGGTATTTAAGATTGTCAAACTCGTAAAGGTGGGCAGTAGAATAATGGTTAACAGGGACTAGGGAAAAGGGGATATAAGGAGTTTTTTTCCAATGGGTGTAAATTTCAGGTATGCAACAGGAAATTCTAGGTATCTGTTGTACAGCATAGTGCCTATGGCTAAAAATACTGTGTTGTGCATAGAAAAATTGGTCAAGAGAGTAAATTACAAGTTAAATGTTCTTACCACAAAAAAGAAGAGGTCATTTTGAGGTGATTGTGTTTATTATCTTGATTCTGGTGATGGTTTCATTAATGTATGCATATGATCAAACCAAACAAATTGCATACATGGATATCTGTAGCTTTTTGTGTATCAATTACACCTCTATAAAGATGTTTAAAAATGTTTCACTACTCTACTTATTTGCTCTTTGGTTTTATGCAAATTGTTTAAGTGCTTAATAATTGTTTTAGGGTGAAAAGCTTAATGTAATAATTAAAGTATTAAAATGTATGTAAAGTACTTAGAATAGTGCTTGGCTAAAAAGCGATGCAATTCGTAACATTTTTATTTATTTAATTCAACCTTAATTCTGTGTACTTTTTCATATTATCTTGACTAAACTAGTTTAAGACTTACCTGCTTTACGTTTTTTTCTTATCCTGTAACAAATCTTCGTCTATAAATTTTCTTAGAATATCACACAGAGAATGGTTTTATAAAAAAAATTAAGAACTTTAGTAGTTGTCAGTATAAATATATTACCATAAATACAACTAGATAAAATAATTCTAAAGTATATAAAGTAATTATGTAAGTCACAACATTATGCAAATCATGTTTATTATGCTTAGGCATAAAAGGTCAAGCAGTATCTCTAAATCTTAATTTTAGAGCAGTCCTCACTGCTATGATTTGAACTAGTAAAGATAGCATACATAATGATGTAAATATTTTTTGGATCATCTGTTATAATGTATGCAAATACCACCTAGGATTATAAACAAGCTTAAATTGTTTAATATATTTTGTATATCTCAAACATTTATTATAATTCCTATCATTCTTTAAATACCAAATGTCGAGAATTCAAGTAGAAAGAAAATCAATCAAAATGCCAAAATCTGCATGTTCATATTTAAATTATCATAAGTATTGATGAATGTCAAAAGTAATATATTCTTAGACAGTAAAAGGTTGAATTTATTATCAGTAAACATACATTATTAATGTCCTCATTATACAATAATAAAAATCCTGAAATATATTGTTATAAGCAATAGATAATACTTTAACAGGTGGGATTATAATATTTCTAGCATATACATTAAACAGCAATGAAATTTGAAAGACTTCAAATTCTACAACATGCTTTGACAATTGGACCTCCTGAAACTATAGTATTCATATAATTTTACTAGACATCAATTGCAAATGTTAAGGTAATTTAAGAAAATCAATCATTTATGCTGCCTTTTTGAAGAAGGAATACATGTACTAATTATTAAAAATTATACCTTAATTTTACTTTTAATATTATTGTGACTATGCAACCCTGCCATATAATAGTCTATATGGTATTCAAGTTAGACAGAAATTAGTCAGTGTGTTAAAAAATAAGAAACACATTAGTGTTTTGCCTTATATTATTTAGTGGAAAATATTTTTAAATGATTTTTTAAATTTTTTTTTAATTTTTATTGAGACAGAGTCTCACTTTGTCGCCCAGGCTGGAGTGCAGTAGCATGGTCTTGGCTCATTGCAAGCTCCGCCTTCCAGGTTCACGCCATTCTCCTGCCTCAGCCTCCCAAGTAGCTGGGACTACAGGCGCCCGCCACCACGCCTGGCTAATTTTTTGTATTTTTGGTAGAGACGGGGTTTCACTGTAGCCAGGATGGTCTCGATCTCCTGACCTCGTGACTTGCCCCTCTCGGCCTCCCAAAGTGCTGGGATTACAGATGTGAGTCACCACCCCTGGCCATAAATGTTTTTTGCTACTAATATTTCAACATTTTTGAACTGTGGACTAGATTTATGTATTAAACTAAGATGAGATGCTCTAAAGTTGAGAGTATAAATATGATATTAGCTAATTTTAAGTGATAGAAATTAAACCATTCAAAATAATAAATAGTTTCAATACAGTAATGCACTCATAAAGTCATTTCAGTCAATATTGGACTGCATACATGAAGGTGGTTCCATCAAATAATGGAGCAGAAATATTCCTATTGCTTAGTGATGTCATAGCACAATGCATTGCCTTTTTGATAATTCTTTTCTTTCTTTCTATTTTTTTTTTAATTGAATTGGAGTCTCACTCTGTCTTCCAGGCTGGAGTGCAGTGGCACGATCTCGGCTCACTGCAACCTCTGCATCCTGGGTTCAAGTGATCCTCCTGCCTCAGCCTCCTGAGTAGCTGGGATTACAGGTGTGCACCATCACACCTGGCTAATTTTTTATATTTTTGGTAGAGATTGGGTTTCACCATATTGACCAGGCTGGTCTCGAACTCCTGACCTGAAGTGATTCACCTGCCTCAGCCTCCCAAAGTGCTGGGATTACAGACGTGAGTCACCGCGCCCAGCCTACCTTTTCTATGTTTTGATACACAAATACTATTGTGTTACAGTTGCCTACAGTATTTGGTACAGTAGCATGCTATACAGGTTTGTAGCCTAGTAGCAATAGGCTATGCCATATAACCTAGCTACGTAGTAGGCTATATGGGTTTGTGTAAATGCACTCTATGCTAGTCACAAAAAGATCAACTCACCTAATGATGTATTTCTCAGCATGTATCCCCATTGTTAAATAATACATGACTGCTCATATGCTAAGTTGAAGTGTTTAAAAAGAGAAGTTAATATGAACTAAAATGAATTATTTTTAGAAAAATATCCAATAGTTATTTTATAGTGATATTTTTAGTTTATTTTTGTTTAATTCATTAATTTATTCATTGTCTGTTCCCCATGGAGCAAAACCTACTTTGCTTTAATTCTGTTTTTTTGTTTGTTTGTTTCTAACTGTATATGTAAATATCCCTCTTGAAACAGAAAGGAGCCAATTCAGCTACATGACATTGACTTTCTTCTTTCAATTTTTTTTTCCATGTGATAACCTCAACCTCATCCATTTCAGTATGAAAATGTGGTTATTTAGAAAGATGCATCAAGATAATATTGTAATTGTGCTTCTAATTGTTTGAGGATACTAGTACAGACAGTGAGAACAAGAAAAGCAAGTGTGATCAAATTCAGGAAACCAAAAAGGATATATTTTATTTTGTGATAATATTAATTGTATAATTGTAAAAGTGACAAAGAAACAAGCTCTAGGATATTCTTCATTAAATTTATTTCCACACATTTAAGGGTTTTGGACGCATTAAAAATATATTTTTAAAATCATAATATTTGTTACTGTACAAATAACTCTGTTGTATATTGAACATGTATTTTGCTGCATTGCAAAATTTACTAAATTTTAATAGCTTTCAACCTTTCTTAGAATTTTCTACAAAGAAAATCATAAAGTCTAGGATTAGAAAGATTTAAAATACTTCATTTTCAATATTTATGTATTTTATTTCTTTTTTCTACCTTAATTTACTAGTTGGGACCTCTTGGAAATAATGAATAAAAAGTGTAAAAAATAGACATCTATAATTTCTATTCCTATAGAAAAAAAATTGTTTGATTTATCTTACAGATAAATTGCTTAATAAGTATGAAGTTAGCTGTAAATTTTTTATTATATAAATGTCATTAGTCATATTGAGGACATTCCCTTGACTCTTACATTGCAATTTTTTAAAATATAAAATTAGTGTTCTGTTTTGTCAAATAACTTTTATTTGAAAAATGTTTATATTAAAAAGATCATATGGTTTATCTCCTATATTCGGTAAATTTGGTTACATTGGTAAGTTAAATTTTAAATTATGAATCAAATTTGATGTTTTATATTTCAATTGTTTATTTTGTTTTCTGATACTTTTGAGAACATTTACATTTATGTCTCTCATAAATATTAGACAGCAATATTATTTTCTTGTCAGAGTTAGAGATCAGAAATTTTTAAGCCTCATAAAATGAGTAGGGAACAGTTTTTTCATTTTCTAATATCTAGGCCTAGTTCTTTTATTCTGTTGTTGATAAATTCAATTTTTGATAGATTTATAACTATTAAGATGCTCTATTTTATTTATTATATTAGACTTGCAAACATTTTATGCATTTTGAGTTTTTAAATTTATTATACCCTTTTTCATAATATTTTCTTATTGTGATTTTATTGTCTCTAGGATTTTGATTCTGTACATCTTCCATTTTTAACATTGGAAAGTTGTATCTTTTATTTCATTTTTGGGAGGCATTTTTAAAATTTTTTATTTTAGTAGATTTTTTAAGAACAGGTGATAGTTGGTTACATGGATATCTTCAGTGGTAATTCCTGAGATTTTCCTGCACCCATCACGTGAGCAATGTACACTGTACCCAATGTGTAGTCTTTTATCTCTCATCACACCCCACCCTTTCCTGTGAGTCCCCATAGTCCAATGTATCATTCTTATGTCTTTGTGTCCTCATAGCTTAGCTCCCACATGTGAGTGAGAACATACAGTATTCGCTAAGTTACTTCATTTAGAATAATAATCTCCAACTCCACCCAAGTTGCTACAAAGCATTATTTTATTCTTTTTTATGGCTGAGTAGTGTATGGTGTATGTGTGCGTATATATGTGTGTATATATATACACACATATATACGCACACATACACCCACACACACAAAAAAAAATTTTCTTTATCCACTGGTTGATTGACAGGCATTTGGGCCGTTTCCATATTTTTGCAGTTGAAATTTATGCTATTACATATATATGTGTGTGTATATATATATATACACATATATATGTGTATATATGCACATACATATACATATATGTGTATATATGTATATACACACTATATATACACACAATATTTTCTTTATCCACTGGTTGATTGATGGGCGTTTGGGCTGGTTCCATATTTTTGCAATTGAAATTTGTACAGCTATAAACATACTTGTGCAAGTATCTTTTTTGTATAATGACTTCTTTTCCTCTGGGTAGATATCAAGTAGTGGGATTACTGGATCAAATAGTAGATCTACTTTTAGTTCTTTAAGGAATCTCCACACTGTTTTCCATAGTGGTTTTACTAGTTTACATTCCCATCAGCGATGTGAAAGTGTCCCTTTTCACCACATCTACATCAACATCTATTATTTTTTGATTTTTTGATTATGGCCATTCTTGTGTGAGTGAGGTGGTATCCCATTGTGGTTTCAATTTGCATTTCCCTGATCATTATAGCGATGTTGAGCGTTTTTCCATATGCTTCTTGGCCATTTGTATAGCTTCTTTTGGGATTATCTATTCATGTTCTTAACCCACATTTTTATGGGATTTTATTTTCTTCATGCTTATTTGTTTGAATTCTTTGTAGATTCTGTATATTAGTCCTTTGTCAGATGTGTAGATTGTGAAGATTTTCTCCCACTCTGTGGTTTGTCTGTTAACTATGCTGCATATTCTTATGCTGTGTAGGAGCTTTTCAGTTTAATTAAGTCCCACTTATTTATCTTTGTTTTTGTTGCATTTGCTTGCATTTTGTTGCATTTGTTGTTTTGTTGCATTTTGGGTTCTTGGTCATGATTTTCCCACTTTATGTTTTTGTTTTCTTTGTTGAAGATCAGTTGGCTGTAAGTATATGGGTTATTTCTGTGTCCTCTATTCTGTAGCATTAGTCTATGTGCCTAGTTTTACACCAGTACCTTGCTGTTTTAGTGACTATGGCCATGTAGAATAGTTTGAAGTCAAGAAATGTGATGCCTCCAGATTTGTTCTTGCTTCGTCTTGCTTTCACTGTGTGGGTCTCTTTTTTGGTTCCTTGTGAATTTTAGGATTATATTTTCTAGTTCTGTGAAGAATGATGGTGGTATTTTGATGGGAATTGCATTGAATTTGTAGATTGCTTTTGGCAGTGTGGTCATTTACACAATAATGATTCTACCTATCAATGAGCATGGGATGTGTTTCCATTTGTTTGTGTCATCTATGATTTCTTTCAGCATTGTTTTGTAGTTTTCCTTGTAGAGGTCTTTCATGTCCTTGGTTAGGTATATTCCTAAGTATTTTATTTTTATTTTTTGTAGCTATTGTAAAGGGATTGAGCACTTGATTTGAGTCTCAGTTTGGTCGCTGTTGATGTATAGCAGAACTACTGATTTGTGTACCTTAATTTTGTATCCTGAAACTTTGTCGAATTCATGTACTAGTTCTAGGAACTTTGGGGATGAGTCCTTTAGGGTTTTCTCGGTATAGATTATATCATCAGCAAACAGTGACAGTTTTAGTTCCTCTTTACTGATTTGGATGCCATTTATTTCTTTCTCTTGTCTGATTTCCCTAGCTAGAACTTCCAGTACTACGTTAAATAGAAATGGTGAAAGTGGGCATCCTGGTCTTGTTCCAGTTCTCAGGGGGAATGCTTTCAACTTCTCCTCATTCAGTATAATGTTGGCAGTTGGTTTGACATAGATGGATTTTATTAACTTAAGGTATATGCCTTCTGTGCCAATTTTGCTGAGGTTTTTAATCATAAAGTGATGCTTTTTCTTGGTCTATTGAGATGATAATGTGTTTTCATTTTTAATCATGTTTATGTAGTATATCACATTTATTGACTTAGGTATGTTAAACCAATCCTGCATCCCTGGTATGAAACCCACTTGATCATGGTGGATTGTCTTTTTGATATGCTGTTGGATTTGGTTTGCTAGTATTTTATTGATAATTTTTGCATCTATGTTTATCAGAGATATTGCTTTGTAGTTTTCTTTTTTTGTTATGTCCTTCCCTAGTTTTCATATTAGGGTGATACTAGCTTCATATAACGATTTAGGGAGGATTCCCTCTTTATCTTTTGGAATAATGTCAGTAGGATTAGTACCAATGCTTTGAATATCTGATAGAATTCACCTGTGTATCTGTGTGGTCCTGGACTTTTTTTGTTGGCAATTTTTTCATTACAATTTCAATCTCACTCCTTGTTATTGGTCTTTGCAGAGATTCTACATCTTCCTGGTTTAATCTAGGATGGTTGTATATTTCCAGGAATTTATCCATCTCTTCCAGATTTTCTTGTTTATGTGCATAAAGGTGTTCATATACTAGCCTTAAATAATATTTTGTGTTCCTGTGGTATCAGTCGTAATATCCCCTGTTTTGTTTCTAATTGAGCTTATTTGGATCTTCTCTTTTCTTTACTTGGTTAATCTCACTAATGGTCTATCAATTTTATTTATCTTTTTGAAGAACAAACTTTTTCTTTCATGTATCTTTTGTTCTTGTTGTTTGTTTCAATTTTATTTAGTTCTGGTCTGATCTTTGTTATTTCTTTTCTTTTGCTGGGTTTGGGTTTTGATTGTTCTTGCTTCTCCAGTTGAGTGAGGTATGATCTTAGATTTTCTATTTGTGCGCTGTCAGACTTTTTGATGTAGGCATTTAATCCTGTGAACTTTCCTCTTAGCACCACCTTTGCTTTATCCCAGGGATTTTGATAGGTTGTGTCACTATTATCATTCAGTTCAAATAATTTTTTAAATTTTCATCTTGATTTCATTATTGACCCAACAATCATTCAGGAGCAGGTTATGTAATTTCCATGTATTTGCATGGTTTTGAGAGTTCCTTTCGTAGTTGATTTCCAATTTTATTTCACTGCGGTCTGAAAATCTATAACTTAGATTTTCTTAAATTTACTGAGACTTGTTTTCTGGCCTATCATACGGTCTATCTTGGAGAATGTTCTATGTGTTGATAAATAGAATGTATGTTCTGCAGTTGTTGGTTAGAATGTTCTTTAAATATCTGTTATGTCCATTTGATGTAGTGTATAGTTTAATTAAGTCTATTGTTTCTTTGTTGGCTTTCTGTCTTGATGACCTGTCAAGTGCAGTCAATGGAGTATTAAAGTCCCCCACTATTATTGTGTTGCTGTGTATCTCATTTATTGGGTCTGATAGTAATTGTTTTATACATTTTGGAGCTCTAGTGTTGGGTGCATATATATTTAAAATTGTGATATTTTCCTGTCAGACTGGTCTTTTGTTATCATTATATAATGTCCCTCGTTGTCTTTCTTAATTGTTGTTGCTTTAAAGTTTGTTTTGTCTGACATAAGAATAGCTACTCCTGCTTGTTTTTGGTGTCCATTGCATGGAATATCTTTTTACACAACTTTACCTCAAGTTTATGTGAGTCCATAAGTGTTAGATGAATCTCCTGAAGACAGCAGAAACTTGGCTGGTGAATTCTCATCTATTTTGCCATTCTGTATCTTTTAAGTGAAGTATTTAGGCCATTTACATTCAGTGCTTGTATTGAGATGTGAGGTACTATTTTATTCATCATGCTATTTTTTTTCCTGAATACACTTTTTTTTTCATTTTGTTATTATTAAATAGGTCCTGTGAGATTTATGCTTTAAGGGGGCTCTATTTGTTTTATTTTAAGAATTTGTTTCAAGATTTAGAGCTCCTTTTAGCAGTTCTTGTAGTTCTGGATCGGTAGTGGTGAATTATCTCAACGTTTGTTTGTCTGGAAAATAATGCACCTTTTCTTCATTTATGAAGCTTAGTTTTGCTAGATACAAAATCCTTGGCTGATAATTATTCTGTTTAAGGAGGCTAAAAATAGGACCTCGATCCCTTCTAGCTTGTAGGGTTTCTGCTCAGAAACCTGTTGTTACTCTGATAGGTTTTCCTTTATAGGTTACCTGATGATTTTGCATCACAGTTGTTAAGATTCTTTCCTTCACCTTGACTTTAAATAACCTGATTACTATGTGCCTAAGTGATGATCTTTTTGTGATGAATTTCCCAGGTGTTCTTTAAGCTTCTTGTATTTGGATGTCTAGATCTCTAGGAAGGATGAGGAAGCTTTCCTCAATTATTCCCCCAAATATGTTTTCCAAACTTTTAGATTTATCTTCTTCCTTGAGAACACCAACTATTCTTAGGTTTGGACATTTAACATGCTCCCAAACTTCTTGGAGGCTTTGTTAATTATTATTAATTTTTTGCCTTTTAATGGATTGGGTTAATTTGAAAGCCTTGTCTTTGAGCTCTATAGTTCTTTCTTCTGCTTCTTCAATTCTATTGCTAAGACTTTACAGTGCATTTTGCATTTTTCTGTGGCATCTTCTTGATTTCTAGAAGTTGCGATTGTTTTTTTCTTATTTGTAGTATCTATTTCACCGAAGAATTTCCCTTTCATATCCTGTATCATGTATTTGATTTCTTTAAGTTGGACTTCACTTTTCTCTGGTGCTTCCTTAATTAGCTTAATAATCTAACTGAATTCTTTTTCTGGTATTTCATCTTGATTTGGATCTATTGCTGGTGAGCTGGTATGATTTTTTTAGGGTGTTAAGACCCTTGTTTTGTCATATTACCAGAATTGCTTTTCTTGTTTCGCCTCATTTGGGTAGACTATGTCAGAGAGAAGATCTGGGATTGAAGGGCTGCTGTTCTCCACCCTTTTTGTCTCATGGGGTGCTCCCTTAATGTGGTGTTCTCCACCTTCCCCTAGGAATGAGGCTTCCTGAGAGCTGAACTGTAGTGATTGCTTTTGCTCTTCTGGGTCTAGCCACCCAGCAGAGCTACCAGGCTCCAGGCTGGTAATGGGGAGTGTCTGCAGAGAATCATGTGATGTCATCCGTCTCAGGGCTTGCAGCCATGGATATCAGCACCTGCTCTGATGGAGGTAGCAAGGGAGTGAAGTGGACTCTGTGAGGGCTCTTGATTGTGTTTTTGTTTAGTGCTCTGGTTTTGTGTTGGTTGGCCTCCAGGCAGCATCAGCTGTAGTCCTATAGAGAGGATGCAAACTTGCCCTAGGGACACCTGGTTAAGTATTCAGGTTTCTCAGGTGGTGGGCAGGGCCATAGAGCTCCCAAGACATTATGACCTTTGTTTTTGGCTTCCAGGGTAAGTAGAGAAAGACCACCAGGTTGGGCAGGGATAGGCATATCTGAGCTCAGCCTCTCCTGGGACAGGGCTTGTTGCAGCTGCTGTGGGGGATGGAGGTGTGGTTTCCAGTGCAATGGACTTATATTCCCAGGGGGAATCTGGCTGCCTCTGCTGAGTCATACAGGTAACCAGGGAGGTGGGGGAGAATGGCAGTCACAGGCCTCTCCCCACTCAGTCCTAAAAGATGGCCTCACTCCCACCATGCCACGCCCCCAACAGCACCAAGTGTATTTCCAGGCAGCCGGTGACCAAGACAGAACTAGCCCCAGACCATGAGCCTCTCTTTTGAGAAAACAAGCCAAGTAACAGTTTTTCCACGTCTCTGGGAGCCTGTAGTGGTGATCCAGTTCCTTCAAACTGTATATGGATTCTTTCAACTTTCCTGGTATGTTCCTGCTTTAGTTCTTGGAACAAAAGTTCTCAATGTGTGCCTCTACACATAGCTCAGTCCATCCAAGTGAGGGCTGCAAGCTAGCCCTGCCTCCTATCCGCCATCTTGATTCTTGTATTTTATTCTCAAAATACAATTTTATTTGCAAAGGATAAAAAGCACTATCCGTTTTCTATATCACTCGCCTGCTTTCAATTCATATTCATTTCTGGTTTTATCTTACTCATTTATTTCTTATAGCTTAATTATTTCTTTTTCTCTTTTTAATTACCTTGAGTTTAATTTTCTCCTTGTTTAATAGTTTTTAAAAGTAGAAGTTTAAACCATTCATGTATTTTTCAATACAGAAGCTAATTCCATGAATTTCCTTCTAAAAACAGTACTTAATAATTTTGATATCTTATATGTTCCTTATCAGTCACATCACAAAATTTTCTAATTTGATTTGTGCTATTTGGAAGTTATTGTTCATTTTCCTAAAATTTTTGTATTTTTGCTTTTTCATATTATTGATTTCTAATTTATTTCCAACTTGGCCAGAGAAAATATTCTGTAGTATTTTTCAACATTATTAAAACTTATTATAAATTCCAACATATGGTCCACCTTGCTTAGTGCTCCATGTACACTTACAAAGAAGTGTATTTTGTTGTTAGTTGTAGCCATAAGTTTTCTTATAAAAGTCATTAATCATATTGAGGAATATAAGTAAACCAATATGAGTAAGCCAATTTGGATGACAGTGTTTAAATTTTCTATATCTTACATGTAGTTCAATTTTTCTGTGACATATTAAGAAAGAGATAATGTAACTTTCAATGCTGACTGTAGGCTTGACTACTTTTCTCCTTATCTCTGACATACTTAAATTATATCCTTTACAGTTCTGGTACTATATTTATACATTTGTAAGACAGTTATATCATTTTGATTAATTAAATTTATCATTAAAAACATGTATCACTCTAAAGGTTTCTTTTAAAAAATCTTATAAAAGCCCTTGTTTTAAAGTCTATTTTGTCTGTTGTTAATAAAACCCCTCCAGATTTCTTATGCTCACTGTTTGCTTGATGTATCTTTTTACATCTTTTCCTTTCAACCTGTCTCTATTTTTATTTTTGAAGTGCATTCATTTTGACCAGCATATATTTTGATCTACCTTTTTTCTACCTTTCTTCTTTTCTAATTTTCTTCTTATAAGTGTTCACATTTGTTCATAATTATATGATTCTTGATGTGTTCAGTAATTTTTATTATATACTCATAATTTTAAATTTTAAAATTATGAGCATATAGTAAGTTTTAAAATTATGAGTATATAAGAAAAATTATAAATTTAAATTTTGAACTTTCTAAATTTGAAGTTGTGAACTTCAAAATTATTAGTATAGAATAAAAATTACTCAGCACTAAATTTAAGATGATGAATATTTAATAAAAATCACCAAACACTTCAAGACATTTTGCTTTCTTCTGAAAGTCGTGAATTTGGTTCTGGCAAGCAATTAATTTACAATCTCATCTCTGGTCTTTTCTAAACTTTTAAAAACTTTATTATAATGAGTCTAGACAAACTCTTACTCTTAGGTTAGAATAGCTCTTCACATATATGTGGCCTTTCTTTGTGTGTCAATGAAATTCTTGAGATGCTCATAAAACTTCTGTATCGTCAAGTGCTATGCTGCTTTCAGAATCTCCTTTCTGCTCATGCCTCCAGGGCCCATAAATACCTAACCTCTCTGGATCAAATTAAGGGAACAGAGAGAGAACAAAATAAGTGTTTTTTGAAACATTTTTAAATGAAGACCTAGTGATCATTCTTTAAATCCAGGTAATGTTGAGAAGACAATTAGTGAAAGAAATCTGGATTACAGGGACTTACTCAGTTCTAAAATATAAATATTTAGTCTTTAGATTATAGATTGCATTTAAATACATGAATAGGCAATATTCTCTGCAGATGTAACCAATCATTATCTGTAAAAGGCCAGATAGTAAATGTATTATGCTTTTTGGGTCACATATAGTCATTGTTGCACATTCTTCCTTTCTGGAAAAAGAAATCTCTTAACAAATTTAAAAACCATTTCTAGCTCTAGGCTGTGGACTAGACTTGGCCAATGAGCCATAGTTTACTGATCCTTGTTTTATAACATGTAGCCTGCAAAGTGGAAGGCATAGAGCTAGATTAGATACAGTATAGTCTATCAATTATAATATAAGGCAATAATGAAGCATGTGTGTACAGATTGAGGTAGGCTAGTAGATACGGAGGTAAGAACTAGTGGAAGTTCTTATCTGAATTCTTCAGTTTTCTCAGTGGGAGTGAAAAAGAAGGAGGGGGAGTTTTAGGTTTCAGGGGAGCAGAAAACTTATACAACAACCACCTAAGCCTGTGAGAGAATAAATAGACAAGGGACAAACAAAGTGATTACCCATGTATCATGAGAGAACCACCTAATATTAATGTTCAGGGATTTTAATGTCATATGATTAAAAACATGGGTTATATAATAGATAGTGAGAATGTAGTACAATCAAATAATAGTAGGTAAATATGTGTAAAAAATTATTGGAGACATGGT
The DNA here is from genome assembly GCF_000001405.40 of Homo sapiens. NCBI lineage: Eukaryota > Metazoa > Chordata > Mammalia > Primates > Hominidae > Homo > Homo sapiens. The sequence continues at coordinate 189,240,034 of NC_000001.11, forward strand.
GGTGGTTGAAAGATCATGCTTAAAATTAAAATCTTAGAAAGAAATAGATATTGGTAATAGTCCTGAACATGACCATCATAATGGGTGGCTGTGGTAGACAAAAGCAAGGAGACAAAAGGGCAGAAATTATAAGAATCATTTGTGTGGTAATTAGTATCAAAAAGATTTATGAAAGCAATTGCAGCGTAGTGAGTAACGGTTCCCTAAAGTCTTAAAGAAAGCCTGTAGATGATTGCTATAAGAAAGAGTAGTGCACTAAATAATTGTATAAAATGAATTATCAAGGACCTATGGGTATACATTTTATATATTTCAAGGCATAAAATTAATATTTGACCCTACCTGTAGTTACTCTGTGTATAGTAAGGAGACACAATTGCTATTATCACACATGAGTATGTTCACAGCATTTGGAAATTAGTCCATGTGTGCAAGCCACACAGAGAACCTTAAGTATTCTCATGACTGCACTAATTCTTCCACATTCCTTGGACTCACTGCATCCAAGTATATGTTGCCTGCCAAATTTCAGTGGAGACCTTCTAAAGCTGCAGTGTGGATTTATTGTTAAATAATGGCAATATTGCTAATAACATGTTGCTAATGATTTACTTTTTGTTTTTTTTTATTTCCAACTTTTTTAAAAATTTTATTATTATTATACTTTAAGATTTAGGGTACATGTGCACAATGTGCAGGTTAGTTACATATGTATACATGTGCCATGCTGGTGTGCTGCACCCATTAACTCGTCATTTAGCATTAGGTATATCTCCTAAAGCTATCCCTCCCCCCTCTCCCCACCCCACAACAGTCCCCAGAGTGTGATGTTCCCCTTCCTGTGTCCATGTGTTCTCATTGTTCAATTCCCACCTATGAGTGAGAATATGCGGTGTTTGGTTTTTTGTTCTTGCGATAGTTTACTGAGAATGATGATTTCCAATTTCATCCATGTCCCTACAAATGACATGAACTCATCCTTTTTTATGGCTGCATAGTATTCCATGGTGTATATGTGCCACATTTTCTTAATCCAATCTATCATTGTTGGACATTTGGGTTGGTTCCAAGTCTTTGCTATTGTGAATAGTGCCACAATAAACATATGTGTGCATGTGTCTTGATTTACTTGACTCCCAAGAAAGAGTTGAGCTAGGAAGTTATTTGTAGTAACAATACAATTTAAATAATAATAAGTGTTTCTTGGACACCTCACCTGTATTTTTCATCATGCTGTGATTCTCCACCCAAATGTAAAAATTAGCTTTCTTTCTGAGAAAGATAATTGTGAGGTTTATTTATTTGAAGTCAAGTAAATACACTATTCGATTTTCTCTGCTTCACAACACTCCAGATGCCTACATGCTTCATCCCCACAAGTTTCAAGCATTTCTTCACCAATACATAGAATTTGGGACAATAAAAGTTGAATTTAATGGTAACTGTTTCTTGGCTATTGTCTTCAGAAAAATGTACAACTTAACGGCAAAATTTATTTCCCAGAATAAGTTTTTGTTTGAGATAACATATTTGACACATGGAACATGAGCGCAGAGCGACTAGTTGAAAAATGCTCTCTGATAAATATTACCTCCAACAGGCAATAAAGAGACATTGAAGATTTCTCAGAAGAACTAAATAATTAAATATGTAACAAACATCATTTTCTTAAAAACATATTGTAAAATATCAACTTCATGTAGACATACATTAAGAATTGAATTCATTTCAAACAATAATAATTATTGAATTAATTTCTATTACAACTGGAGTATTAGAGCACAGCAGTCAAAGATTATACAGCTTTGGAAAGCCTCCTAATGTAACTGATTTCAGTTTGAGGCATAAGGGGTTAAAACCAAGTCGATAATCATTGATATTTGATTAGAATAATGTTTTAATTCCAACTTTCCTACTCTCCCAAATACAACTGTCCCATGTGAGTTTACAAACAAAGCAATGTCTACATGGAACAGGAGCAAATGATGGTGAATGTCCTTCTTTATTATTCCACTCAAACATTTTGACACAAAACGATGAAAAATTTGGAGGGGATGATTTTTATATTATTAGTAGAGCTAAAGATGAGTTAGTACTTTCTATTAGGCATGGGTCTATATATTTTGCCTATATTTTTGTTGTTTTATAGTATACAAATGTGAGCATACAAACGTGAAGCAATGCTTAAAATTTTTGGACGCATATGGTAGGGAAGACAAATAAGAATAAGTTAAAAAAGATGAAAGAAATGAAGAAAGGTGAGAGGTGATGAAAAGATTACAAAGACAGAGAGAGGGAGAGAGAGAGAGAGAATCAGCTTAAACATAAAGAGAAAGAATAAGTGGTTTTAGTTTATTAAATTGTCAAGACTCCAAACATTAGCTAATTCTCCTCCTAAAGATTAAGCTCAAAGTTAAAGTGAAGAAAGGAGAAGAGACAAAATGATACTTTTTCTGCGCTTGGCTGTTGAGTCCCTTGAGAGTTTTGCAATGTAATTACTATACTGCCCAACTTAGTAGACTATAAATAAATATTTTAAAATGAATGAATATATTGGCTTAGCTGCATTTCTGCATTATATATTATATAATTTAATGCCCCTTAACTCAGAAAGTTAGGCATTATTATTTCCATTTTAGAGGAATAATATAAAACTCATAATAAATATAATAAAGGGCTACTAAATAATAGATGTAAGCTTAAACTTAGGTTTATTGGATTCCAAATATGATGGCTTCCTAACTTTTTATTACTATTTTTTCTGTCATTACTATGAACACTTCATAATCATCATTATGACTTCCATTTGTGTTATTTTAAAACTATTCTTAAATTTTGTTACATACCTATTCCATGGATTAAAAAGTTTATTAGAAAATATAGATAATTAAACATAAAAAGGAAATGAAATTTTTAGACTTTCCTCCAACTCAGAATTGACCAGGTAATTTTGTAGTAGGTGCTGGATTAAACTGAATAGAGGTTGGCATGTGACTGCAGAGAAATATTACCTTCAACAGGCAATAAGGAGACATTGAAGATTTCCCAGAAAATCTAAATGATTAAAAATGAAATAATCTTCTCTATGCTTATAGTTGAGGAGGGTAGTGGCAATGAGAAATGGCTATGTCTAAGGGAAAGCCTGCGAATTGTCCTTGATTCAAGAGAAAACAAGGATTATGGGAAAACAGAAACAAAAACAAACATTGTCATTTGGAGAAAGTGGCTAGTAGTTAAGCCCAGATATGGCATTGGAGACATTTTCTTTTTTTTTTTTTAATTATACTTTAAATTTTAGGGTACATGTGCACAACGTGCAGGTTAGTTACATATGTATACATGTGCCATGTTGGTGTGCTGCACCCAGTAACTCGTCATTTAATGTTAGGTATGTCTCCAAATGCTATCCCTCCCCCTCCCCCCACCCCAGAACAGGTCCCGGTGTGTGATGTTCCCCTTCCTGTGTCTATGTGTTCTCGTTGTTTAATTCCCACCTATGAGTGAGAACCTGCGGTGTTTGGTTTTTTGTCCTTGCGATAGTTTGCTGCAAATGATGGTTTCCAGACATTTTCAACTATGCAGAAACCTGGAAAGAATCCTATGGCAAGTGAAAAAATTTCAGAAAGATTTACATTAAAAGTTTATAGATGCCAAGCTTAGTGGCTCATCACTGTAATCTCAGCTCTTTGGGATGCTGAGGTGGGAGAATGCTGGAACCTAGGAGTTGGTGACCAGCCTGGGCAACATAGTGAGACGCCATTTCCTAAAAAAATAAAATAAAAATTAGCTGGGTGTAGTGCTACACGCTTGTGGTTTCAGCTAATTTTGAGGCTAAGGTGGGATAGTTGCTTGAGGGTGGGATAGTTGCTTGAGACCCAAAGACCGAGGCTGTAGTGAGCCTTGATTGTATCACTGCCCTCCAGCCTGGGCTACAGTGTGAGACACTGTCTGAAAAAAAAAAGTTGTAGAAAAGGAATGACTTGATAGTTTTAATTTATAAAAAATACTGATGTTTAAATGTGGAGACAGAATTGAAGAATGAATCAATTCAAGGAAATCAATTAAAAACTATGAGAATCTATCCCAGAGATTATATCATCTTGAATTAGAGGAATTGAGAGATTGGGATATACTATAATAAATGAATAGATTATTAAGATGATGAAATGACTATAAAGTTGACAGATGGAGAAGAATCAAAACTTCTGGAACTAAATAAACACATCTTCCTATTCCATAGTGACATAATAATAAATTTTGTGTATTAGCCATTATTTGAATACACTATTTGTGTTTATTAATTTTCCATTTTTATTATTATAGTGAGCATACTAATTCTTAGCATCTGCTATCATTTGTATGCATAATTTATGTTGCACATGTATACCATCTGCTTTTAATGATTTATAAAGTGCTTGAGATGTAAAATTAACTTGGAATACTTAATATATTTTCAACTTTTTAAATTAATAAAAATCATGTCAATTACTTTTCTCTCTACAATTTTGCATTCATATTATGACTGTGTTCCCACTCCTTGCTTGTAGTAAGGATGCCTTAACAATTGCATTTGGAGTTCATTAAAAAATTAAAATTCTTACATAATAGCTACATTCAAATAAATGTATGAAAGAATCAATAAAAAAAGCATAATTTTATGTTGTCATTGTACTTTAATATTTCACAGTTAACACAATATAATAATCATGCCCAAAAATATTCAAATGAAAATTATTCTAATTATTCAAAATTTTACCATCTTGTATGCCATATAATTTGATCAAAAATAAAAATATTTATAAGGACCAGGAACAGTGTCTATTAAAATATAATGTTGAATTGGAAACAAATATACATTAGTAGTAAGAGTAAAGAAAATATAAACTCGCATAAATATCAATACTTACAACAATCACTGTAATATATAGACAATACAATTCTTATCTTTTAAATTATTTCACTAATGATTTTCTATAGAAGAAAAAATATAGTCTACCTGAAATTCTACTAAAAGAAATATTACATTTTAACCTGGAAATAGAAGGCAATGGAATTATGCATACTATCAATTTTTACCCTTCACTCAATATTAATTTTAGCTTGTAGTAAGTAAGTAAAGTTGGCAAATAAAACTATATTATTGCCATAGCAAACCTTCACAGATAAAATAGTAAATCATTAGCTATAATTTTAGTTAAAATTGAGCATTTTTGATAAATTTAATAGGGGATTATTATATTTAGGTAAACATAATTAGTATATTCAGAGATTTAAAATACAATAACAGTAATTTTTAGAGCACCAGCATGTTTTATTTTGTATAAGGCACTATACCGAATGCAAATAGGTAATAAAAGTGTGACTCTTGACTTCCAGATGCCTCAGATTAATGGTGGTCATTTTGGGAAGAATTATACGAAGACCTTACAATGATGGTTTTAACAGATAAATGAGGGTTATTCGTGAATTGTTCTGGAAAATTTATCTCATTTTACATTTCTAAAACATCAAATAGAAATATGGTTCTTCCTCTCTACCTTAATCAATGGTGAATAGGAATATAATTTACCTAGTGGTTTAGCCCAAAATTCTTGAGTAATTATTGATTGGTTTCAGTGAAACAATTTTCATATTTGCAACATCAGTAATCTCTATATTTCCTTTTTAATGTATCCCAAATTCAACCACTTCTAGTCATATTTGCCTTAGACTACTGTAATAGTTTCCTACTTGATCTCCCTGCTTCATTTATATCAAAATTCTGTAAAGTCAATTCTACCCTGAGCTTGAATCTTTATTTTTTAAATGTTTTACAATTAAATATATAAATTTTTGTCAATTACACCTCAGTATACCTGGAAAAACTTAATAAAAAATACAATGTAGATCATATTGTATGCCAAATGTATAAAAATCTTCACTGGTTTTTCATAGTCTTAAATTAAAATCCAACCCCCTCAATATACCCTGAAAGACATGTTAGGTTTCCTACTCCTATCCATGATCTTATCTTTCATCGTTCTCTCTAGTTTACTTTTTCTGTCTTCTGAAACAAGGTATTTCTTTCAGTTCCCTTGAATAGGACAAGCTCAATTCTAATTCACTCGTTTCACTTTCTGTTTTTTTTTTTTTAATTATTTCTGAAATGTTCTCCCTCACTTTGCAGTATATTTAGGATTGTGATCAGCTATCATCCTTGCAGACTTTCCTGCCCACCCTTTCAAGAGCTGTGTTCCTACTTTACTCTTAAAGTATGCAGTATTTTTCTCTAAAGCAATCATCACTACCTGAACTTATACAGATCACTTTCACCTGTTAATTGTTATCTACCAGAAAATAAGATCCATGAAAGCAAGAGTTACTTCTTTAGAACAAAGAATTTAGAAAAGTGCTCAATAAATGCTTGTTGGATGAATTAATAAATGAATAAAACCTGCTGACAATCTATTATTTTTAGGTGGATAAGGTCAATAAACATGAAATTATTTTGAACAAATAAATAATTACTCTTTGCCTAAATTCAGACCAATTACTTCATTAGAATAAAATAAAATTAGTCACATTGATTTTTGTTTAAGACCTAATGAAAACAAAAAAGTCTTTAAACTTACTTAAAATTATAATTATATTTCACAATGTAATATATTTAAAAACTTTATGTTCTGGCCTGTCGTTATTGTTCCTTAGGTAACATGCTGGCTGGTAGGATTTTACAAAATTTCCTACAGTGATAATATATTTATATATGGGCTTCCTTCACCCCATGTAATTTTGTGGAGTTGAACATGTAAAATTGAAGTAAAAGTTAAATATTGTGAAAATACATCTTTTTTTTTAGCAGAAAATACTACTGCAATAGGAAGAAAGTTAAAATTTATCTGCCTGAAAAACAATGTGGACTTATTTTAATGTCAGTTCAATTCATGAATAGTTAAATATTATCAAATATCTTTTTAAAAAAATTTGTTTCACTTGCAAATAGTTGAACAGCCACACATTGAATTATCCCAAATAAAATCGTTTCTATTTAAAAACAACCCTGAAGCAAAAGTTCAGTAATGATTTTGATGAGCTTCTAGACCCTGTATCTTCATCTAATCAGATGAGAAAGATATTTCATAAATTTTATTTTATACAGATTTGTTTTTCATATATAATGAAAAGGCTTCATTATATATGCCTTCAAAGGCTGTTTTGGGCAGATAGGACACAATGAGAGCTGAAGGGATCCCAATCTGTGGCATCTGCAGAGATTTTTGTAATCTTTGTCAGTAACACAAGGCAATGGATCAGCTGTCTCTGAATAAAACTGCACTATGCTTTGAGAACTGTCTAGCACTCCACCATTCTGCTATATTGTCTTGACCCTGACTTTTCCAGCCATTTAAATGTACCCACTTGGTCCTAATTCACCATGCTGTTCTTCGATATTCAAGACAACACAGCATAGTTTGTTTAAGTTTTGAGGGAGTTGGATGATGATGATGGTATAGTGTTAGCAGCATAGTTACCATCGTAATCATTGTAAATATAACAGAGCCTCTACCTCTGAAGTTTTTTCAGCATGCCAGGTGCTACTAAAGGTGCTAAGTTATTTGTAATAAAACTTTGAAAGTAGAGTAGTTTCAGCTCTGCCATAAAGTCTCAACATAATGATTATTTGCTAGTTTGTATATATTTTTAAACATTCTATAACACACAATCATTTTCAAGATTGCAGCAGTAAATTTACAAGATTTTATCCTGACGGTGGGGATTTTTGCATACTTTATTATGCTTTTCAGTTTATAGTATTATAACATTTTTGTAGTATGCAGGTGGCCATGCTCAATTCCATGCTTAAACATAAATAAAATGGTAACATGCTTTTCTAAACATGTTTTTTTATTACCTTGATGGCTTCATAGCTCATGAATATTTCTCATTTCCTAGTATGCATTTTTTGCAAGGTGATTATATTAGAATTTTCTTATCAAAATATTTTAAACCTATACTGAAATACTAAAAACTGCTTTGTTAATATCTATTTATTAAAAAAAAACTTTATTGGGTTCTAATTATATCTTGATAAAATTGGCAAAGGAACATATACAAATATTAAATGAAACAAAAATATTTGAGAAATGCAGAACATTTATAGGTTCAGGTTGTTTTGAAAGATACTTACAAAAACTTTGAATCTGCAACATAAACCAGAATATGAGGTTTTATGTTGTATTGGCTAAAGGGACAGATTCAGAAGCAGATTGCCTAAGTTCAAAGCCTTCTTCTACCATTTGCTATCTGTGAGGCATTCAACATATTTTTTTACTTTTGTATGCCCCAGATTCTTTACCAAAAAAAGAAAAATAATTGTGCTCAAATAGTGATACTGTGAGAACAGAACAAACTGTGCTTAGAAATATGCCTAGGAAAAAAGTGTGCACTATATAAATGTAAGCCATTATTATTATTACTACTACTATTACAGCTTGTATAAGACAGAGATTACTATCACATTTTACAAATAAGCAATTTCATGATTATTGAAATGATAACTTATTCAAAGTCTATGGCTAATAAAATATTAAAATCCACATTTCTTTTTATTTATGTAAAATCACTTTTCATGGGAGAAATTTTTCTCTCTACTTAATGAGATTTGGACATTGGTAATTTATTTCTATGAATTCCTATATTAGTGATTTATCTACATTGCTGAGCTCTTATAAAACTTTTAAAATAGTATCAGAAAATTTGATGTGTCATTGTATACAATCACTTTTGAAGCATGGGGGAGAGAGTTTAGAATATTTCATAAAAGAAGCAGCATCAGGTTTATGTGGACCTACAAACTGATTTAAATTGGAATTTTTACATCAAATATATGTTTTTTTTTATGCCATGCATCTGCCACTTTCTAACACATGACTTTGGGCAAGGTATTTAATTTTCCTCATTTGTAGTTCTCTCCTCTCAAACATGAAAATAACAAACACATTCTTTGTAGTTTATTAATTATCCAGTTGTCTTTTCCAAAATTACATTTATAATTGGATATATAAACATGCAAGAGAATATTTATTGCAGCATTATTTGTAATAGTAAAAAAATGAAGTTGAATTAATAGGTATATCTCCTTTAATAGTAGAATAAATATGTTATTTTTTATAAAAGAAAAAACCTCCAAAGAAACTAGTAAGAATAGTTGTTTTCTACAAAATAAATATAAATCAATATTTTAAAATAAGAGACAGGAAATAATGCTCACTCTCATCATCTTTCTATGAACTTACATGAAGAATCCTGGAGTCTTTAGTGAATGCAGTAAGATAAAAATAGATAAATTAGAAAGATAATAGATAGATGCCAGACCTAAAATATATAGTATTGATGGCAGTGATGGCCCATCTGGAGCCACTGCTGTGAAGACACTGGCTGCGGCGGGGTTGGAGTTGCTGGGGTTTTGTGCTTCCTGGGGCTGGTGGGAACCAGGGACAGGCAGGAGCCCCGGCCTTTATTGAGTTAGCAGGGTGGGAGCCCCACAATCAGGGGTGCAGCTGCAGTCACCCAGCCACTGCTCCGACCCCAGGGATCTCTTCACTCTCATAGGCCCAGGAAGGCCCTCTCCCCACTAGGTTTGGAAGTGCCTGCTCCTGTCCCTGGCCTCTCCTCGTTCCTAGCACCCACTCTGATTTTGGAGCAAAGTTGTGGCCCAGCCTGAGTGCTGTTGCAACCTGGCCAGGTGTGTGTGTGCTTGGGGCATTGCTGACATGCCAGACCCCAGTTGCCTTGGCCCCCTTCCAACTTTGGGCACCAACGATCATAAGAGGGAAGCCAAGGGGAGGTTGAGGGAGGCTCAGCATGGGTCTGCAGGTGCCCCTCAGCACAAACAACCTGGGCTCCATGGACAACATGTTGATGATGACAGGAGGCAGACAGGCTCCTGGGTGGAAAGAGGAAGGTCCCTGGTGAAACCCCACTTTCAAGAGGGATGGCCTGAAGCTTGGGGTCAGGGCTGTCAGCTCCAGATGGAGTCCATGGCCTAGTGTGAGAACTTACGTTGCTTTTTCCAGGCCTACCCATGGCTGCCCCGGACCAATCAGCTCACACTTCCTCCTTTCTGACCCCATAAAAACCCCAGACCGAGCCAGACTCAAACAGATGTAAGAACTACCAATAGCAGAAAGGAGCTACCTACTGCAGGTCCCCTTTCCACTGACAGTTGGACACTATCAGGACGACCTGCCTGCAGAAAGGAGCTCTACCCAGTTTGGGTCTTATGAGAGCTGTTCTGTCGCTCAATGAAGCTCCTCTCCACCTTGCTCACCCTCCAATTGTCTGCATAGCCCATTCTTCCTGGACATGGGACAAGAACTTGGGACCCATCTAATGGCAGGACTGAAAGAGCTGTCATGCAAAAAGGGCTGAAACAGTCCTCCCTTCTGACCATATTGTGGGCAATGAGAAGAAGACCTGCAGCCGTTCAGGGAGCCAAGACCTGGGAGCTCCCCAACCCAGACCTGTGAAACTCTCTTTGGGGCTGTATAGTTCCTGGCATCTCTAAGTTTCTTGGCACCACCACATTCCCCTTGTCCAGACATGGGTGCAGACAGCAGAAGCTGTGTGTGGTACATCTGATCCAGCTGTAACCTCGCATGAAGCCAGCACCTGTGCCAGTGCCTGGAGCTAACTGCTCCACCACAGCAGCTGTTGTGCCTGGCTTTGTGCAGCGGCCTGACTCTATACTCACTTGTATACACACCCCTCACCACTCTGTGCCTGGCTCACTCTTGACAGATGTGACATCCAGGTCAATAGCATGCTGAGAACAGCCTGCAAGGCTGAGTGGGTGGAACATGCCCAGTGGGCAGGAACAATACCCAGGCAGAAGGTACCACCTGCCACAGAGGTTTCCAGCTGGTGAAGCAACACCCAAAAGATCCTGTGACAATATCAAAAATAAGAAAAGATAATCTACTAATTTTCTAATTATTTTTGAAGATTTGTGTTTTTTATGTAGAATCCCCCCAAAAGGATATCAAGGTTTTATTATAATTAATAATATAATTAATTTACTATTTACCAGATACATGTAAAAACAAATGACATTCATCAATACAAATAATAAATACATAAAAAATATATTATAGCACAAAATATTATATATTTAAGAATAAATTCAATAAAAATGTACAAGCACTTTATGTAGAAAATTAAAAAGCATGGAGAAGTTTGAGGTAGGTTTTTCTGCATGAATTGCTGAAAACTCATGCAAAAAGTAAAAAAGCACTATTTCCATAGATCAAAACACTGGACAGTGTAAGAATATCCTTTTTACTAAATTAAACTATCAATGAAACATAACTTCAATAATAATAACTGCTACATATTTTATCCAAGTTGATCACCTGATTTTAAAGTGTATATGTCAAAGATTTAACAAAATTAAGACTTTCTCAAAGAACACTTCCTATCTCTAACCTGAAAGCAATGAATATATATGACAATCTATGACACAATTTCCTTTAGTATTGTATGGAAAATAATATTTTCTTTTTTCATATTTAAATACTAAATTTATATATTAATTATGCATTGCTGTACAATAATTGTCTCACAATTTATCTTGAAAAATTTACTATCTCAGTTTGTGTGAGCCAGGTATCCAGGAGTGACTGAGCTGAGTGGTTCTAGCTCAGAGTCTCTTAGGAGGCTAAAATCAAGCTGTTGGCTGGGGTTATCATCTGTGAGGTTTATACTAGGATTGAAGAATCTGCTCCCAAGCTTACTCGTAATAATTGACAAAAGGTTTAATTCCTCACCACTTTGGCCTTTCTATAGGGCTGTTTACAACATGACTTCCCCGAAAGCAATGATAAAAAAGAGATACAGTGGGTTGCTGAATGAGTTAAAGAAATACCCAGATACATATGTATTTTGATTAAAAATTAGGAAATAGTAAAAAGGAAACATAATAAAAGACTTATGTTCTGTTGTCACAATTCATACAAAATATTAAAATTTGTGTATGTGACTCTTATAGATTAAAAGAAGCAGCGGAACGAAGTGGTAGTGTGGTAGAAAGTACTGTCATAAATATTGTTATCTTTTCTTGCACTCGATAAGACATTTTACACTACTGATACGGACAGAGGCTGTATCCCCTCAAAGTATTTGAAGAAACTACAAAAGGAGAGGACAAAAGGATGTGAATTGTAGGAAGAATGGGGAGAAGGGGTCATTGGCAGTCATCTTGGGGACTGGCTATTGCCTCACAAAAGGATATGTGATTTGATTTTTGCAAAAAAAAAAAAAGTCTAAATAACAGTCTTCTAAGATAAGATTCTCTTCTATTATTATTTATTAGTGTGTCTTAAAAACAATTGCCTAGAAAATTGTTTGTTTAACTATGTAACTGTAATCTTTCAAGTTTAAAAATAGGGAAATTTGTTTTAAGGAAACACGTTTCTTTCTTTCACTCTGTGCACTTAAACTTATAAGCAATTAGACAGTAATATGCGAAGAATTAAGCGATGTGTTCATTCATATTAGTGTTGTGTATCAGTCTGTTTTGACACTGCTATAAAGAACACTACCTGAGACTGGGTAATTTATAAAGAGAAGAGGTTTAATTTACTCACAATTCCATATGGCCTGGGAGGTCTCAGGAAACTTACAATCATGGCAGAAGGTGAAGAAGAAGCGGGTAACTTCTTCACATGGTGGCATGAAAGAGAGGAGCAAAGGGAGAAGAGTCCCTTATAAAACCACCAGATCTCATGAGAACTCACTCACTATCATGAGAACAACATGGGAGAAACTGCTTCCGTGATCCAGTAAGCTTCCACTAGGTCCCTCCCTTGACACATGAGGATTAAAATTCAAGAGGAGATTTGGGTGGGGACACAGAACCAAACCATATCATTCCTCCCCTGGCCCCTCCCAAATCTCATGTCTTCACATTTCAAAATGCAATCATTCCTTCCCAATAGTCTTCAAAGTCTTAACTCATTTTAGCATTAACCCAAAAGTCCAAAGTCTCATCTGAGACGAAGCAAGTCCCTTCTGCCCATGAGCCTGTAAAATCAAAAGCAAGTTAGTTACTTCCAAGATACAATGCGGGTACAGGCATTGGGTGCTCCAAATGGGAGAAGTTGGCTAAAACGAAGGAGCTACTGGCCCTACGCAAGTCTGAAATTCAGCAGGGCAGTCATTAAATCTTAAAGCTCCAAAATAGTCTCCTTTGACTTCATGTCTCACATCCAGGGCACACTGATGCAAAGGGTGCTCCATGGGCATGTTAGAATTTCAGAAAGAATAAAAATAATTCTCTTTAAGTTTTAGCTTCTGATCCATTCTAAGTAGATGATAAAGAGTAACCAGCAAGTACAAAATATCATCCTATTTGCTGAATATATTTTTTTACATGCAGAAAAGAGGCTTTATTAAGAAGGCTTTGAAGTGAAAAAGTAAAACGTTTGATCCAATTTTTTAACCCTTGAATCAGCTCAGCAAATATATAATCAGTAATTTAGTTGTGTAAGATTAAAGGTCCATTACTTTATTTAAAATAAAATATATTTTAGTTCTTAAAATTTGTTTCATAAAGTACATATTTCCCTATAAATTCCCTACATATACACAAGAGTAAAAAAAATAAAAAAAATTAAAAAAAAACGACAACAGAAACCGCGGTAGAAAGGGGATTAATAGTTAACAGAAGGAGGGGGGCGGAGGCCTGTGTTTACAGATGAGATTTAACTGCTGTACCAGGCGTGGAGACTGAGACCCCGCAACCCTGTGGCGCCTCAGTCCCTCAATAACAGTATTGAGTGGTCAGGTTACAATAAACCAGAGAGGAAAGGTCCGCTTGCACTTTTTTTTTTTTTTTTAGACACCCCTCCCATCCAGGGTGATCTTTAAAAAACAAAACAAACAAACAAAAAACCCCACGATTTTAGAGCGTTCATTGTTTTCCTTTTGTCCGAAGCTGTTTTCTGATTTGATAGTATTTTCTCACTGGCTGGTCTCAGACTGCACAGACATTTCCAGAGGAGGAGGGTGACATTTTTACTCCGTTTTTGAGGCTGACAATTTATGCTTTTGTACATCAACCATGCGCGGCCAGAACGGGGCAGGGGGCGGGGGTCGAGGTGCTGAATATATTAATAATAAATATCAATACCAGCAAGTGTGGTTTAAATTCTTAACTCTTTAACTTAATACACTTACCCATCAATCACTGGCCCTTGTCTCCTAGTGCGTTTTTCTATACATGGAGTGGGGTTTGAGGTAACACTCTAATGAATTGGAGCAACAGAGAAAATATGTACTTCCTATAGATGACTCTTTCCATGACAGAAGAGGTTACTATATAGAAAATGGTAGATTTTATCTTTAACTTTCTCCAACGTTGTCCAACATTCAACTTTCCTGTCTCAGGTACTTCTATGTCCTACTATTTTTTAGGTAATATGCTCTCATAAAATGCGAGTAAGGGACAAAGCAATTCAGGGAAGGAATAAAGTTGAGACTATTTGAAGATATATTTTTAAAGTAGCCCCAACTAAATGTGAGTGCTGGATCCTGCAGGTATGTCTTGAGAGAAGCCAGTTAACTATGTCGCAGGAAAGACAGTCTGGGGAGAAAAGGGAAAGCCAGAGTATAGGTTCATGTTTCCTATTGTTTATAGGTTAATATATGTATTAATCTATGGATTCTATTTTCCTACTCTTCAAGGGTTAATTCCATGAGATTTTAAATTACCCCTACCCTTCCAGAATGTGTATGTGTGGCCCCTGATTATGGACCCATTGTCTCATACCAAAGTGTCAACAGAAAAGCCCCAGGTGGAAGCTATGAGGCATATTCGGCAGGCATGAGAAAGGCTTTCTGCCTTTATTTCCTGTGTTTTATTTATATCCCAGCTTTGGTAAACAACCTAGCCCCTGGATTTGGAATAAAGATCCATTAGGCTTTTAGTGAGCATCCCTTATAATTGTACATAAAAATTGTTCTTTCTTTTTTATTTGTCCAGATTCCTTTATTGCTCATTAAAACATTTTTTAAAATTTTGGCAATTATAAAATAATTAACTCATGTCTTTTAAACTTTGCAAGATGTCACCCTGAGGGTCTATCAAATCATAACATTTCTTAAAGTTTCTTACATGTTTCTGGCATTTTTTTTTTGTAAAAAGAAAACATATCATCTTCTTCTAAAGGGAGATTATGTGATTATATAATATAAAAGATTACATGATTCAACTAAATGTATCCATTAAGCTTTTATCAAGAAAACTAAAATCTATTCTTTTCTAAAAATTCATGTTTTATGGCAAATTCAAGTCAATAAAATTGTGCTAAAATAATTGGAAGCTTCCTCTTCTTCCCTTCCTTGACCTGATGTATTCACTAGGTGATGGGGCCTGATTCATCTTTTGTGGCTCCACTAAGTAACTGTTACTCTTTTCTACATTTAATTATTGTTTTTAAATCATTTGAAAGAACAAAGAACATTAGGCAAAACATTTTTACATTCTCATATAGGACTGAAATTTCGATATATATATATATTTAAATCTCATTTTATTTTTTTTCTTTCAACTTTTCTTTCAGGTTTGGGGGCACATGGGCATACGTGTTACAAGGGTAAATTGTATGTTGCTGGGGTATGGTGTACAAATGGTTTTGTCACCCACGTAGTGAGCACGGTGCCTGACAGGTAGTTTTGCCATCTTCACACTCCTCCTGGTACATGCATTGCCTTGTCTGTTTCTGTTCTCTTTATTTAATCTCCTGAGTTACATCATGCTTACCAAATGCTTAAGATGTGCAGAGGACACAAAACAAAATAAAATACCATCACTGATGCCAAAGAATTTACCAAATGTTGGTTAAATACATATAGTGAAATAAAACACCCTACGAACAAATGGATAACAATTCAATATGACAATTGAAATGGCAGAGATTTCTATGAGGCAGTGGGCAGCAAGGGTTAAACCCATCTTTGGGATACAGTAAATAAAGTGTTTGGAAATCTTCCTGGATTTCTTTATAGAGGAAGAAATTTGACTCTGTTTTTAAAAGTTGAGTAGAAATTCACAAAGCAGAAAACTGAAGAAAATCCAATTATGGCAGAGAAATAACAGTTTTATTCAGGGACAGTCAATCTATTTTATGTTTTTGGTATGTAAAATTTTACTGTTTTTTTTTATTTTTCATAGTCTTTAAATATTATCTTCAGTTAATCTCTGCAAATTAGATGCCAGTATGATACTATTAAAAATGTGAATCACAGATATGACCAGAAAAACTGTAGGTATAGGAAAATCTACACTAATAGTTTGGATAAAAATAGCCTACATTTCACAGATACATGCAAAACTTAATTCTCTTTTTCACCTTTAAAAAATATTAATATCATCTAAATGTTTCAAAAATGCCATTATCTATAAAAGTTCTAAAAATATAAACAATTAGTAACATGTATTTCTATTTCCTACATCATTCCACAAATGATTTCAAGTGATTCTCAGTAACTCTCATAATCATGAGCAGTTTAGACCAAGCTTAATTTCAACATCTAATCTTTTTCTCCTTTTTACTCAATTGCTATTACACTTGTGCTTTAAGTTCATTTAAACAAAATTGTATTCTTTATTTTTGTCAAGTTATCAATCAATTCTTTTACTTCCAGCCACTTAATATTGTCCTAATGATTCATAATTATAATTGATCTCCTTTTAGTACTCTCAGCTATCTCCCCAACTTATTCTATTACAGAACTGACCTATTGCACACCAACCATGGGATATTTTACTCTCTTCTATTTCAAGAAGAATATTGAGCAGTTCTGAGAATTAACCTGAAGTGCACAAACCAGTGCCAACAAAAATTTATTCTCTTCAATTCAAATTAACTCTCTGACCTTTTCTATACATGACTAATAGCATAGAACAGGACCGTTTGATATCATATTATAGGTTATAAATAAGAGAATAAGATTTGGAGTCAGAAGTGCATGCAATAGAAGTTTATCTCTTTTAGTTATCAGTGGTATTATCTGGGGACCTCAGTCTTCACCTGAGAATTCGTAATAAAATAATATTAAAATGTAGATTAAATGAAATCCTGGATGTTGTTTATAACACCCAATCTCTATTAGATAATATTACTCATTAATATTTCCCACACTGGCTATTCTAAAATGTTTTCACTCTCCAAATGTAACTTATGCATTAATTCCATTTACTCTTGTCACATGAATATACATAATACTTCAATGAGAAAATAGAAAGCATCATTATAGAATTTCATGTCTGTTCTTTTCTTTTTGTATCTTATCTAGACTCAAGTTTACCTTTTCCATTTAAATGAATACATACACATGGTTTTCTCTGATTTATTCATTTGTTCTCGACATCTCATTGCTTAATTCATTTTTAGAGAACTGCTTCATTACATCTCCACTACTTTTTGGGGGGGATGTTGGTATTTCCATGTTTTTCAAACTTAAGTCTGTAAAATGTTTGAAATTTTTTAATTAAAAATACTAGAAACCTTTCCAAGATAGCTCTTACTAGCTGTCATCCTTACCTAGCCTCTCCCTTAACACATTAGCTGCACAAATTATTTTTTCTTCATTTCTGTTTGCTCCTCCTCCAATACATTCTTCTGCTGCTAATTCTAATGAAATTTTAAATACCTTTTTTAAGGTTCCTGTCTTTACTTTCCATATACTAATTTGAACATCCTTTATTCTTCAGAGAAACCATAGATCCTCACTGAGAGCAGATTTATTCTTTTTTTTGGAAAGACACATGGTTAATTTTGACTATACCATTATTTACTCCAGTGTACATCAATAAAAGGCAATTTTTTAGGCACATAGTGGAAAAGGGGATTATTTTAAGTACTAGAATACCAGTGTCAGATAACTGAAACTATCAGACATGAAAATCATTCCAATAATTAGTATTCTTTGTGATTTTTCTAAATAGCACGCAAAGCTTAAGTTTTGTTCTAGTCATACTAAAGATTGCAAACATATGTGATGCACATTAGGAGAAAATCTTTGTTTTACTACTTCATGATTGAAGATTAATCACCAGTTATCTCTTACCATCCTTGAAATCACTGTGTTTTATGTTCTAGATAATAATTTAATTTCCCTTTTTATTGCTCACTCCTCTCTGAACTTTTTTTTTTCAAAAACTACTTCTCTACTCTTCAATGTCATTTCTAAAAATTAGAAACAAATGCTGAATGTAAATCAACAAAGGAGACTTATAGTCTCAAACTCAATATGCATCAACTAAATTTATTTTTTTTCTTTACACCATGACACGTGTACATACTCAGGTCATTCCTGTCAAGTACCTTTTCACTTCAAATTTCCTGTCCTGATGGTGAAATTTTTTTACCTCTATTTGGGATATTGTGCTTTTGTTCTAACAAACTCTTAAAAAATTATCTAGCTGCACTTACAGGACTTCACCCTGGTGCCTCTTCCTGTGGGAGGATACTTCTTTCCACTCATTCATATTAATCTAGCCCATGTTACTTTCTCTGGCAAATGAAATGGTATATACCAAATCTGACAGATTATGTAAGAACCATTGTATGACTCTGCTACATGTATTTATTCATTTATTTATTCAATTATTTATTTTTACTGATTTGAGACTTCACAGTCCTTGTTGGAAACTACTTTTTCATCTGAGTCCTGAAGTAAAACACACACACACACACACACACACACACACACACGAAACTGTGTTCTTAGAACATGACTGGCATGCAGTAACAGTTCTGTAATTATTTGTTTCCTTATTGACAAATCGTTTTGTTCTTCAATGTATAATTTTTATTACAGTGAATGCTACGACCACACACTCAGTTACCTAAACCTGAAATGTGGAAATTATCTTTCACCTCTCTGTTCTTTACTTACCCTGTGCAGTTGATATTGTTATGAAGCGATGTCTATTAAGTACATGGATTCTGGAGGTAAAACATCCAGTTTCAAATCACATTCTTTCATTACCTGAATAACTTTGGAAAAGTTAAAATCCCAGTGCCTTGATACCCACATCAGTAAAATTATATGCAAATGTTTGCTATTGTCCATATTCACAATATCTAATGTTATTCTTATTTGTTCTTTTCTTTGCCATCATCAGTCTGTATTAGTTTAGATAGCTGTCATTTCTAATTTGAATATTGAATTTTTTTTTCAAAAACACCCCATTCCTTTTTAAGTTTTTTTCAATCCAATGCTTCACTACAATTAGAATAATACTCCCAAAACACAATACTGATTATTTTACATTTTCCTTGAAGCATCTCAGTAGAGATTCCAAAATCACTGTGTTTCAATGGCCTACATGAAGTTTTATCTGCTTGTTTGAAGAAGATTATTTCTCATTACATACTTTAATTGTAGCCAAATTTAGGGTAAGGCCAAAGGCAAACTCAGGACTTCTGAATCCAAAGCGAGTATTCTTCGCCAGTTTGCCTCAATTTGTTATAATATTTAATGTACCTAAAGAAAAGAATCTATACATTTTGTTTCTGAGATATTTAATGAAAACATGCTATTTAGTTGTAAACTTAACAAGTTTACCAATGAAGCAAAACCGCCAGTTGTGTGGCAAGAGTGAAGCCATTTTCAAGCAAAACTGCAATGAGGACTAGTTTGCTCCATACATACCAAGGTGTTCTAAAATAAGATCCTTAAATAATGCCAACAACATGGATAACCCCTCATAAAGATCCTTATCAAACCTTCCCAGTGATTACATATCTTGACAAGAAAATCTTAAGACATTCTGCTGCACATTTTACTCTAAAAGCTTGCTATATAAAGAATACTTTCTGGAGGGCTGGTGTGGGGATTCACGTTCTCATAGCTGCCCAAGTCATTGCTTCTGTTTGTAATTCCCCAGTAAATGTTTCGTTTTGAGAAACAATTTGTCAGTCTCTTTCTTTGGCCTCTTATTTCCCTCCCCACTTTTGAGGTAGGTTTGCATATACCTGCTCACTGTAGAACAACCAACCAAGTATTTGTCTTTCGTCTCCTGCAACAAATTAAATAAATAATTATTATAAGTGATTTTTAATGATATATTTATTTAATATGGAATCAAATATTGTATAAGATTAAACTACAGTTTACCCTAAGACACTAAGACAAACATCATGTGATTACATATTTATGTTTTATGTTTGAGTTTAGAGATTATCTTTGGCTTTTATTTTCGTATTAGCCTAAAATGTGGCCGGTTTTCCTTTTCAAAACAATTCCATCTCTATCTTTCTAAAATTTGTTTCATTCAAATTAAATAGTATTATGTGGAGTAAGGTACATAAATTAATTGATTATTTGAACTTAAATTTATATGATTAAATTGGATCTGCTACCCTAAAAATACTTTTTTTTTTGTTTTTGTTTTTAATTTTTTTTATTATACTTTAAGTTCTGGGATACTTGTGTAGAACGTGCAGGTTTGTTACATAGGTATACACATGCTCTGGTGGTTTGCCGTACCCATCAACCCATCATCTACATTAGTTACTTCTCCTAATGCTATCCCTTCCCTACCCCCGCACCACCTGACAGGCCCTGGTGTGTGATGTTCCCTTCCCTGTGTCTGTATGTTCTCATTGTTCAACTCCCAATTATGAGTGGGAACATGCAGTGTTTGAATTTCTGTTCTTGTATTAGTTTGCTGAGAATGATGGTTTCCAGCTTCAACCATGTCCCTGCAAAGAACATGAACTCATCCTTTTTGATGGCTGCATAGTATTCCATGGTGTATATGTGCCACATTTTCTTTATCCAGTCTATCATTGATGGGCATTTGGGCTAGTTCCAAGTCTTTTTTATTTTATTAATCTATTGTTAACAGTGTCACAATAAACATATGTGTGCATGTGTCTTTATAGTATAATGATTTATAATCCTTTGGGTATATATTCAGTAATGGGATTGCTGGGTCAAATGGTATTTCTGGTTCTAGATCCTTGAGGAATCGCCACACTGTCTTCCACAATGGCTGAACTAATTTACATTCCCACCAACAGTGTAAAAGCTTTTTTATTTCTCCACATCCTCTCCTGTTGCTGTTTCCTGACTTTCTAATGATTACCATTCTGTTGTTTCCTGACTTTCTAATGATTACCATACTGACTGGCATGAGATGTTATCTCCTTATGATTTTATTTGCATTTCTCTAATGACCAGTGATGATGAGCTTTTTCTCATATGTTTCTTGTCTGCGTAAATGTCTTCTTTTGAGAAGTGTCTGTTCATATCCTTTGCCCATTTTTTGATGGGGTTGCTTGTTTTTTTCTTGCAAATTTGTTTAAGTTCTTTGTAGATTCTGAATATTAGCCCTTTGTCAGATTGGTAGGTTGCAAAAATTTTCTCCCATTCTGTAGGTTGCCTGTTCACTCTGATGATAATTTCTTTTGCTGTGCAGAAGCTCTTTAGTTTAATTAGATCCCATTTGTCAATTTTGGCTTCTGTTGCCATTGCTTTGGGTATTTAGTCATGAAATCTTTGCCTATGCCTGTGTCCTGAATGGCATTGCCCAGGTTTTCTTCTAGGGTTTTTATGGCTTTAGGTCTTGTGTTTAAGTATTTAATCCATCTTGAATTAATTTTTGTATAAGGTGTAAGGAAGGGGTCCAAGTTCTGTTTTCTGCATATGACTAGCCATTTTTCCCAACACCATTTATTAAATAGGGAATACTTTCCCCATTGCTTGTTTTTGTCAGGCTTGTCAAAGATCAGATGGTTGTAGATGTATGTGTTATTTCTGAGGCCTCTGTTCTGTTCCATTGTTCTATATATCTGTTTTGGTACCAGTACCATGCTGTTTTGGTTACTGTAGCTTTGTAGTATAGTTTGAAGACAGGTAGCATACAAAATCATTAGTGAACTCTGATTCATAATTGCTAAAAAGAGAATAAAATACCTAGGAATACAATTTACAAGGGATGTGAAGGACCTCTTCAATGAGAACTACAAACCACTGCTCAAGGAAATAAGAAAGGACACAAACAAATAGAAAAACATTCCATGCTCATGGATGGGAAGAATCAATATCATGAAAATGGCCATACTACCAAAAGTAATTTATAGTTTCAATGCTATCCCCATCAAGCTACCATTGACTTTCTTCACAGAATTAGAAAAAACTACTTTAAATTTCATATGAAACCAAAAAAGAGCCTGCATAGCCAAGACAATCCTAAGCAAAGAGAACAAAGCTACAAAGCTGAAAAAATAAGTTTTAAATAAACAACTTGAATAAATATGTTATTTTTATCAATGAATTTGAGAATAATATTTGAAAATATCATTACTGAGTTTCCATAGGGTTACACCACAAAATTTAAAAAGAAAAAAATAAACCACAAAAATTCTGTGGTATTCAATTTTATAATTGTTTTGTTTTCACTGTAACTTATTTAACTTCTCATTATTCAAACAATAGGTGAAAAGAACGCTTGTGTGTTATTTATAATTAAAATTGAGATGGATTTACCACCTACTGTTTATTGTCAGTATATTTTCCAAAAGCAGTGGAAAAATTTATCTTCTACTAATGTTCAATTTATGAACATTCATATTTTTGTTTCAGTGGAAAATATCACTCTATCAACTGCAGAAATAAATGCATATTAATAGGCAAAAGTAGGTTTACTCATTTTAAGATGCTGCAAGATGCTGGTGTTTTATCAGATAAGCACATAATCTTTACCTCAACATAAAAATGTATATCATTACAAAAAGTCCTTCTGAACATTTTAGTAAATGAATTGTACCAAATTTGAAAATCTACTCAATAAGTAGACTTGAAACTAGAAAAATTAAGGAAAAAACCTTACAACTTACAAAAGTGATCTTAGAAGGAAAATCAGAGATAAGATATTATGATATCCACCTTGTGTTTTCATAGGATCATTCAATATTAAAAATGAAAGAAGTCATTAAAACCATGTTATCAAATTCCCAATATTGATGCTTCTTTCAATAGCAACCTTAACAAATAGTAATCTAATTGAATAATCTCATACCAATTATATTGATTCTTAATTTAATTATTAAAATTCCATTTCTACTTAGAAATATTCTATTATTGTTAAATTTAGTTTTAATAAATTATGTAAACATGAGGATGACACAGACAGCCTACTCTTTTAGATTATTGTCATTTTCTGCTTCTAGAAGCTACTCAGAGAATGAGAACTTGGCTAAGAAATAAGGAAATTCTGAATTATAGGCTTGGCTTGTGTTTGAGGCTAACTAACCCTTATGGGTTTTATTTTTCTCATATTTTAAATCAAGTGTCCAAGCTTTGACAACTATGCTACTTTCCTACTCTCAATTTCAATAAATATAGTCGTTAATAAAACTGAGCTGGTATTACATTTCTATTTCTTTTTATAAAATAGTCACTAAACTATTCTGTACATCTAAACACTTTCCTCCAAACTTTTCAACACTATATGAAAAATTATTAAAATAATTTAAGTTTTGCTATTAATAATTAGTTCTTCAAATAATTATAGTATTTAAACCGCAGGTTGTAACTGAAATGTAAGTTTTTACAGGAAATATTTATTTCAGTCCCAGAATGTATAAGCTTACATTAATTTGTATGACTAACTTAAATATATTGTTCATTTTTGCTTTTCGGTGCGTGGACTATAACTATGGTGTTTTATCTGCCACATCTGTTAGTTTTCTTTAAGATAAATGTATCTGTTAATTAATTCATTTAAATGTCTCCATTTTAATGAATTTGTAAGCAAAATCTGGAGAAATAATTTTAATGAAATTAGTGAGACAAATAAAATTGTAATTAACATTTCTATGAATGACGTTAGTGAAATTTATTTTCAGGTATAGTAATTAATAAAAACTTTAATTTATTACAGAATTAGAATATTTTGTACCTGAAGTGACATAGAATCAACCGTAATTCTTCATATAGTACTAAATTATATGAGAAGGGGCACTCATTTTGATGTGTTCTGATCCTCTCATTCCTTTTTGCATTGCTTTATATTGTTAGTTGTGTATCAGAATACCATGATGAAAAACCTCTACCAAGGTTTGGTGATGAGAAATAAAACAAAGTGTAAATATAATAAATCAGAACCAGAAACAATCCGTGCTTTTTCCTAAGACAGCTATTAGTCACAATAATTTTATAATTTTTATAAATTCATAAGTTGCTAATTATTTTTTGCATAATTAAACACTTATACAAATGCTTATCACATTTTTCCATAAATTACCTTTATTTAAAATATGCCCTATGATTTTATCATTATATGCATTGGTTTTCTCATATTTGCTCATGGCATCACAAATTAATAAAATATGTTTTAACATGAGTAGATATTTTTCAAAACATTTTGTATAATATTAATTGTGCCCACGGTACAGCCATGTTATGTGAACTGAAAAAATGGTTCAGAGCCCCAACAACCTTTATTTCATTCTTATTCCTTCAATATTGAAAGTATACTATATGTTTCTGATGTGCTATAAGAGATAGTTAATTACACTTCTGTATACATAAAATGTTTCCTAGAAGATAATTTTAATTTTGTATAAATTACTTCATTTAATTGAAGGTCAGAAATTACCAAATAATCCTAAAAAATAAGAATTACCATGATAACATGCCAAATAAAATTCAATAAAAGTAAATTATGTGGTAATTTAACACATATAGATAAATACAAAAATTCAGAATAATATAAAATGAAATCGAATTATACACTGAATTTATATATTACCTAAGGTGATTTGTTTAAATATTCAAGAATGGTTAACATTTCAAAATATTTACACTTCACAATATGATAATTAAATAATAAAATATTTCAGTAGTGTACAGTCAATTTAAAAAGTTATCTATTCATGCTGAAATAGATTACCATATTATAGAAACTGGAAAGTGAATTATGAAACAATTCTATTTATATATTTAAATTTGATAAATAATAGTGGTGTCATCCAAAATTAGTAGGAAAATAATATTCACAAATTAGATAGAACTCTTTTTTTTGATATGTAAAATAAAAATTTCAGATGAACTAAAGACCAGAACATATAAAATAAACCTAGAAAAAACTCCAGAAAACAAAAATTTGTAAGTACTAGAATAAAATATAAATAAAATGGAATAATATCTAGCAACATTTTAATAATATTAAAAATGAAAATCATAAAGAACATGTTAAAATATTTTTCCAGCAATTTGTAAAATTTTATGTAACAATAAAAACTCATAATTTTTAGCAGGTAACAGTCTGGGAAGCAATATATCAACATAAACAATATTTATAAGAAAATTATATTGTAGTCAGCTTAGTCCCTGGTTCAGCTAGCTAGGTCTGAGTTCTTGTTCTATGGCCAAGAAGAATAAGGGACATGGACACTGGAGAGTGATTAGAGTAGGATTTGTTAAGCGAAATGATAGCTTTCAGCAAAGAAAGGGGACCTGAAATAGGGTTGCCAGAGATGGGGCTAAATTCTGGGTGATTTATGTGGCAAGAACAAGGGATTCTTCTGTGGGTTATGCTCAAAATGGTGGGGGGGTGGTAATGTTCCCTTTTAAGGGTGTTGCCTCTGCACATGCCTGGGATTGGCCAGAGTGACTCTATCTGGTTATTACCCATGAGTGCCTAAGTGAAACCCATGGGAGGGTCTAAAACCACAATGCTAGTGTCCTGTTATCACAAATTCATAATTTGTGATCAAGATAATTCCTTAACAGTCCTTTCTGAGCAAAATGCTGGCATAAGGGAAAGTTCTTAACATTTCTTCCCATTAGCTACAGGTGCAGTGCAGACGCACCCTCTGAAGCAGTAACTCTAACTGCTGTTAGGGAAAAAGGGGAGATGACCACTCTGGCTTCTTTAAACTGTGAGGGATTGTCATTTGTGTGGCAGTCAGGGGTCCTCCAGAGGGAGGTCTAGTGGGCCTTGGAAAAAGGACTGTTTCCCATGGGATTCCATCTGCGTCACCATTTGAATTTTGATGGCCTCAAGGTGAGAAGAAACACATTTTACAAGGAGGTTTAATACGCAGGGTCCAAAAAGCAGGACCAAGATAACCATTACCAGGGTTCCTAACAAGGGGAGAAAGCATGCCATTGAGAGAAGATATCCTTGAATGGTATTCCATATTTTTCCGTCCATAGAGCTCTTAGCATCTCTTAACCATGTAGCTCTATGAAGTAGATGGTTAGCCCTAAATTCAACCTTTCCTGAAGAGTTAACATAGAAGCAACAAGAAGTGTTTACTATAGCATATACCCTTCATTTTTTTGCTAACAGTCTTTGAGCCGATTGAAAAGTTCTATCTTTTCCTAGGTAAAAGGATTGGTGAAAGATTTTTAAGAGCTGTCCATTGTCTGGTGTCTGGCAAATGAAGTTTGCTGTCCTCCAATTGTAGCGATTCCAAGGGCTAAAAAGCATATCCTTAAAAAGTGGCCCATTCTCTCTCTGCAGAAGAATACTGAGGTTTTATTTCTCTTATGGCATCCTTCCAGATTCAAGGGACCTCAAGTGTATTGAAACTCTGGACCCTTTTTGCTGCTGACTTAGATATTTGGTCTTCCAATCTATTTCCCTTGGCTATTTCATCTATCCCCTTTTGGTGACCTTTACAATGTAAAGTGTTACTTCACATAGAAGGAAACTGAAGACAATACTTTGTCAATTTCCTGATGGTATTTAATGGGAGACCCATTAGCTGTGAGGAAATATCTTTCTTTCCAGATATTGACATGGGTACAGAGGAATAGGACAGCATATGTAGAATCAGTATAAATATTAAGTGATTTCCCTTTACTTAATTCAAACACCCTTGTGAGAGTGATCAGCTCAGCTAGTTGAGCACTTGTGCCTGGGGAGAGAATCACACCCTCAATAATGTCACTCATGGTGACTACTGCATATCCTGTTTTATGGATTCTTTTTTCTACAAAATAACTTTTGTCCATAAATAGAATCCATTTGAGAGGTGAAGCTGGTTGGGCTTCTGGGTCATATGGGGACCTGGAGAACTTTTCTGTCTAGCTAAAGGATTGTAAATGCACCAATCAGCGCTCTGTGTCTAGCTAAAGGTTTGTAAACACACCAATCAGCATTCTGTAAAAACACACCAATCAGTGCTCTGTGTCTAGCTAATTGGATGGGGACCTGGAGAACTTTTCTGTCTAGCTAAAGGATTGTAAATGCACCAATCAGCGCTCTGTGTCTAGCTAAAGGTTTGTAAACACACCAATCAGCACTGTGTAAAAACACAAAAATCAGCGCTCTGTGTCTAGCTAAAGGTTTGTAAGTGCACCAATCAGCACTCTGTAAAAATGGACCAACCAGCATTCTGTAAAATGGACGTATCAGCAGGATGTGGGTGGGGTCAAATAAGGGGATAAAAGCTGGCCACCTGAGCCAGCAGCGGCAACCCGCTTGGGTCCCCTTCCGCGCTGTGGAAGCTTTGTTCTTTCACTCTTTGCAATAAGTCCTGCTGCTGCTCACTCTTTGGGTCTGCATTACCTTTATGAGCTGTAACACTCACTGCGAAGGTCTGCAGCTTCACTCCTGAAGTAGGCAAGACCACAAACCCACTGGAAGGAAGAAACTCCGGACACATCTGAACATCTGAAGGAACAAACTCTGGACACACCAAATTTAAGAACTGTAACACTGCGAGGTTCCGTGGCTTCATTCTTGAAGTCAGAGAGACCAAGAATCCACTGGAAGGAACCAATTCCAGACACACATTCTAGGTTTTCTAAGGCAATTTCTTTGAGCTTCTTCCTGGCCACATAGGTTTATACCACTATCTTTTCACTGTCATGCTCAGGCTCTCCAGCTTCCTCTGGGAGGTAGGTGGCTGGGTTTACACAGAGACAGGTTCTTAACTAGACTGTACATCCCTCTAACAGCAGAGCCTCAAATTTGAAGAGGTGGTTGTCTGTTAGTCAGAGATTCCCTTTAGAGAACATCAGTCCTGCCACATTATGGGGAATATAAACTGTTAAGTTATTCCCTGTGGTTAACTTAGTAGCCTCCGGCACCAGCAAGGCTACTGCGGCAACTACTCAGAGACAGGACAGCCATGCTTTAGCTACCAAATCAAGCTCCTTGCTTAGGTAGCCTATGGACTACTTGGCTGGATCTTGGGCCTGCGTTAGAACTCCCAGGGTCGTTCCCTTCCTTTCTGATACATAAAGCTTGAATGTCTTTTCTAAGGGAAGACTAAGGTCTGGTGCCTTAAGCAAGGCTTGCTTTGATTGGTTAAAGATCCCTTTAGCCTCTGATCTCCAAAGTATTGAGTGAGTCTTAGCTGCCTGAGTCTCCTTTATGAGGTGATATACAAGGTAAGCCATCTCACCATACCCAGGTATCCATAATCTGCAAATTATGGATCCCCTCAGCTGTTTGAGGATTTGGGGGAGGAGAAAAGAAGAGATGGGCTTAATACTTTCTTTGTTGAGTGCTCTGATAACTTCTGAGAAGGATAGACCAAGGTAGTTCACTACAGTTTGACAGAACTGAGTCTTATATTTTGAAACCTTATATCCACTGTCAGCTAGAAATTTGAGAAGAGCCTTAGTGCCCTCCTGAGAGGGTTCCTTGGTTGGGGCACAGAGGAGAATGTCATCTACATATTGCAAAACTTTAACCTGAGGATGAAAAAACTCAGAGATCTCTTAACAAGACCTGCCCAAGCAAGTACGAGCTGTCTCAGAATCCCTGAGGCAGCACCATCCAGGTTAACTGAATGGCTTGGTGGGAGATATCCTCAAATGCAAACAGGTATTGGGAGTCAGAGTGTAATGGTATGTGGAAAAAGACCTCCTTCAAGTCCAGGACTGTGAACCATTTAGTTTCCTCAGGTATTTGAGTTAGCAAACTATAGGGTTTGGGAACCACAAGATGAATTGGAACCATAGGCTAATTAATGAAGCAGAGGTCTTGGACTAGTCCCCATTCCCTGCTGCGTTCCTGTAACCCCAACAAAAAACAAAAAACCCAAATAAAAAACACTTTTTTTTTTTCTTTCTGCTGTGACCCTCTCTGTATCCTCTGGGTCCCAGTGACCTTCATAGGTGCCACCAATGGATGGAAGCATTACCTTCATCCATGGATTCTGGGGGCTAGTTGCCATGTGTAATCATGCTTACCTGTCCTATTCCTTCGCTTTGGATTCTTTGCCATCCTAGCCTAGTTGCCTTTCTAGATTTCCATCTTGGGCCCCCAAAGAGACACTGGGATAGCTGAATTTGGGCCAAAAGCCTCAATGGAGGGGACCTTCTAAGGCAGTCCCTAAATTCTTTCTTCATTATGCAGTTCAGAGATTGGGCCAGAATAAGACATGCCAGAAAATGGGAATGATTAATCTCCAAATATAGTTCCTCATTTTTGTCTAAGTGCTATTGCACCTGGAGACGAAAGAGATGCTTCTAAAGAACCTACATGTCAGGCTGGTTCCTTTCCTTCTGTGGAGACAGCATAGAAGCAAACATCTGTCTGCCTAGGCTTTCTTCTTCCTCCCTATCATAAGGTAATTTTTTTTTTTTATTTTCAAATGGGGCAAGGGACATGGCCTCTGCTGAGTGGCCAGAGGGAGGTATGTAATTGGAAAACTAAGAGTTTTGGGCAGAAGACTGATTGGGCTCCCTAAGGAAAGAAGTCCCATCTCATCAGGTGGCTTAATAGGGATGGAAATGTAAAGCTGTATCTTTGTCTCCAAATACCTTTTTTTTTGAGATGGAGTTTCACTCTTATTGCCCAGGCTGGAGTGCAATGGTGTGATCTCGGCTCACTGCAACCTCCCGAGTAGCTGGGATTACAGCCATGCACCACCATGCCTGACTAATTTTTGTGATTTTAGTAATTTTGTAATTTTAGTAGAATTTAGTAATTTTGTAAATTTTGTAATTTTTGTAAATTTAGTAGAAATTTTAGTAGAAATTTAGTTTCTCCATGTTGGTCAGGCTTGTCTCAAATTCCTGACCTCAAGATATCCACCTGCCTTGGCCTGCCAAAGTGCTGGGATTATAGGCATGACCCACTGTGCCCGGCCATTCTTTTAATGCAGAATTTGGAAAGAGAGGTTTGGGGCTTGATAGGCTGTCCCACAATATGCTTCCCAGCAGAAGAAAATTAATTTGTTTCACAGAGGGGCTGCTTAAATTCATTGGATTGTGCTGATTTCTCACATGGGGAAAGAAACAGGCCAAATGGAGAGGAGGGTGTCTATTTGGGGTGAAATATCTTTCTATACTGTGTCATCTATAGACATCATAGGTAGAAAAAGAAGTCCTTAGACTGAAACCTTGAAATCCCCCTGTCTCAAGGAAATCACATACACACAAAAAAAACCCTTTGAGCTGCATTTCTGTTTGCTAAGGCACCTGCTGATTTTACCGAACAAAATTATATCTCCAGGCTGCAAAAGCACATGCAACTTTGCATACAAAGAAGAAATTGAAGCCATAACAGCTGCAAAATTAAAAAAAAAAACAGAGAAAATATGATACAAAAAGCCTGGAAGTCCTGGTGCTGACACTGTAATGGGCTGATGGGTACTGAAGTTAGTCTAGGGGCATTTGGGTAAGACTGTGTGGTAGCCTCATCCTGATACCCTCAGTTGCCACAGGACCTCCTTCCAGTTCCATGGGATGGCTAGACCTCCATAAAGAGAAACTGGACTGGAACGCAGCAAACATTCTCAACACCCGAGGGCAATGGTGGATTGACAAAGTCCTCTCTAGCAAGCCTGTCCTCTGAGTCTTTAGTCTGGCAGATGTGCTGTTTGCTCTAAAGTGGCCGATAGAGGCTCAGCATTTTATTTGATCTTGAAAAAAATCTGAGGACAAGAATCCTCGGAAATGAAAATAAAAAATTAGAAGTCTGCTCCTACTCACCCTTCCAATGATCCCAGATGAGATCCCAAAATGTTGTAGTCGCCTTAGTCCTTAGTTCAGCTGGCTTAGTCCTTAGTTCAGCTGTGTCTGAGTTCTTGTGTCATGACCAAGAATAAGGCACATAGGCATCAGAGAATGAGTAGAGTAGGATTACTTAAGAAATAAGAAATCTTTCAGCAAAGAGAGGGTGCTTGAGAGCAAGTTGCCAGAGATGGGGCTAAATTCTGGGTGTTTTATGTGGCAAGCAGAAGCAAGTCTTCTGTTGGTTCTGCCCAATATGGGAGGGGTAAAGTTTCCCCCAAAGGTGTTGCATCTGCACATGCCTGGGGTTGGCTAGAGTGACTTCATCTTGGTTAATACCAATGAGTGCCTAAGTGAAACCCATGGTAGGTGGGGCTAACAATCACAACGTTCATGTCATATTAATAATATTTTAATGAGTTGGGTCAAGTTAAGAACATTTAGGCTGACTTATTGTACCTGTGCCTAAGTTGGGATCACCCCTTCTGAGCAAATCCTGACATAAGGAAAAATTTTTAACCCATTTCTTCCTGTTAGCTACAGGGGCAGTGCAGGTGTGGTCCCATGGGTATTTTTCCACTCCCAAGACCTTCCTTATTTGCCTAACCAACATCTAACTGCTTCCTCTCTCAATTATATTAACAGTTGTTAGAATTACCTCACAGTTGTTAGAATGACTATTGTAAATAAGCCACAGGTAAGTTTTGGCAAGGGTGTGATGTAAAGGGAACTCTTGCACCGGTTGGTTGTGATAGAAATTAGTATAAGCATTATAGAAAGTAGTATGGAGCTTCCTCAAAAAAATAATAGAATGACTATATGATGCAGCAAGCCTACTACTATGTACCCAAAGGAAATAAAATCAGTACATCAAAGATATATTTGTACTCTCATGTTCATTGCAGCATTATTTACAAATGCCAAGATATGGAATCAATTTATGAATAAAGCAAACCTATTATATATACATAATAGAACACTATTCAGCCATAACAAAAGAAGAAAATCCTGTCATTTGTGATAACCTGGATAAACCTTGATGATATTATATTGAGACAGTAAATTTAATAATGGAGTGTTGACTAGTAAGTGGGGGAATCAGTACATATCCTGTATCATTTATTTGATAGTGTAAGTAAAAAAAAGTTACTTCTGTTAAAGAGGGAAATCTTTTTTTGATATTTAAGCTTGAAAAATCATGAAACATTACAAATAGAAACATACAGATGATTGTTTATTATTATATTGTTTGCAATATTAGACAATAGGAAATGTAATATTTGACCAACAATAGAGGAATGGTTTAGTAAGTGTAACATTACACTTTCACGTACTATACATCTATTAAAGTAATGAATTAGGTCTAAGAATAATAGCATTGATAGATCTCCAGTGCTTCCTAGTCCCTCAACATTTAGATGTAATCAAGAAGAGTAAAAATAAGAAAAGCAGAAGTGACCAGAAAGGAGACTGGAAAACCATCAGTGTGTGATATTTTGGAAATCATATTAAAAATATTCTAAGACAGAATGATCAAATAAGCTGAAAACTGAAAATCAAACCTTAGATTTAGCAATATGACACTCGTTGCTGACCATAACACATTGATTTATTTTAGGAACTGGGTAGGAAAGTCTGAAGAAAGCACACTCAGGAATGAAAGCAGAGATTTAAAATCAGAATGAATAGTTATTGTCTAATAGAAATTTATTATAAAGTAGAGCATAAAATAGGTTGATATTTTGAGGGTAAACTATCATAACATTTTTTTTCTTTTTCCTAATGTTGAAAAAAATATAGTTCATTGATATGCTTATGCATATATTGAATAGAGAAGGAAATTTACAGATGCCGGAGAGAGCGGGTTGAAATCCTTTACTTCATAGAGTAGGACAATGATAATGGTATCTAGTGCAAAGGGGAGGAGTAGCTTTGAACAAGAGCAAAAACAGTTTATCCACAATAGTAGAAGATATGTGGGAGCATATAAACACAGAATTTACTTCCCAAAATATATGAATGTAAATATTTTAACAATAAAGTCAATATTGCTTTGATTGTTGGATTAGCAATGTCAAAGGAGGATGAGCTGGCGAAAGAAGGTAGTGGTGGGAGGCTGCTATACTTGCAATTAAGAGGAGATTGAAGGTATTAACAATGAAAAAGTCTAGTTTTGATGTCAGAGGTGTAAAGGGTTTATGGAAGATTGAAAGGGACATTGAGTGAGAAGTCATAAAGGATGATTTAGTGGATTCTGAAGTAGATAAGATCTATGACGAAAATGGTGGAAAGAGTAATATTTCCCCTGTGACTAAAATCTCTAAGAAACGAGAGGGTGTGATTCAGTCACTTGTGAATGATGACAACAAGGAAAACTGGGTATTATCATCTAATAATCTGAGAGTTAAATGGGGTAGTTGGTGTATATACACCTACAATTCAACAGTGCCACAGCAGAAGCAGAGTCTGCAATGTAGAGCCCAGCTTAACTTAAAGCAGGATGATGCTTAAAGATACATGAATACAGTTTATAATAGGATATCTTTTCTAAACTATAGGAGTTTTGTATGCTTCTCTTTATAAAAATAAAATCTGTTTAATTTAAAAGTTAGAATTAGGGACATTTTCTCTAAATGTCAGATATGTTTTTGAACACACACATTTGTAGAATATATGCATGTACACACATATAAGTCACATACATATATTTGAACATATAAATATTGACATCTATACTTTGTTACATAAATGCATATATATGTACCTCCTACATTTCAAGTGTTGGGCCAGTAACTACAAAAAGAGGGAAAAATTCATAATAAATGATTTTCACTCAAGATTATAATTTATTGGGAGACACTATTTTAAAATATATGAGTGAAATAAGTAAATAAATAATACAAATTTTCTAATACTCAATAACACACAGGTTAGTTGGAGGAACACATATATAAGTAAATATGTGATAAAAATGAAGTTATCTGTAATACGGTAGGGCTGATAGAAACTTTATTATTCTATTTAGGCTGAAAGAAAGGAAGCAGTGGAAAAAAGTGAAAATTCAATTTATATGAAGAAGAGTATGTAAATGGTATCTAATAAAGCAGAAAATATAAAATTATATACACAGGGAAGAAGTATTAGCCATGTTGGTAATCATGGGAAAGGAAATAACAGCAAGCAGAGATACAACTTTGGGCCATCAAGAGAAGCGAGATAGAGATAGTTAATTTTCAGTAACCTCCATGTTCTACTTAAGTAATAAGCTTTGTAATCTCT
This sequence comes from Homo sapiens, assembly GCF_000001405.40. Classification (NCBI taxonomy): domain Eukaryota; kingdom Metazoa; phylum Chordata; class Mammalia; order Primates; family Hominidae; genus Homo; species Homo sapiens. The sequence goes on from NC_000001.11 coordinate 189,274,288, forward strand.
AGGATTACACAAAATTAGCATAATTAATAATATCTTAAAGATTCAGGTGACCATGAATTACATCTAGCAGCTATACAGTAAATAGTAAGTGGTGAGACTGGATATTATTTTCGCAGGACTGTTGAATCTCTAAATATATTTCCTTCTATGGGATAACTTACTATCCCAAATATAGCCATGAATCAGCAAAATTGCTAGATTCTACATACTGGATCATACTTAAGAATCAATGTGGGGCATTACAGAAACATGTAATTGAACCCATGCATGAAGATTAGATTTTAAGGTCAAGCATGATACAGAAACAAGGATCAATAAATTAGATCTTGATAATATATATAAATATATATGAATATTTATATATCAAATATAAATGTGAGTATATATGAATATTAATGTATATTAAATACAAATATATGTGTGTATACTTAAGACTAAAGCATGAATTTAATAAATCCAGAAATAATAGTAATGAAATTATTCTTTACCTTTAATATTATCTTTATTTATAAAGTTATTATATGCAATATATATATTTACAGTACACCAAAGTTTTAACATTTTTAATGTTCGGTTCAGTTAAATTTAACTAATAATGGTAATGCCAATCAAAGTAAAATTATGGGCCACACAGCATGCAAGAGCATGAAATATAATTTCTTTGCTAAAGGTAAAAATTCAAAGAGATTTGGCATAATTGTAAAGCTTGTGTAAAGCTTATGTCCAATCCCCTCTATTCCCATGAAATTGGCAGACATTATGAATTTAATTTTCATTGCTCCCTTCGGTGCTTTGTTGGAGATATGAACAAGTTATGAATTTAGTAAAACTAGTGTGAGCAGCAGGAACTTAATCAATTTACTGTATACATTTTTCTCTCTGTGCTCATTTCTTTTCCTACTCTCAGCTTTAAATACAGACATTTCACACATTCCATTTTGTTGTTAAGCTATTTAACCTAACAGTCTCACCATTTAAGAAAATAATTACATGTTTGAATTACATTGCCTCATTGAAGGGATCAGGCTAGTTTTCTGTAGATTTTTCTACACTTTGGATTTGTCTGACTGTTTCTAAAAAATGTAACTAAATTTAAGTTAAACATCCCTGGTGAACTCCACATAGGTAAAATACTGCATTCTACATATTATATCATACCGGGACACACATAAAATGACCAGTTCCCACTTACTGGTGCTAGAATTTATCAGCTGGTTAAGGTAGTGACTGCCTTTGTAAATGTACTTTCACCAGCCCCACCACCTGAATTTGCTGGCAATCTGTAAAGTGATGTTTTGGCATCTTATAAGTTCCCTGTTTTTCAATTATTCTTTACTTAATGGGTTTAGCAGTCGTGATGACTCTTAATTCTATAATTACATAAAAATTGCAAAATGAAAGTTTCCTAATTTCATCATTAATTTTATAACTATTAGCTAGAGCTGTGTTAAGAGTTTTCTTTTACACAGTGGAGATGTATAGTTTCAACTAGAAACAAAAGATAAATGCTAAATGATTGTTCTTTAAATTTACGTAAGTTTATTAAGGGTATTTTTGTATAATGAGACAAACTTCTTATATTTAAAGTGTTTGACTTAAAGTTTTTTTTTTTTTTTAATTTTAGTGCCAGGGCATATTTTGAATTCTGTGGTCCATAAACTACTGGAAAGTTTTATGGAAATCTCTGCTAGGGCAATCTTCCAAGAAATTACAGTCTTGTCATCAGCTGAACTCTTTAAAACTATGCAAACTCCTCATCAGCAGAGGAGTCAAGAAGGCCTTTCAGAGTTGGAAACTGATGCTAAAATAATGAGCCATTATTCCTAAAATATAAAAATGTAGCCTCATTACTGGAAAGGTTTTGGTTGTGATTTTCAGTGTGTTACTAGTCATGTGACTTGAAAGAGTTACCTAAAAACCTTCTAGAGCTAATTTTATATCTGCACATAATGATAAAATCACTTACCTCATAGAGCTGCTAGCCAAAAACATATGTGTTATTATGTAGTATTTTGAAATTACATATTTTATACAATAGAATATTATATACACACATGTATATTAAACTTGTTTACTGCTGAGAAATGTAAAGAAAAACAACTTTGAAAGTGGTTTGGTAGTATGCACTAAAGCTTAATGTATGCACACCTTAGAACTCCACAATTAAACTCCTAGGTATATAGTCATCAGAAAGACATGTATATTTACAATAAAATATGTATAAGCATACTAACATTAGTACTATTCATGATAGTCATAAATTAGAAATTAAACAAATGCTCGCGAGCACCAGAATGAATAAATAAATCATGTTATATTCACGAAGGAAACATTACATAGAAAAATGAACTAGTTACAATTTTACTGAATTATATGGGAAAAGCTCACCAATATATGAGAAGGAAAGGTTTAAAACACAACAGGACACATAAGGTATAATCCATTTTATATAAATTTTTAAAACAGTAATATCTATGGTGCAAGAAGTTTATCCCTTCTGATGCCATGACTGAAAAGTGGCACAACGGCCAATTCTGAATTTGAGTTAGGCTTAGGGTTATATTTGGGGTCAGATTCTGCTTCTTGACTGAGGGATTTTAAAAAATTAATCACAAGTGTGTTCACTTTTTAAAAATTAACCAAGCTCTACAAACATTGAACTTTTTTGCGTGTATTGTGTACTTTGAAAAAAAGTGTTAAAAACTTTGTATAAAATGTCTAATGGTGTTTGACACATAGAAGAAACCTTGTAAAGTTTGCACATTTTTCACTTTCTTATAAATAATGAAGCTAAGACAAAGATAAACAGATGATCTCTTTGGCCAGAGCTTTATTACTTTTTGGAACACAGTTGGTTTGATTTTGCTAGCCCTTTTGTGTTTAAAAAACAAAATGTAATTTACTGATATACTCTTTCAGTTTGATTTTCTATAGACAAATCTCACAAATAATGTTAAAATGTAGAACACTGATTTTGCAACTCAGAAATAACATTTAAAATACAGGCAGTATTTCATCCTTTCTATCACCTAATCGAATGAGTTATCTGGCACGAAACAGATTGGTTTTGAATTCTTTTAATTTTTTTTGTCAAATTTTAAAAGTTGTGTTATGTTTTCAGCTTTTAAAGGGTTTAAATTGCAGTTGTCCTCCTCAACAAAGTGTGGTTAAAATTCGTGACTAATATAAAAATATAACCTGTGCTAATTTAAAATGAGAGCTGTAAATTTTATTTGTAGATGTGATTAATGTAGAGGGATTTGCATAATAATCACTTTTCTAAAAATGCATAAGCATAGGTGAAACCACTGGTTGTTCCTATTTAAATACACATACATGATGATATACATTTGGAATGCAAATATAAATATTAGTAAACTTAATAGTGATATTTTATATATTATATATACACTTCATTATTATTCATAGAAATCAAATACTTTTGATATTTTAATTCCTATTGGAGTAGGTTTCTATAATATTCATATAATTAGGTTTAAAAATTGTGTTTTTCTAATTCGTAGGATGCAAATAAACATTAGTCCTTCTGTTACTGGACTAATGTGTTACTGAATGAAATTAATTTTTTAAAAGATTTAGAGAGGTTATAAAAAATATTCAAAGGTAGATTTTGTAAAAACATGTTTATTTGACTTAGGTTTTATGTAATCAGAAATAAGAGGATGGATAATAACAAAAAAAAATGAGCTTTTAAATATCCATTGCCACTATTTCCTTATGGAATGAATATGGATACATAGTTTCATTACATAAATATAGACTATCTGTGTAGACTATTATATTTAAAAATATTCTATGGAACACAGAAAGTATGAATATTTTTCTGCATACATTTTTGAAGGCACAAGTAAACCAATTGGGGGCAGATTTAAATTAAAAGAAAACACAAAAAATTAGACCCCTTGAAATAATGCATTTTGTTTTCCAAGGCTCTAGCAATTTTAATTACTAATATTTGATATTGACTCAATTTTACACTAATCACTATGCTATTTAACTTATGACTTGGCACTGTGTATTATTGTGTGCTGTTTAAATGTCACATAATCTAATCAAACTGTGTGTAAATTTGGTCCCTTGTGTGAGCAAAAAGTAAACTATTAGTGAAAAAACTTCTTATATATTTCAGATTTTCTGCTTTACCATGTTTACCAATCACAGATGCTTGATTTTAAATATTCATCAACATGAAGAACATACATTATAAATGATCTCCAAGAGAGATTAGGATGAAAAGCAAGTAGTGAAGTACTTAATGGTAAGACAATGGAGATATTAAAAATTTCCTTCAAATGAAGATAATAAGAATTACAGTACTTTACTAAAGTTAACTGACAGATTATTGGAATCAATTCTTGTAGATAATTTATAATCCACTTTTCTTTATTCTAGAATTATTTCTACAATAAAATTGAAAGGATTCAATTCATTTTTATCCTTGAAATTGGCATAATAAAAGGAAAACATTCTATAAAGCACTGGATATAACAATTCTTACAAATTATATCAATCTATTTTTTTCTAGAAGCCTTCTCTTATAGTGACATATATATCTTATAATTACGTGCCATTTAAACTGCTATTTGACACAACTGTTTAAAATTTTTCACTAATTTTCCAAAATGTATATTTTGAAAATTTGACAATCTACTAAATTACTGAAAAGTTTGCCTTTATATGTCTTTGATTTTTCTTTTCCTCATATCACAAACTTTTTTTTCTTTCTTTCTTTACTTACTTATTTATTTTCTGAGATGGAGTTTCACTCTTGTTGCCCAGGCTAGAGAATTGTTTTCTTTTTCTAATTCTCCATATTTTCTGAAAGTCTAGTATTTATTTTTTTCCTTTCCCTAACCTACACCATATTCTTCATTAAGTCCTATTGATTATTGTCAACAAATAAATTTAAAATGTATGCGTTATTTTCCATATCCTCTGCCAATGTCTTATCCCCCAATGATGATAATCTTCTATGAGATAGATCACTATCCACTGTTAACTATATTCTTGATTCTACTCTTAACTCTCTATTAATTTTTAAAATATTGTTACTCAACATTATGATTTAAAATGTTTAATTAGTCTGCTGATTTTCTATCATAGCATGGATATCTCTGTTGTGTTATCCATAAGCTAAAACTAACAATGTGAGTGCAGTAGTACTTGTGAGGGACATACAATTTCACAGTCAATTTTTACTTTGTGGAAGAATTGATGTCTTTTTTAATATGTTTGCTATAAGTCAACCAGAAAAGAAAAAAAATAGAGTAATACTTGTTCATTTTTGTTTGTAACCATACAGTGTTGAGAAAAATATTAAACTACCATTTACAACATAGCTTGTGAAATATATATGTATTTATATATATTTATGTATAAATATGTATTTTGTTTAAATTGTTATATATAAATACATGTATATTTATATATGTATATAAATTTGTTATATGAAGTTTGAATGTCCTATTCCAAAAATTTATCCTTAGAGATGAATAACTTGCCAAAGTTTATCCATTCCTTCTGAGCCTAAAAAGTGGTGTTTCTTGTATAAAATTCCCTTTCTAGTATGCACATTGAAAAACAGATTTATTCTTCAATGTTTTGATATCTCAACAGAAAAGTGACTAAGCAATATTAGACATGTTGAAACAATTTAAGACTTGGACATTTTCTTTGAAAACATTAATTGAATATTTTTCTTTTTAATACACATAAAATAGTATTAGGTACTATGAGAGTTTTGCTGAGGCATTATGATTTCATAAAGCAAAGGAAAGTATGCCAGTTTACCAGGAATACCAATTTATAATGCCGTGTAACTCAATCTTTTCAAATAACAGTCTAACACATTTATTCTACTATACCAAAAACTGCCAACCACTGCATTAAATCTCAGGAATATTCATGAAACATAGTACTTCATTTTTTTTTTTTTTTACTGTTACAACACATAGTTTTAAATATGGCAAAGACTACGTAAATGTAAGTCTTGTAAATGCATTGTTTTGAATTCATTCCGTCTTTGATATTCTATTTTTCTCATTTGTTGTTTTGTTTTCTAGAGACTTAAAATGAGTATTTCTGATTCCATTCTCTTAATCTCTATGAGTATAATCTGGCTACACAATCTCAGGTAAAATAGACTAGAATGTAGGAAATACTAATGAGAAAACATGCTTTTATGGTTACCTAATCTCTAAGAAAGAAGGGTTAACAAAGAACAATAAGAAACTATCTGTATATAACTGGTTGAAAACAAGGATGATTTATCTTTAAAAAAAGAAATTCAACTTGCAGATAAAATAATTATTGTCTTATGTCTCAATTTGCTTGCTGAAATTATAGTACATTTATGGTGTTAAACATCCTCATTTAGGAAAAGACAATCATTCTATTTACTCTCTGTGACCAAACTATTAGTCACTACTACATATTGACTTTTTTTCTGATTTTTTTTAATCAGAAAAATATAATTGGTAGTATTAACTTAGAAAAAAAAACAAGGGTTAATTACATAAATAAAATTAGAAGAATGGTTTACAAATTTTTAATGCCCTTATACATACTCATTATATAAAGTCTCATTTGGCAAATTTAATCTACAATATTACAGCTACCTATTTGCAACTGTGATTGATGAAGCTTTTGGAATATACAAATACCATTCAATATTAATTTTACATACTATATACTTTCACCAACATTATGTTGCATATTATCCCATAATATCTGACACATACAAGATTTAATTCCTTGTATTAGAACTTAGGAGGAAAATATTTGTAACTGATTTCCTAAAAGCAAAAGCGGCTGAGCACGGTGGCTCACACCTCTAATACCAGCACTCTGGGAGGCAGAGGCGGGCAGATCTCTTAAGGTCAGCCTGGCCAAAATGGTGAAGCACTATCTCTACCAAAAATATAAAAAATTAGCCAGGTGTGGTGGTGTGCGCCTGTAATTCTAGCTACTCAGGAGGCTGAGGCAAGAGAATCGTTGGAACCTCCGAGGTGGAGGTTGCAGCGAGCCGAGAACCTGCCACTGCACTCCAGCCTGGGCGATGGAGCGAGATTCTGTCAAAAATAAAATTAAAATAAAATAAAATAAAATAGCAAAAGTAAATTTGGAAGGTAGGAGAGGTAGATCAGAGCTTTTAAACAAGTCAGAAAACTTATAACTCTGGGCACAAACTTTCTTTTGATTATGGTTTAAATAATCCACATTATGCTGTGAACTCTGTGAGCGAGACACCTTGTCTAGTGTGACCACTATTGTGTCTGGTTTTTAATATACTCATCAAATATATTCAAATATATCTTGAATGCATGAATAAATGATCTAATTTACCAATTATAATATATTTCACCATTGTAATTATAGAAAATAGTAACCAAAATTAATAGGTAAATCTTTTAAATTTTTGATATATGATTTTATTTAGCTAATGCATGTACAATTATTAATAAAGTTATTTTATCCCCTTAATATTTCATATAAATACAAGATAAAGTAAGGTGTCCACCTCATTTCTCAATTTCTCATCAAAATTCAAGTGAAAAATAGCTTTTTGCTTATAACTATAATCTAAGAAATAAGGCTTTGCTGTTTTGAATGTAAGATAGACTGGAAAAGCAGAGGCCTATTTTTTTTTCTAAATGTATTATAAACAATTATACTTGTCTTAAGTTTATGTCATAACATTACTTCATAGGAGCATATCTCAAGTTCACATTTTAAAAGTTATTTTTTGTAATATACAGTAATTTTAATTTCTAAGGTCAAATGTAAGTAACTTTGGAGATAACAATGTTGAAGAAAATAAACTTTTCCTTTTAAATAAATCATTTTCCCAAAGTAGATATCACTATTTTTAAAGTGCCTAAACCACAAGAATATTATAAATGAAGAGATGTCATTCTAGTAATTGTTTTTACCCAATACTTACGTCTTTTTTAAGCCTTTGGTGTAGGTAGAAGCATGGTTTAACTTCATAAGTATATGAAACAACTTCATATAAATTTTATACCAATTTTAGTTGTATAAAATATCTTTGCTAGTTTAAATTAATAAGATGCTTTCTTCTACTAACTACTTAAAATACAACTTTTTCTAGGCACTTGAATTAGAATCAATATTTACTTACTTGTGAATAACAAGCTGATGGTTTACTACCTTATGGAAGCATATTTTCATTAAGCTTTAGTCAATTATGATATCATAGTCATTGAATGATAACAAGTAGCTTTCTCCCAAGGTTCCACATCACTGAAATAGTTTGCATCCGACATTATGTCATAGACTTTACCATTTTTCCATAAGATAATTTATTTTTTAAGTGAAATTAGGAACTTTTTAACTGTAAATCTATATTTGCAACATCAAAAACAGCTGATTATTCAGCCAGTGAAAATCTACTCTATAGCATGATTCACAGAGAAGGAATTAAATCACGAATACCAAAAATAAAAAAAAATCTTGTCCTAACATTGTGATAATAATTATTATTTATTTAATCTAGTCATTTTTAATGCAAATTATTTTCCTGCCATTGTTGTGGTCTACTTAGTGTTGGGCATACTTTCTTTTTTCATTTTACTTTAAAATTGGAGACATTTTACTTATTACAAAATCTTCATAAACAATAGAATATTTGACCGTTAAGTTAAGGACACCTCATTTTGTTAGTGTTGAAATTATATAACAGAATTAGCAAGTAAACCTAGCTTTGAAATGTTTGATAGTAATTAAGCTACTATAAGATACATACTGTTTGCTGCTTGTTTTTTAGTTTCATAGCCCTTTTAAAAATGTGTTTAGTGAGCATACGTCATGGATTGTGAAATGAATTGTAGGGAATATAAAAATGTCTCAATTCAAGGTTTCTATTTGTAAAATGATACAAAAATGGACATTAGTAACTATATTTCAAAATAAAATTAAATCACAAAAAATGGACTAAAATAAATAGGAAATTTTTGAAATACAGGCTAGGTTTGTGAGAGCTTATGTATATAATTTAAAAAATAAAGGAGGAAATTTTAATAATGTGTGCCTTGGAATTCAGGTGGGATTTGGACAAGAGGTTATCAGAAAGAAAATGGGCTGTTGCAAGCTGGAAAGAATAGGGAATAGAATGAGTTAAGCATATTAAAGACAGACATTGAATTTTCATGAGGAAAAACATAAGAAAACCTTGTATAGTTCAATAATTTAGAAAATGATGTTCAAAAATATAGGTGGAGTCATGCACCACCTTGAAAAATGCACGAGATTTTAATATAGAAAGTGACGAATGGTTAGATTAAACATGTCTCAGTTGAGTCACTGCTTTGTGCCAAACATTTTATTAGGTTCGGAATTTGATTGATGAATAAAAAAATCCATACTCTCACAGGGATGAAAATCTAAACCATGTGCTAAGGAAGTAAATTCTCAATTACAAAACAGCAGGATAAATTCTATACCAAAATTAGGTACTAGTTGCTAAGGAACCAAATAAAGTGCCTATCTCCTAACTAGGACTTGAGTATGTATGGCTACATGCTATCAGTATTTTTATTAATTTTGCATGCTATAATCTGTCTTCACTGCTGTATTTTCTGACCATTAATATCTGGATCTTATTTTACTTTTAGTAAATAACAATAAATATCAGTGTCTAGTATACAATAAATGTTCTCTCTATATAAAGGATATTAGTGATTATAAGAGATTAGGGAAGAAGAAAAAAGATATATAATGCATTATATAGGATTTGAAACATTATTAAATACATAAAAACTGTACTGAATGCTTTCTGCTATTTTGTAGTAATTTAGTAATATTTTAAAATTTGTTTACCTGTTTATCCATCCATACACACACAGAGTATATACGTGTATGTGTGTGTATATGCATGGGTGTGTGCACGTATGAAAGCCATGCAAGTATACTACTCTATTCACGCACACCCTATTTCATTCATTTATTCATTCGTTCAGTGAATCAATGATTTATTGAAATAGAGTGTGCATCTAAAAGGTTATTAGGAGATACATAAGGAACAGTGTCTGTCACTAAAGTACTAAGAATTTAGCTGGGAATATAGACACATAAATAAATGAATATATCTGTTACAAATGCCAAATATTATGATTGAAATATGCACAAACTGTCAGGGGAACAAATATGGGAAATCACAGTAGATTAACAAATGCACACAAATTATCTGAAACTAAGGCAACAAAAATATGGTCTATATTATTATCAGATGTGTGTATGTGTGTGTATATTTGGAATGATGATTTTATTATCTACTACTATCAATAAAGTATTTACCAATTTTTTATTCTACTAATTTCATTATGACTACAATTAGCTTAATACTCACTAATTTTTGTATTTTTAAAATTTAGAATGGTTTTAGATTTACAAAAATAAAGATGAAGATAGTACTGATGGCGCTCATATGCTCTGCATCCAGGTTCCCCTGTTGTTGTATCAGTATGGTATACTGGTTAGAATTAATAAACAGATGTTGGCACAGTATTATCTATTTTTTTTCAAATTTCCTTAGTTCCCACCTGATGTCCTTTTTCTATTTCATTGTCCCATTAAGAATACCATGTTAAATTTTACTGCACTATCTGTGGGTTTCTTGTGATTTTAACAGTGTCCCAGACTTTCCTTGTATTTGACTATTGCAAGTTGGGAGTAGTAGTGGTCAGGTATTCTTCTCCATTGGGATTTTTCTGATGTTATTCTCATGATTGGGCTGGTGTCTTAGTCCATTTGTGTTGCTGTGAAACATACCTGAGGCTTCATAACTTATAAAGAAAAAAATTATTCAACTCTTGGTACTGCGGGCTGTACAAGAGACACAGCACCAGCACCTGCTTCTGATGAGGGCCTCAAGCTGCTTCCGCTCACAGCAGAAGGCAAAGAGGAGCAATCATATGCAGAGATCACATGGTGAGAGAGCAAGCCAGAGGTGAAGAGGGGAGATGCCAGGCTCTTTTAAACAACCAACTCCTGTGGGAACTAATACAGTGAGAACTCACCCCACCTACCAAGAATGGCATTAATCTATTCATGAGGGATCTGACCCCATGACCCAAACGCCTCCTATTAGGCCACACCTCCAATCGTGGGGATCAAATATCCACATAAGGTTTGGGGAGGGGACAGACATCCAAATGATAGCAGCTGGGTTATATGTGTTGAGGATGGAAACACAGAAAAAGTTTCATTCTCATAACAGCATATCAAGAGTATGTACTATCAACATGACATCGCTGTTGATGTTGCCTTCGATTAGCTGACTGGCATGGTGTTTTGTTTTTCAGGTTTCTCCATTGTAAAGTTATTCTCCTTCCACCTCCCCTTTTATACTGTGTTCTTTGAAAAGATGTCACTGTGCACAGACCATATTCTGAAGATGGGATGTTATGCTGTTGCTTCTTTAGGGGAGAGCATCTCTATATATTATTTAAAATGTTTCTGTGCAGAATATTTGTCTGCTCTTCCCCATTTATATATTTATTGAATCAAACATTTATGTTAATATGGACACATGGTATTTTTTGGGGGGTTATAATCGGATATTACTTTGTTTATCTTATTGGACAAATTGTTTCAACTTCGGCTATTGGTAACTTTTCTTTTTAAATTTTTATATTGATACATAACAGCTGTACATATTTTGGGAGTACACATGATACTTTGATACCTGCATACAATGTATAGTGATCAAGTAAGGGTAACTGGGATACCTATCACCTCAAATATTTATCATTAATTTCTGTTTGGAACATTTCAAATCTTTCTTCTATTTTGAAATATACAATAAATTATTATATGGTTCCTGTCTTGCTTTACATACCCCATCAATGTGATTTCTTGAATTCCTTTCTTAATCTCTGGCGCTACCTGATAGTGCAGGCTCATCTTGTATAATTCCTGCCCTAGCCCTAGTATCCATCGCTCTCCAAGGAGTCCTGGCTCCTTGTATTGGATAATGGTATTAGATCCCAAGATGTAGGTGGCAATGGTATTAGATATCAAGATGTAGGTGCCAAGTGTAATCATTGCTATGGGAATATTGTGTCTAGGATTGACATAGAAAAGAGAGGTGTAAGTATATACACACATCTATAATTGTTTCTCAGTTTAACTGTATTTATTTATATTAAGCTAAACTTCTGTACAGTTGTTTCATAAATTTGAAAGATAGTTACATTTTTGTCACATTTTGAATTCCTTCTTTATATTTCCCAGCCCCCAAATGATTTATTTTACATTGCACATGGTAAGTTTCACTCTTTGTTTTGTAAAGTTCTACTAGTTTGACAAACACACAGTGTGGTGAATCCATCATTGCTATATTATATAGTGTAATTCTGCAATTTCCAACTGTACTCCACTTGTCCTATTCTACCCGCCTTCCTCTGGCAAACTCTAATTGTTTTATCACTGAAAGTCTTGCCTTTTCTAGAATGTCATATAATTTGAATCATTACAGTATATCTCCCTTTCAGGTTGGGTTGTTTCATTTAGCAATATTCATTTAAGATTCATCCATATCTTAAATTCATTCATAAGATAGCTCCTATTTTCTCCTTTTAAATGTATTATTTTAAAATTTATTACTCAGTGATGTTCAGCATATTTACAAATGTGTGCAACTATCACCACAGTCAATCAATTTTAAAACATATCAATCATTTCAAAAAGAAGCCACATACCCTTTAGCTATTACTCCATTTTACCATGTCACTCATTCTAAAACTAAGCAATCTCCCATCTAGTTTCAGTCTCTGTAGGTCCTCATATTCTGGACATTTCATATGAAATGGAACATATAACATGTTGTATTTTGTGGTTGGCTTGCTTCACTTAGCATAATGAATTCAAGGCTCATGCTTATTGTAACATGCTTCAGTATTTCATTCTTTTCTATGGATAACATTTCATTTTATGGACATACCACCTTTGCATTCATCAGTTGATGGATTTAGATTGCATTTACCTTTTGGTTACTATAAATAATGATGCTACAAACACATGTACAAGCTTTTGTATGGGCATATGTTTTTCTTTATCTAAAATATACAGCTAGAAGTGGAATTATTGAGTCATATATCAATTCTATGTTTAATCATTTGAGTAGCTGCCAGACTGTTCCAAGTGGCTGTACCAATTCAAATTTCCATCAGTAGTGTATGAGGGTTATTATTTTTCCATATTGTTACACATACTTGTTATTATCTGTCTTCTTAATTCTAGCCTTTCTAGTGGGTGTGAAGTAGTGTCTCGCATGATTTTATTTGCATTTGCCTGATGAATAATGATGTCAATCATCTCTTTATGAGCTCATTGGCCTTTTGGATATTTTCCTTGGGGCAATGTCTATTTATAAACTTATGGCTTTCTTTAATATTGGGTTATTTGTCTTTTTATTACAAGTAGTAAGAGTTTTTATATATTCTAAATAAAGACTCTATCATATGTATGCTTTGAAAATATGTTCTCCCATTCTGTAGATTGTCTTTTCACCTTCTTGATGGTATCCTTTGAGGTACAAATGTGTTTAATTTAGATGAGGTCTAGTTTATCTGTTTTTATCTTTTGTTGTTTTTGCTTTTGGTTCATAGGAAAGAATACTTTGTGAAATCCAGGGTCATGAATATTTGCCCATATATTTTCTTTTATGAAGTTTATAGTTTTACCTCTTCCATTTAGATCTTTGAACTATTTATTTTTACTTTATTTATATGATGTGAAGTAAGAGCTCAATTTTGCATGTGGCTATTTACTTGTCCCAAAACAATTTTTTGATAAGACTATCCTTTTTATGTTGAATACTTTTGACACATTTGTTAAAATCAGTTGACCATAAATGTATGAAATTATTGCTGGATACTCCATTATATCCCATTAACTCATACGTTTATTTTTGGGCCAGCACCACACTGTCGTCTATATAAGTCATTTTATATTGTCATATATATATATAGATATATAAATGACTTGCTCTTCTGTGAAACATGAATATATATATATGACGAATGTTCAAGAGAAAACAACAAATAAAGAAATATTTATATATGAAAACCTATAAAAATTCAGTTAAAAACGTTGAGTCGGTGGTATTTAACCCAAGACACCCCTGCTTCCTCCGTGCCAGCTCAGTGAGGCATAGACCTCACTTCAGACTGCTGCAAGGGAGAACTGGGGCTCCCTCTTTCCCACAAATCCCAGTCAGAGAGTTTTCTTTCCTGAAGAAGTATGACATTAACATTTATCATCTTGCTTCTACCTACCTGTTTCTAAGCCCCAAGTGAGTACAGTAGTGAGGTGGTGTCTCCCTTTTGCTGCCAAACCACCTTCTATATGGCATGATGAGAATACTAGGGCCCAGATCATTCTTGCCTCAACTTACGGGGTATTGATTTCACACCAGGAGAGGCAAATGGAGAAGACCTCGGCTGCCACTTCACCCACTCTCCAAGTGATTTTATATATAGAAAGTCATAAGGAATTCCCAAAAACCTATTATAGCTTTTTTAATTTGACAAGGTTGAATCCTGTATTGTTGAAAGATATATGATCAATGTACAAAAATGAAGTTTTATTTCTATACACTTGCAATGAACAATCTGAAAATAAAATTAGAAAAACAATTTCACTCACAATGGCATGAAAAATAAAATACTTAGGAAAAATTATAATTTAGAAAAGACACACAAAACATATACTCTGAATACTACTAAACATTTGGGGAGAAAATAACAGCGCTCTAAATGAATGAAAAAAAAAGTACCTTCTATTCTTGGAGTGGAAGACTTAAAGTATGTAAACATGGCAATACTCTCCAAACTGTCTCCAAGATTAACATAATACATATTAGAATCCAAGCTGACTTCTTTACAAAAAGTGAAAAACTAATTCTAAAATTTTAATGGAATTATATAAGTCCCAGAGTAGCCAAAATCATCTTGAAAAAGAACAAAGTAATATGGTTTACAACTTCTGATTTCAAAACTCATGGTCGCTTAATGGTATTCAAGACAGTGTGGTACAGGCCCAAGAATAAACATATGAATTAATGGGATAGAATGGAGTATCTAGCAATCATTTCATACAGTTATGGTCAACTGATTTTAACAAATGTGTCAAGATTATTCGACATAAAAAAGACAGTCTTATCAAAAAATTGTTTTGGAACAATCTGGCATCTCCTCAAATGATTAAACATAGAATTAATATATGACTCAGCAATTCCACTCCTAGGTGTATATTTTAGATAAAGAAAAACATATGCCCATACAAAAGCTTGTACATGTGTTTGTAGCATCATTGCCAGTTTTTGTTTGTTTGTTTTTGTTTTCATTTTCTGATCAGCTGCAGTCACGTAATTTTTGTTCGTGTTTACTTTAGTCTTTCTCATTGGTAGGTAGTAGTGTCTCATTGTTTTACTTTGCAATTTGCTGATGACGAATGACATTGAGCATCTTTTAAGAAATTTATTTGACATCTTTATATCTTCTTTGGTGACATGTCTGATCCGACCTGTGTCCCATTCTTATTTAAATTTAAATTTAAATTTTAGATACAAGGGTTATATGTGCAGATTTGTTACATAAGAATATTGCAGGATGCTGAGGTTTGGGGTATGGATCCCATTAACCATAGTAGGCATAGTACCTGGTAGTTTTTTAACCCATCCCTCTTCCATCCTCCCTCTAGTAGTCTACAGTGTCTATTATTCCCATATATATGTCTGTATCTGCTCAATACTTAGCTCCTACTTATGAGTGAAAACATGCAGTACTTGGTTTTCTGTTCTTGCATTAGTTTACTTAGGATTATTGCCTCTACCCATAACGAATATAAGCAAAATCATCTTTAAATGTATTTCCTTTATATCAATATTTATATCTATGTGATCTAGAAATGAAATGTTAACTAAATGTGTAATATGAGTAAAATAGATATACAATATGTCAACCACTAAGTATTCTGCATTTACAAATATTACCTTATTTATATTTTCTCTTTATCCCTTTGTAATGAGTTCTATTGTAATCCTCATTTAGCAGGATAACTCAATCAAGAAAGGCTTTAAGTAGCTTCCTCAAGTTTACACATTCAACAAGTGTTGTTTTTCATTCTAGCTTCAAAATATATTCTGTCACCTGTTTTGTTATTCTGTCTTTGAAATATTATTGTAATGTAATACAAAATATATTTTCAATGTGTTTCTTATACACTTAATTTTTAATACTCTTTAGACTATTATTCAAGGTATAATATGTACTTTAGATATATCCCAATCTTATGAATGTCAATTCACATTTCAAAATATTAATATTTAAAAATGTTAGCTAAATTTAGTTTGGTTTAATTTTTATGTGAATATCGTCTTATTCTGTGGCTGAGGAATTCACAAACTATGAGATATGTAAATCCTAACAGTTTATTTTAGTTCTTCTTGTCTGTACATTATGAATTTTTTTTGCTTAGTACTATTATACAACTATTGTACTTTGTAAGTAGTACTTCACTTAAATTCGCCACCATAATCAGTGTTTGAGTCCAATGAACTTCAATCTGCAGACTTTCACTAATGGTAAACAGATGATTAGGGTTTACCACTACCAACTACTAAGTCCAGCTTAATATGTTCTTTTGTTTTAAAATACTTTGGTAAATGTTACTTTTTTATCAAAATTTGTTCTTTCTCCTTCGTTCATATCATTTTACATCATGGTCTTGGGCTTTTGACTTGCTTTTCTAGTAAAATGTGATGACATACATTTTACCTGAGCAGACACTTTAAATGTGCTTCCATGATTTAACTTGCCATCTTTTTCTTCTGCCATGTTCCATGTGAATGGTGTATATCAAAGATACAATGGGCATTCAGTCTGTGTTCTAGAATAGATTATAAGTGAAACAGGAAACACGGTTGATATACAGATGCATGAGAAAGAAATAAGTGTGTTGTTGAAAGCCACTATATTAGTCTGTTCTCACATTGCTATAAAAAATACTTGAGACTGGGTAATTTAGAAAGAAAAGAGGTGCAATTGGCTTACGATTCCACCGCATATATGGCTGAGAAGGACTCGGGAAACTTACAGTCATGGTGGAAGATGAAGGGGAAACCAGTCACTTCTTACATGGCCAGAGCAGGAGGGATAGAGAGCGGCGAGATGCTACACATTTTAAACAACCAGATCTCATGATAACTCCCTGACTATTTTGAGAACAACAACAACAACAAAAGGGAAATCCACCCCCATGATCAAATCACCTCCCACCAGGACCCACCTCCATTGCTGGGGACTACTTTGACATGAGATTTGGGTGGGGAGACAGATCCAAACCACATCAGGCACTGAAATTTTGGAATTTATGTCATGCAGCATCATTACAAAAATAACTGACTAATGCAAGTACCTCGGGTGTCATATCTTTCCCAGACCAATGGATGAAGTGAGGACATTAACATGAGCACTTGTGAACCATTTATATGTATAAATACTTATCTTCTTTACAAACTAAGGAACATTCCTGAAATCTATTAGAACAAAAGTCATAAAGAAAATTAGCAATCCACTGGCCATGTGTAGAAAACAGATGTAATGTCTTTGACCTTGCAATTTTAATTAATGGAGTATTTTCAGGGTAATTAATGTGCAACATGTAAAATCAGGAAGATTGTAAGTTAGGTGTCTGAATAACTTACCTTTTGAGAAATCTTTTCTATCACTACGTGGCAGCCATTAACTTTCTGCTTAGATGGCCATTCTCTTTTTTGCTTGCTACACTACATGCCACTCCTTAATATTTGTCAACACTGAAGTCAGTGCTCATTGGTCTTTATTATCTTGCATATGCTGTTGCTTTTTCTATTCTCATCTGATTCAGGTTAAATTATTAATCCATGGATGCATGTCTTTGTTATATCATTTAGGAAGCATAAAATCATAAATATGTTACAGTGAACTCATTTTAGAAAAAAGTAGAGGGCTGTATGTTTATTTTAGTTACCAGGTTTTCTGAGAGCAAAAAAAAAAAAAAAAAAAAAGAAAAGACTCTTTAAATTTTGAAAATTTCTCCTAAAGCTACTTGAAATATTCATTTCATTTACAATGCTTTTGTTGAATATCACCAGTGTTTCAGCTCCTTGACTAGTTTCTTAATAGCAGTCAGCATCACCTGAAATGATAAATTAAAAACAGAACGTCAAGTGCTCTTTAACTTCAAGGCTCATTTAATATAACTGATCACTATGAAATCAAACAATAAACAATTAAAAAGAGATCCCGTCCATATAATGTATATCAAGTTTTTTAATTGTCTTCATTAGGGATGCATGAAAAAGCCAAAATGTCTTCTGGTTGCAGAAAGTAATGATCCAGGATAAAAATATATCAACATGGGAGAAAAATAACTCCTAAAACGATTTCTGAGTTGTCACCTGGAATTAGAATTATCTCTCCATAACCTAAAGTTGTCAAACCTTTGATTCAGTTATTAAATGTGCAGATGATTAAAATACAGGCAGGTTAAAGAAATCCAATTAACAGTGTAGATTATTTTCAGAAGTGAGCTAGTAGTTTACGCATATTGTGAGCTACTTAAAATGCTTCACACCAAGGAAGCCTAGATAAATGGTTTTATGTAAAAGGAAACTGCAGAGAGTAGGCAAACAAAGCATGCTCCAATAATATTGTATATTTCAAAACAGATAATGTTTTTAATATTATATTTCTCAGTGTTGGCACTATTGATGTTTGGGTCTAGATAAATTTTTGTTGTAGGGGGCCTCCACTTGCATTGTAGGGTACTTACTTATTAGTACTCCTGGCCTCCGAGTAGTAGATGCTCCTACCAATTCCCTGCTTCAGACAAACAAAAATGTCTGCAGATATATTGTAAATATCTCCTGGAGAGTAACATATGCTGCAGTTGAGACAAACAGTTTCATACTGTACCTCTTTTCATATTAGAACACATATCCTATGAGTATTCAACAATAGGAAAGATAAATATATATTATAAATTTATTTAACTAAAGCAAACAGGGATTTAAAAGAATCATTTACTTACATTTTAAAATCGCATACAATGAAGGACAAGGTACACATCCAAAAGTATTATAGTAACCTTAATCCACTTATTCAATTTTATTTTATCATGACAGGTTAAAATCTTACTAAGCATAAGCACTGTGCTAGGCATCCAGAATAATGGACAGCAAGCTGCTTGCAAGTTAATTTTGGTCTCATTTATTTATAATTAATTTACTTACATTATTTTCCATGTTAACATTAGGAAATGTCTAATGTTTAAACGATGGTATTAAGAGAGTTATTATTTGAGCAAGGCTGTGTCTTCTGGCAAATGTATGTATTTCAAAGAAAAATGTCTATTTTGCAAATATTAGATATCAAATTTGCTTCTATTCATGGTAAGCAGATAACAAAAAGGCATACATTATTTCTTAACATTGAAAAAGCTGTCATGGTATTTCCTCTGCCAATGGCAACATTTACCACAGCATCACTGAGCATTTGTGGCACTTTTTCTGTGTACCACATTCTACAATCAAAAAATACTTTGCTTTTATGTTTCTCCCTACCTTTTCTCTGGACTGTCAGAAACTTGAAGCCAAGGACCAGTTCTCTACACTGCTTTTTATTCTCATTATGCATCACATTTTGGTGCAGGGTAGATGTCAGTAATATATGATAAATTATTTTTAACTTAAGAGTAAATTATGATTCATCTTTCTCAAGTCGACCGTGGACAGCAGGAAGAGTTTAGGAAACAAAGTGAAGAACAAGTTTCACCTAATCTTATGATTTCTTCTAGTACCTATCCTTATTTATCACTGTGTTTCTCACTTTACTACCTTTCTTAAACTCATTTTATTTGAAGAAGATAATTCAGTTTGAATAATTTTGCAAAGAGAAAGCTTATCTTACTGTCAGCATGATTATGTAGCTTTAGAGATCAAAGGCTTTTCCCAATAAAGTTCTAAAATCTTTATGTCATTTCAGAGAGCCAACTTCGGCTGACACTTTCTCTTTCTTGCTGTACATTATTAAATGTGAAATATGTGGCCAGCTTATTCCAATGACCTATGTTTTTTCCTGCAAACTTACCAGAGTCTATCTCTCTATAGATATATAACCTGAATCTCCCTCTATAGGCATATAACCTGCGTCTCAAGATGCAAAAGGTATTAGCCTAACAACTGAGTTTTCTACCACACATCGCAGCTACTGATCACCCAACCAGAGAGGGAAGAATCCATAGTGGTCCACACCACACTTCAGATCAGCCAGTTTCATGTTTTCATGCCTATAGTTCATAATGCTATACTAATATCTACATTTGTTAGAATTATTTAAGTCACAATGACAAGCATTTTCGAAAATGTTTTGTAAGTTTCTCATTTCATTAAACATATGCCTTCTATAATCTGGAAATGCATTCCTAAAGATATATATGTGTATATCCCCCCCCAAAAAAAAATCTTGCACAAGAATGTTCACAGCAGCCTTATACATATTAGTCAAATGGTGATCAACAGGAATGCGAAAACCCAGTTGTGATATACTTAATAGACTACTACTTATCAATTAAAGAGAATAGATTGATGATGTATTTAACAGCATCATTGAATCTCAAAAACATCAGCAAATAAGGTAACAAAAAATAATTTATATTCTAAAATTCCTATTACATGGTGTTCACAAATAGTCAATCTTTGGTAATAAAAGTTAGAATACAGTTTACCTGCGTGTGTGTGTGTGTGTGTGTGTGTGTGTGTGTGTGTGTGTGTGTGTTTGTGTGTATGTGTGAGGGGGGATGTCTGCCTGCATCTAATGATGTAAAGCCATATTTATTTAAGTGCTTTTACATATGCAAACATTTACTAATCTGTATATTTGCGCATTTTATTGCATGCAATTTTGTTCAAAAATGTTGTAACAGTGAAAAATAATTCAAACTGGCATTCTAAATGCATTGGCTCATGTAATTGGAAACTAAAAAAAAAAAAAAATCTGGCTTTTGGCACTGCTTGTATCAGGGGCTGTGTTTAAGCCAGTGCTCTATTATTCTTCTCTATACCTCTGAACTCTGATTGCTCTGATTAGTGTCATTGTAATAAGCCTTCTCTGTAGGATAACAGGATAACGATCATAGCATTGGATTTACATCATAAAAACTTATTTATCCTAATTAAAAATGAAACAAATGTAGTCCCAAATATCTGTAGAAAATAAGAGAGTTTGAATTACCTAGGCTTAGATTATAAGACAATTTTAAATAGAGTTTGAAAATTGTAATTTACACTTAATTGGTGATGTAGCATATTGGGCTTCATCAGAACATGTGCAATTACTTTCCCGTAGGGAAGGGTTATCTGGAAGAAGAAGAAAGGAAGAAAAGAAGAAGAAGAAGGAAGAGAAGGAGAATAGACATAAGCATGTGTTGTGGAACACATATTTATGTTCATGTCACATGTAATAAAAATTAACACTGTGAGAACTAAACTAACATTTTTAATAAAGGTAGAGAATGACCAAAAAACAATCATTGATGATGGAAATTAGGAGGTTCAGACAGTGGTATTGTCTAATGGCTAAAGATAATATATTTATATTATATACATGTGTAATGCAGAAATTTTGATATAGAAGTGTCATTGAACTCTGACATAAGAGTGACATTACATCTAGAACCTAAGAAAATATGTAGCTTTTATTTTAAAAAGCTTAGGGGCAGTAGCAGTATTAGAGAGCTTAGTCTCAATTGATTTCAGGAAGTGGACAGACAATTTGTCATTAGACTAGGGAAGGAGGGGTATTTGTGTACCATTGACTTGGGGTTGTAGAATTTCAGAGAAATGGAGAAGGAGAGGGATAGTTATAGGGTAAGTCATGAAATAGAAAACACAGAAATTTGAGAATAAATAATCAAACCAAATAGATAATAGGAGAGTCTGTATAATGTGTGGTTAAGAAAAATGACAGAGATTGGAGGGTAATGAAATTTGATGGTCTGAAAATGTCAAGCTGATGGAGAATTTTTTCTCATTCATGCGCATGACTTTTCAGCAAAACACCTCAAAATAAGATTATGTCTGCATCTATTATTTTGATTCATCTTCTTCATTTTTCTATTGACGCTAGTTAAATCTAGCTCTTGCCAAAATACATTTTTTTCAAGTTAAACGCTTACCTCCAAGCTGCTGTTTCCATAGCTAAGACTCAGTCTTCATATTACTTGATCTTGCTGCAATATTCCTTTACTGGGAACTATTTGTTCTTACTTGCACCCCATTGCATCTTAGTTATATTTATGTTGCGTTGGATGTTGTAAGTGTCTAAGTTTCTCTTAGCTGGTTTCTCTTAGTCTCTTGACACATAAAAGTCTGAGTGTTCCAGGACTACTTCTTAATCAGAACTTTCTCTAGTAGTAACATATAGTATTGCATGGGCTTAAAAGCCATTTGTAAGGTGATTTTCTCATTAAAATGCAAACTCCTATATATAATGCCCTCTTAACATCTTCACTTGTATTAAGCCCAAATCTAACAAGTCCTAAACAAAAATCGTGGTCTGGTCTTCTCATGTGAAAATAGCTCCCCTACAGAAATCTCAGCATAGTTAATGTCAGTTCAAGCCACAGTCTAAAATCATTCTTCTGGATCACTTACATGCACTTCTGACTGTCACTAAATACTATTCCTTCTACCTTTAAATTATGTGTAGAAAATGTCACTTCTTCCTTTACAACCTGATCATCATTACCACTATCTGTCACCTTAGATTTTTGTGATAGTCCCCCGGACCTCTCATCTCTGCCCTCTTCTCTATAGTTCACTCTCAACACAATGGCTAATGTGAATTTTTTAAACCTCTTGAACATTACTGTCTTTTCAAAAGTTTGAAGCAGCTACCCAGGTCACTTAGAGAAATTTTTTTTTTTTTTGCAAAGACTAAAATGCCCACTACATGATAAACTTAATTCTCACCTAACACCACTATTCTGATGCAGTCTGCTACCACTGTTTCCAAGAATCCAGTTTTGATGCACTGTCCTCCTTGAGCCTATTAGATATGCTCTCATGCAGATTGTTTTTACTTTGCTTAGAAGACGCTTCATCCTGAGACTTTGCTGAAGTTGCTTATCAGCTTAAGGAGATTTTGGGCTGAGACGATGGCGTCTTCTAGGTATACAATCATGTCATCTGCAAACAGGGACAATTTGACTTCCTCTTTTCCTAATTGAATACCCTTTATTTCCTTCTGCTGCCTGATTGCCCTGGCCAGAACTTCCAACACTATGTTGAATAGGAGTGGTGAGAGAGGGCATCCCTGTCTTTTGCCAGTTTTCAAAGGGAATCTTCCAATTTTTGCCCATTCAGTATGATATTGGCTGTGGGTTTGTCATAGATACCTCTTATTATTTTGAAATACGTCCCATCAATACCTAATTTATTGAGAGTTTTTAGCATGAAGCATTGTTGAATTTTGTCAAAGGCCTTTTGTGCGTCTATTGAGATAATCACGTGGTTTTTGTCCTTGGTTCTGTTTATATGCTGGATTATGTTTATTGATTTGCATATGTTGAACCAGCCTTGCATCCCAGGGATGAAGCCCACTTGATCATGGTGGATAAGCTTTTTGATATGCTGCTGGATTCGGTTTGCCAGTATTTTATTGAGGATTTTTGCATCGATGTTCATCAGGGATATTGGTCTAAAATTCTCTTTTTTTGTTGTGTCTCTGCCCGGCTTTGGTATCAGGATGATGCTGGCCTCATAAAATGAGTTAGGGAGGATTCCCTCTTTTTCTATTGATTGGAATAGGTTCAGAAGGAATGGTACCAGCTCCTCTTTGTACCTCTGGGAGAATTTGGCTGTGAATCCTTCTGGTCCTGGACTGTATTTGGTTGGTAAGCTATTAATTATTGCCTCAATTTCAGAGCCTGTTACTGATCTATTCAGAGATTCACCTTCTTCCTGGTTTAGTCTTGGGAGGGTGTCTGTGTCGAGGAATTTATCCATTTCTTCTAGATTTTCTAGTTTATTTGCATAGAGGTGTTTATAGTATTCTCTGATGGTAGTTTGTATTTCTGTGGGATCGGTGGTGATATCCCCTTTATCATTTTTTATTGTGTCTATTTGATTCTTCTCTCTTTTCTTCTTTATGAGTCTTGCTAGCGGTCTATCAGTTTTGTTGATCTTTTTAAAAAACCAGCTCCTGGATTCATTGATTTTTTTGAAGGGTTTTTTGTGTCTCTATTTCCTTCAGTTCTGCTCTGATCTTAGTTATTTCTTGCCTTCTGCTAGCTTTTGAATGTGTTTGCTCTTGCTTTTCTAGTTCTGTTAATTGTGATGTTAGGGTGTCAATTTTAGATCTTTCGTGCTTTCTCTTGTGGGCATTTAGTGCTATAAATTTCCCTCTACACACTGTTTGAATGTGCCCCAGAGATTCTGGTATGTTGTGTCTTTGTTCTCGTTGGTTTCAAATAACATCTTTATTTCTGCCTTCATTTCGTTATGTACCCAGTAGCCATTCAGGAGGCAGGCTGTTCAGTTTCCATGTAGTTGGGTGGTTTTGAGTGAGATTCTTAACCCTGAGTTCTAGTTTGATTGCATTATGGTCTGAGAGACAGTTTGTTATAATTTCTATTCTTTTACATTTGCTGAGGAGTGCTTTACTTCCAACTATGTGGTCAATTTTGGAATAGGTGTGGTGTGGTGCTGAAAAGAATGTGTATTCTGTTGGTTTGGGGTGGAGAGTTCTGTAGACGTCTATTAGGTCTACTTGGTTCAGAGCTTAGTTCAATTCCTGGATATCCTTGTTAACTTTCTGTCTCATTGATCTGTCTAATGTTGACAGTGGGGTGTTAAAGTCTCCCATTATTATCGTGTGGGAGTCTAAGTCTCTTTGTAGCTCTCTAAGGACTTGCTTTATGAATCTGGGTGCTCCTGTATTGGGTGCATATATATTTAGGATAGTTAGCTCTTCTTGTTGAATTGATCCCTTTACCATTATGTAATGGCCTTCTTTGTCTCTTTTGATCTTTGTTGGTTTAAAGTCTGTTTTATCAGAGACTAGGATTGCAACCCCTGCCTTTTTTCGTTTTCCATTTGCTTGGTAGATCTTCCTCCATCCCTTTATTTTGAGTCTATGTGTGTCTCTGCATGTGAGATGGGTTTCCTGAATATAGCACACTGATGGGTCTTGACTGTTTATCCAATTTGCCAGTCTGTGTCTTTTAATTGGAGCATTTAGCCCATTTACATTTATGGCTAATATTGTTATGTGTGAATTTGATCCTGTCATTATGATGTTAGCTGGTTATTTTGCTCGTTAGTTGATGCAGTTTCTCCCTAGCCTCGATGGGCTTTACAATTTGGCATGTTTTTGCAGTGGCTGGTACTGGTTGTTCCTTTCCATGTTTAGTGCTTCCTTCAGGAGCTCTTTTAGGGCAGGCCTGGTGGGAGCGAAGGATATGAACAGACACTTCTCAAAAGAAGACATTTATGCAGCCAAAAGACACATGAAAAAATGCTCATTATCACTGGCCATCAGAGAAATGCCAATCAAAACCACAATGAGATACCATCTCACACCAGTTAGAATGGTGATCATTAAAAAGTCAGGAAACAACAGGTGCTGGAGAGGATGTGGAGAAATAGGAACACTTTTACACTGTTGGTGGGACTGTAAGCTAGTTCAACCATTGTGGAAGTCAGTGTGGCGATTCCTCAGTGGTGTAGAACTAGAAATACCATTTGACCCAGCCATCCCATTACTGGGTATATAACCAAAGGATTACAAATCATGCTGCTATAAAGACACATGCACACATATGTTTATTGTGGCACTATTCACAATAGCAAAGACTTGGAACCAACCCAAATGTCCAACAATGATAGACTGGATTAAGAAAATGTGACACATATACACCATGGAATACTGTGCAGCCATAAAAAATGATGAGTCCATGTCCTTTGTAGGGACATGGATGAAGCTGGAAACCATCATTCTCAGCAAACTATCACAAGGACAAAAAACCAAACACCACTTGTTCTCACTCATAGCTGGGAATTGAACAATGAGAACACATGGACACAGGAAGGAGAACATCACACACCGGGGCCTGTTGTGGGGTGGGGGAAGCAGGGAGGAATAGCATTAGGTGATATACCTAATGTTAATGACGTGTTAATGGGTGCAGCACACCAACATGGCACATGTATACATATGTAACAAACCTGCACATTGTGTACATGTGCCCTAAAACTTAAAGTATAATAAAAATAAATAAATAAATAAATAAGTAAAGAAGATACTTCGTTAGATATCCACATGGATTGCCCCTCAGTTTTTCAGAAATCTGTCTATCTATCTATCTACAAACACACACTACATACATACATACATACATACATACATACATACATACATATATGCGCATGCACATGCACATGGAGAGAGAGAGACAGAGAGAGAGAGAGAGAGAGAGAGAGAGAGATAGGGATACAGGGAGGGAGGGAGGAGAGGAGGGAGGGTGGGAGGGAAAGTTATTTAAATAAATACACACTGCTGTAACAGAGTGTCTTGTTTTCAAAAAGTTCTTTTTCTCTGTCTTTTTCTTTTCTGACCATTCCTTGTCTTGCCTTTAATAATGACAGAATAGTCTTTGTTTTCCTTCTTTCCTCCAGGCCCACCCTTGTACACTGTTTCTCCTGTCTAATTGTGTGGTTGTTTAGAAGTTCCAGATATTAAATCTTGAAACAATTCAGGCCATTATGGTATCCTGTCTCCCCACCTAGGGATTACTTCAAGGCTACATTTAATTTACAGCACAGCTGCACCCAGGATGATGCCAGCCGATTCATCAGATGGGGCAACAGCTCAAGATAGTCATTGGAACAAGTCATATAGATTGGCACCCCTTTATCACTCCTGCATGGTTATCAGACGATGCTCCCTTTCTTAAACCCTTGTCCTTGACCCAAATAGCTGAAATAGTTCCATTAGGGCACAAGCCTCAAGTATTTCCCCACTGCTCGCTGTGGAAATAAAGTCACTGTCCCTTCACTGCACTTTGTACTTTTTATTGGCTTTGCAAGCAGTGAGCAGCCAAGCCTGCACTCAGTTACAATGCTACGAATATTAGTTTGTTTCATTTTATTTTTATTTCAGTTGGGGTTTACATGAATGAACTTGGTAGGTTCTATGCATTTCCATATGTAATTACTAAGAGTAGAAAGGAATAAGTGTGACTTCAAAAATATCGTTCAATCAAAATCAAAAGCTGGGAGAAAATAATATAAGAATTTCTTTTTTCATGTACAGTGTGGAAATCTGGCTAATCAAATAGCAACACAACCTGTTAATAGGATAAAGCTGAGATTTTTGCTTAAGGGAAAATACAACCTCACAAAGCTTTGGTGGTGTCTATAGGAAAAATATCAGAATTAATTAAGAATTTTAAGTTTGGTTTAAGGCAGGTTTTTCAATGTGGCGATCAGGATTAGGTAAGAATTGAATACAATACTTCAGAAGTGATAGAAACAGCAAGAGGAGGACTTTGAGAGAAGTATTAAAATAATCTTAGGGTGTAATCCATTTATTGACACTTTACATTAAAAAGTTGATGGTTTCTCAAGAAGTTCCTGTAAGGAGCCGTAGAATCACTGCTAGGGCAGGACATTCTTAGAAGAGAAAAGAAATATTAATAAAAACAGTGGAATAGCAAAACAGTGTCAAAGTGAAGAGTAAGGTGTAGTTCAGATTATCAGAGTCCAGCTTGAATATGGGATTACCCAGTTTTGAGGCATTGGTTCTTGTTGATTTAAGTCTAGTGTATTTTTATCTAATTGATGAGAAGTTACCCAGTTTACTGGATTCCTAGAATCACTACTCTTTAAGTCAATATAACTCTCTCTTCTATGTACTTTTAATTCCCTTGGAGGTTTTCTCCGCATTCTCAAAACAATTTTTTTTTTACTTTATATTCTGTGTGTGTTTCCCAAATTAGTATTTGTAATATTTTCTTTAAAAGAAGTCTAATTTTTTACAATATATTTAAATATTCTTAAGTTTATAGATCACAAAGTGTACAATTATTTGATTATTCTTAATAACATATCAAAATATATTTTATCTTTTATTTTATAAACAGTTTATCAATACATGCTTATTCATTAGCAAATAAATGTTATATTTATATAGAGTACATTAGAGTTGAAATAATTACCTATGAAATTGAGACATGCATATTTTAATACAGAAGGCTTTTAGAATATGTTTTTTCTTTTCTATTTTTTGTTTGTCTGTTTCAAGAAAAGAAGATGCTCCATTATACCAACGTTACTTTTCCACTTCTTCCCTTATCCCCTTTCCTTGGTTATAGAAAGTTTCAATTATTTTATATTTTAAAAGAGGGACAATTGAACTTACCAAGAAATATTTGCTGTATTCTTGAATCCTTAAAGGAAGGGATACTATTGAGCTAGTGGTATATCTGATGCAGGTGTTAAAAGAGTTACTTAATAATCAGACTCTAAATATAACTACAATCGGCCAAACTTTGCAGTCATGTATGAGAACAGAAACAGCTCTTTATAGCCACTCATGCACACACACAATCCTTATATATTTATTTGCCATTTTCTCATTAGAACTGTTTACATGAAGTACTAATTTGTCATCCATGTCAAAACCATTACACTTACTGAAAGAATCCTACAAAGCATACCACAGAACTGTTAAGGTAATATTATATAATTAAAATTATTTTTGAAATCCCTCCAGAAAATAACCCCTACAGAATTTTGAATTCAATTTTAGTAATTATTGTAATTATGGAAAAATTGTCACTTGCATTTTAGGGCAATATGCAAATATTATTCAGCAATAAGTCTAGAGAAGAAGAAAAATAATTAAGATATATTATACTACATCATTTGAAAATAGTGTAAGCAATAGATAAATTCTAAAATTGTTTTGAGCAAATAAATATTATTGAATTAATATATAGACTTTCAAGGTGAATATTTTAAGGAATACTATACTTTGAGCTACATAATTTCTAATGGATAGCCAATCTAGTGACACTGCTTTTATATTTCACTACTTTATTTCTTCAGAAAAGTCTGTTTGTGAAGAAAATTAAAAAATAGTAATAATAGTTTTAATACTGTTCCTCTGCAACTAATAATAATAAACTGGCAGAGAAAAATTATCTTTGAATTATTTTTTCAAATTTTATGAAAGTGAGATTCACACACACACACACGATTTCGCTAGATACAGGATTAGGTCATAAAACACTTTATAAATAGGAATTTTGACTTCATTAAATATTAAGACCATTCAAATATGATGATACAAAACTAAGGATATACGTTGAAGTTATATAAGCAAGGTAGACTTGGTGCTGCAATTAACTATGTGTATTAGAGCTGAAAAACCACTTAACCTCTCTGGACTTTATAGCAAATTAATACAATTCTCCCTGATTGTAGAGTAATAAAATACAAGTTCTTCCTACTTCACTGGCTTTGTAATGGTCAAATTAGATAATAGATTTGTAAAAGCTTTGTACATCATAAAAGTTTTCCCAAACAGGTATTCTTCATCTACTTCATTCAGTTTTCACCTTATAAAATTTTCTCCATCTCAACTCTTTAGGGTTTGGCCTGTCTTAACTTGAGTCTTATTTTGCCTCCAATTTTCTCTCCAATATTAAACTGCTTTGTTAGAGTAATATATTTAATTCTCTAAGACACTGCAGAAAACTACTCAGTTCGTGAGAATCAACTCTATATGATACTCCTGGAAGAAGAACAATGGAAGGCACTTCTTTCATAATAACCACGATTCACGCATTAGGCTGCTGCATTTTTCGTCTGTAATTTTTTACTCTTTCCCACAATATCAAGACCTATTTTTCTCCTCAAAATGTCAGTTCCATATTTCTTCCTTTGTTGAAAGATTACCAGTGTCCCAGTTTCACAAAGTTAGGCAATTATAATACAGAATCCATTTACTTCCCAGTAATTGGAGTTCAGACATTGCTGTGGGAATAAAAGCAAGACTTACAGTTCATAGTAAAGAACAAAAACATATCATACAGCTTGTGCAAAAAGGGTAGAATGCTACTTGGCCTCAGTGACACTCTGAATATCAGTGTAGAATTTTAATTGCAGCTTGCCTTCTTTGTAATAAAAAAAAAACATGTTCTAAACATTTTTCAATAGATTTAATTCGAAACTAAATTAAGACTCCACAGTATGATTTAAGTTGGCACAGCTAATGTCTCATGCCAGAAAAAAAAGCAATCTATAGGTAACGTTGTGCAGTTATGTAATATGTGTAATCACTGATATCATGAGTGTCATTAAAATCAATTAAGTTACATTATGAAACTAGTAATTTATGACAGAAACATCACCAAATAATGAGTGTTATATGATCTATTTTAACTTCTTAATGGCACATACTTCTTTTTAATGATCAAGAAAGTACCTGCGTTGGTTCACACTATTACCTGTGTCCCAAAGTCACTTATAATTCATTCCCTCACCAGAAGAAGAGATTTGTTGTTTATGGTGAAAGTCATATCCAAGCAAAGACTAGAATTGTTCTGCTAGCCATTCCTTTCAAAATCTGTCACTCTAAAATTCATGCACAAATACAAACCAAATGCTTTATAAGTTTCTCCTTAAAACATTTTTGAAAGCTACTTACTAAAATTTAGATAATTATCAGTAATTCCTACACAAATAATTTACCTACCAGCTCTCACATCTTTGTTCTGCCCATCAAATTATTAGATCTTTATTTTATTTTCTATTTCTTCAGCCTCGGAAGCAATTCAGAGTCACATATTTAACAATGTGAACTTTTGCAGGGAACAGTAGTTCTTAGCTCCAGCAACAGTACTTTCTATGGGATCTGCCTAATTTATTCAAATAATTTTTTAGAATTAGGTTTAGGTCAATTTTTCCTATTTATGAATACATTTGTTCGTTCTAGCACTTACAGTGTTGCAACCATGTTAATAATTTTATCAGCATGGTGCCAGTCATTTCAAAGACAAACTCCATTCTGTAGGTAAATCCCTTTCTCTTCTCAATCTAAATAGCTGATCTGTCACTACACGCAGATGTCTTGCCCCTCTTCCTATGCCTGGTTTATTCTTATTCCTGCTATCTTCATGTCACATTAATACTCTTGGAAATAAACCTGGCTACACAGTATAAAGAAGTGTATTTAGGTCTGTCATTTCCTTTTTCACACCATAAAAACATTTGTATCCTCTTGTTTTTCCAGAAAGCATTCTTAACAATAACCTGCTTCACAAAATATTATTCTTTCCCCTCCTGATCATCTGGTTATCTCAACTGAAAATTTTTCACTGCATACATGCTACTGACAAGAGCTGCATAACATATTCCAGGGGAATATATATATAATATAAATACATATATAAATTGACAATTTTGACAATTATATATGTATAAATTGACAAATCATAATTGTATATATTTATGGGGCACAATGCTAGTTTTGATATATGTATAAAATGTGAAATGATTAAATTAAGCTAATGAACATATTCATTAACTTATAACTTTTTGTAATAAGACATTTGAAATTTACTATCTTAGTTATTTTGAAGTATCCAGTAGATTATTGTTGACTACAATCAACGTGCTCTACAGTGGATCTCAAAACTTATTTGTCTTTGCTCACTAAAACCTCGTACCCTTCGACCAACAACTTCCCATTCTTTTCTTCCCCCCCATCCTCAGCCTCTGGTAACCATCATTCTACTCTTTACTTCTATGAGTTTAACATTTTTAGATTCCACATACACGTGAGATCATGTGATATTTGGCTTTATGTGCCTGGCTTATTTCTTAGCATAATGTCTTCCAGGTTCATCCATGTTATTGCAAGTGGCAGTAACTCCTATTTCCTATTTTTTGAAAGGCTGAATAATAGTCTTTTATTTATGTATACCGCACTGTCTTTATTTATTCATCTGTTAATGAACATAGGTTTATTTTATATCTTGGATATTGTAAATGACGCTGCAATGAGCAAGGAGCACAGATATCCCTCTGACACCTCAATTTCAATTCTTCTGGATCTATACCCAAAAGTGGGATTGCTGGCTTGTATAGGAATTATATTCTTAGTTATGTATGTGTGTGTATATATATATTTGGAACCTCCACATCATTTTTCATAGTGGATGTACTAATTTACATTCCCACCAACAGTGTACAAGAGTTCCCATTTCTTCACATTCTCACCAAAGCTTGTTATCTTTCATCTCAGTTTTATTTACTGTTATACTGGTGGTCCCAGAAACCAAGATAAGACAAGAGAAAAAGAAATATATTACAAGAGAAGACATAAAATAATCGTTGTTTGCAGATAACATGCTCATCAATGTAGAAAATATTAAAGACAATAAAAAATTCCTATGAGAATTAATAAGGAAGTTTAGCAAAATCACATGAATGCAGCCACATGTCAAAGATCATTAAATTATACATTCTAAAGGAGTCCTTTTTATTCTATGTAGAATTTTAACTCAATAAAACTTATTTTTAGAGTAACTGTAATATCACAGAAGTCAATATTTATGAAAACATATAGATTTCGAATGTATTCTGATATAACAGTCGATCCGGAAGAAAAGATATTACACAGATTACACAGAGTGGCCGTATTTTAGGCCCTTTGCTATCTTGCTCTCAAACTTGAAATGTTATCCCACCACTTTCTTGTCCTAAGTCTCTACCTCATTCCTCAGCAACTTCCTATTACTTACTCCTGGGTAATACAGTCCATATTCCATTTAAATATGTGTATTAGAAAATAATTTGGTCCACATCAGTTATAATAATTTTACAAGGAAATGAAACAAAGGAACCATTTTAATTCAAAATTTTGAGAACATAAATTTTTAACATAATATTTTGTTATTTGCATAACATAAAAGCACCTTATTTTCCAATAGAAGTAGAAGTAATTGCAGTAGAGTTAATTTTACAGTAGAAGCAATTACAATAGATTTCCCATTAGAAGAAACTACTACAGGAAGCAACTACTGCAATTTTCCAGAATTAATTACAATGGTAAAATTAAGTTGGCCAAAGTAGATAAAATTATAACTTAATTCCACAAAATAAGCTAACTAAATCAAGCACTGACAACTTTGAAGGAATAATCTAAATAGAAATGCACGGCATAATTTGCCCCTGACTTATGATGATTCAACTTAAGATTCTTTCTTTAATCTTAGAATTTTTTTTTTACTTTATGATGGTGCAAAAGTAGAAATTATAATTTAAATTTTGAATTTTGATTTTTCTAGGCTAGTGATATGTGATATAATACTCTTTTGTGACGTTGGACCATGGCAGTGAGCCGCAGCTCCCAGTCAGCAATGCGATCCCAAGAATAAACAACCGATTCTTGACAGTGTCCTATGTTGCCAGTCGATTTTGTTCAACAGTAGGTACATGTAAGTATTCTGAGCATTTTTAAGGTTGGCTAGGATAAGCTGTGATACTTGGAATGTTAGGTGTGTTAAATGTGTTTTGGATTTCGAGTATTTTCAATTTATGATGGGTTTATTCAGTTTATTTACAACCCCACTGTAAGTCATGGAGCATATGCACAGGTTTTAAAACAAATTTTGAGAATATGAGGTTGAACAAAAGAAAGCAGACTCAAGAAAATATGTTTTTTTTAATAATTCCATTAATATAACACTCTAGAACCAGCATATCGGTGTATTCGTAGAAGTGGGTTACATTCCAAGTGACTGGAGTATACTTTTAGAGGTGAGGAAAATACTGTATATTTTTGTTGTGGTGTTGGTTATACAAGTGTCTATGTTTGTCAGAACTCACCTAATTTTAAATTTTAAATTTTAAATAGATGTATTTATGTTATGGAAGTAGTCCTCAAAATTTTGAATTAACCGTGATTAACATGTTTTGGGTAATATTTTGAGGTGTTATTGATGCATTTTAAAAAGATTTAAGTAAATGGTGAGTTGTATCATATTTATATATTTGAATTTGGAAATTATTTCTGAAGTTGGAATGCACATTCAACAAAATCCTTTTTCTTTTCAAGGAAATGCAACTTGCATTGTGCTGAAATATCAAAACACATACGCAGGTTTGTGTATTTTGTTGCAGGTGTGTGGCAACATAAACTCATTTTTTATTAGTGTCAATATAAATTGGCACAACTATTTTGTAAAAGGATTACATAAGAATACTTTTCTGGGATTTACTGACATTAAAATACATGTGGAAAAGAAAAAAAGTGATAATAGACAAGGGTCACAAGACAAAAATAAAAGTCATATTTTTGGACTATTTCTTTTAGTGTAGAAGTATGATTTCTGACAAAAGTTCCAAGATAAATCAAAGATAAAAGAAGAATAAGAAGAGTATGTATAAAATGAGATTAATGTAACAGAACATAGATCCCAGAAACAAGCCACTCAAATAAGAAGTTATGACATAAGGAAGAAATAGGACTGCATAGAAGTAGGGAAAAAGAGATCTTCAATAAATGGTAATGAAGCATCAATGTAACCACATGAAAAAATGTTTTACTTCATTTCAAAAAAATTAAATTACAGATTGATTAAAGATGTAAATATGAAATAACAAATGTAAATATTTGGTAAGACAATATTGGAAATTTTTTTCATTATGTCAGGAAGGGAATAAACAAAACTGAAAAAGAATGATAGAAAATTTATCTTATATATTTATTTTGTGAATTGCTATTTATAAAAAGTATCTGACAAGAAAGTAAAAACAACTTGCGACAGATGGGAAATATATTTGCACTGCATACAACTGACAAAAATTAAACTAAAACAGACATCTACCACATAACAACGACTATTATAAGTCAATAGGAAGACATATAATCCAGTAGGAAAAATATGTAAAAGATTTTAACAAGTTCTGCATGAAAGAAGAAACCTAAATGATCAATAAACATTTCCAAAATGATAAACGTTTTACCTACACAGAGCTGTTAAATCAGAAACACCTGAAATAACATTACATGTGCATAGATTTGTCTGTTTTGTTGAGGCTAGGAGGCAGCAGGGGTGGAGTTTGTGAACTGGCACAACTGAGTGGAAATATTTTGAAATTTTCTGTTGAATGTGTACCGTGTATGACCAAATAATTCCATGCCCCTTTATACCTTTAGGGGTAATTGTGCATCTATGTCCCAGGATACATGGACAAGAATGTTATAGCTTTATTGTTTATAACAAAGGTTGCCAACATTTTTGGCACCAGGGACAGGCTCTGTGGAAGACAATTTTTCCATGGGTGGCAGTGCAGTAGGGTAGATGGTTTTGGTATGAAATTGTTCCAACTCAGATCATCAAGCATTAGATTATCATAAAGAGTGTGCAACCTAGATCCCTTATATATGCAGTTCACCGTGGTGGTTACACTCCTATGAAAATCTAATGCCACTGCTGATCTGACAGGAGGTGGAGCTCAGGCGGTAATGCTAGCTAGCCCACATCTCGTCTTACCTCCTGCTGTGGGGCCCAGTTCCTAACAGGGGGCCCCCGGGTTGAGGACCCCTGGATTATGATATCTTTAAACCAGAAACTACACATATGCTCATAAAAATTAAAACAAAAAAAGTGTGTGTTATATTGACATACTAAGATACTTTTCAATACTGAAAATAAACACATTACACCTACATGAATGGACATATATAAACCGCCCAATCATGGTATTTAACAAATAATAATTACACTTGGTTCAATTTACATGAAGTTCAAAAACAGGTAAAACTAAACTATATGTTTTATGTAAGCTATTATAACATATTTGGTAAAGCTGCAGGGAAAAGTAAAAGTCATAATGGTGATTATTGATAGTAAAGGCAGAAGATATGATCAACTAGGGACATTCCACAGAAAGAGAGAGAGTTCTAAAATATTCTAGTTTATATCATTGGATAAAATTGCATAATTGGTTTTATTAATGTTTCCTTTAATCTGAAAATATATGTACAGACTGCACAAAATATATTCTCTATATAATGTTTCATATTTTAAAATGCAGCAATGATTAAACAGAAATATAAATCAGTTAATATCAATAAATTTTTCTGAATCAAAATATGATTTGAAAACAAAATATTGTATGATATCTCCATACAAGAGCAAGAAGTGGCAGAAACAAGTGTTTTTTTTTTTTTTTTTTTTAACTAGAAGAACCCATTTACCAAGGGATACCTCAGCACTTAAACTAAAGAAACGGTTAAATGTCACAGTAGGAAGACATTTTATGAAATGATACAGTATACCATATTTCAGGCAGGGTAAACTCAGGACATTGCACCAAGCACAAGCACAAGAGATTCAGAAGTAATTGTATGAGTTATTAGTAAAAAATGACTTACTTTAGCATATATTTTCCCCATATTATGCCAGGAATTATAAGATGCTATTATTCGTAAAGATGATGGTACAGCTCAACACTCCGTATGTATGTTCTGTCTGTTCAAGGGTAGAAAGTAAGGATATTAGCTGTTTTGTAGTCACTTTAGATAATACAGCCAAATGGTTAAATAAAAAGCAGGAGAATGAGACAAGTGTTTAGAGAGGAAAAAGCAGAACCTTTAAGAGAAAGTTTGTAAAAATTACCACAGAAGATTTATTAGGAAGCTTGAACCATTTTCAGAAGCCAGGCCCACGTTTGCAAACACAGCCACTGATGGAAAAATAACTATGGAATAACAAACAGAATTTCATCATGAAAAACTGATTGGATGGGCATCTGAACTCCCTTTTAACACAAATGACTAAGCCAGATAAGATGATGGAAACAAGTACTTAATAGCAATTTTATCTAAAGAATCAATAGCAAAAATAGTGAGTACAATGACCATATCTTGTCATCTTGTATTTTCCTTTTCCATAAGTAAGAAATGGTTATACGATTGCATAAGATATTTAAAGGTAGTCCCCAAAATAAGCGGAGAAAAAAAAAATCCCATTCAGCTTGGGATTGAGAATAGAAACAACATAAAATTTAGTTTAGAGAAATGACTAAATGTAAAATTACTTAAATGTAAAATGTAAAATTATCTAATGTACGGACAGTTTTCTGTAAACATATAGTCCCTAATGAAGGAGCTAAAATTATACCACCTTTGGCATATCAACTATCATGAATTAAAGGCACTTGAAGAACAGCAGGTGCAAAAAGAACATTCTGGCCTATTTTCTGTTTCCTAAAGCAGGAGATGAAAGTCCCATGTGAAAAACACGCTCCCCAGACTGGAATAAAAGGCAACATTCTTATCTTCAATGATGAGAAGTTGCAACTTAGAAAATACTATTAGAATTCTAGACTTTATTAGAATAACTCTTATTTTTTAGCCTCCCCACGTAAGTTAGTTGCTTCTTCACAGCTTACTACTCTTTGTCTAATTCAGTATCTAACCGACTCTAATTGTTTCCTTGGGTCTTCATTCCTTTCTGAAGGCCCCAATGCCACAGAAAATGTGTGTTAAATAAATTTGTGTGCTTTTCTCCTGTTGATCTGTCTTATGTCAATTTAATTCTCAGGCCCAGACAAAAGAAACTCTAAAAAGGAACTCTAGCTCCTCTAATTTCTGGCTAGAAGGGATTTTCAGAGTGACTGGAACAATACTTAACTCTGCGATTGTATTGCCACTGGGAGATACTGAGCCTCTGACAAAAAGCCAGCAGTAGGAATTCTTACCATGTCAGCCTCCAAGATCTCTGCCTGCAGGGGCCCATCAAAGAGAGAGTGATAGAGTCTCTCATTGTTTTTTTTTCTCTTTCTTAATTTAGATTATCAGGAGAAAATATACGTATGAGCTAGTTTTCTGGGTACAGTGACTCTGGTGTTTTGTGTTATAAGTAGAGTAACCTTGTTTTCTGATTGGTCCTTTCCCTGCTGGAGAGGGTCCTTGTCTTCCTTCATCTCTTGTGTTTTGTGTAATTTTCATAAAGAGGAGAATCACAGGGCATGACACAAGTATAAGTCCTTATAAACTGTCCTTCAAGCCAGAATTACAGACTGATGAATTCACAGTTCTCACCAGACTAACAGCAGTTTAGACAAAATTTGGTGTGGTTTTCCAAAGGAAAACACACAGAGAGATATACACACACCACTAATTAGGCTCATTTTTTGGTCTTATTTTATGTCCAGAGTTCTTGGCTTTGTGACCATTGAGAACACCCTCTCTTATCTCTGCCAGCCAGGGAGTGCAAATATCATCTTGTATCTGACAGCCATTCAAACAGGCTGAGAACCTGAGGTACAAAGTGACAAGCAGCATTTTCTTTGTCTGATCATGCCAGATCTTAGGGGAGTTTGTCTTAATAAGAAGTCCCAGTCCATAAGGGCCACTTATTGTCCTAACCATGGCTACCTGCAAACTCCTTATGTGAGTTGTACCTGCCTAGTGTCACAGATTAGAGAATCTGTTAACTGGAGGCACCCATGTGCCATAGGAGATAAGCGATACCTTCTTCACAAATGCTATTCTTATTGCCTGTGGCAACAAAGTTCTTTGCTTTCTTAGGCTCTCTCTGGGAGTGAGCTTTTGGATCCTGGAGGTGCATCTTCTGCACCCACTTGGCAAATGCCACTTGTGTTCATGGTAGAGATTTATTCTAAGCCTTAAAAATTACCTCTGAATCTTTCCATAAAAAGCCCGACTGAATTGGGTGACTATTGGAGTAATTATGGCATTGAAAATTCTATGCTTCAAGGGCCAGACAATGAATTCTTTGAAGTGGGAAAACTTCTATATTTGGAAAAAAAAATTAGCTCTCATTCTACACAACTGTCCTGCTGGTACTTACAGAAAGATCAAATTGAAAAGAGGGCACATAGAGTATAATTGCTAACCTTAGGGACTCCCTTAACAAGGCTAAAGAACAAAAATCAAACTTAGAACAAAAGTTAAAATTCACAGCCACTATAAATCTTCATTCTTCACCCACCCATGTTCCCCTTTATCCCAGCTTCCTGTCCCTGACTCCGTAGTAGCTGTTTTGGATTGCTGGGCCTCTGGCTTAAACCTGCTTTTCTCAAAATCTGGTCCCACCTCCTCAGCAAATTCCTATAACTTCAAAATTCCTCCAAGTTCCCTAGAAAATATTTTAAATGTCTAACTGCCTACTTTAACTTCCCTTCCCCTTCGAAATTTACAGAAGGCACAATGACCGGATCTCTAGGATCAAGCCATGCAGGTCACTTGTGTAAATGTTAACAGCTAAGAAATAAATCTGGCACAGGCTCCAGGTACATGAAGCCAGCTTTACAATACCTTACAACTCCTCCTGCTTCCTGGGGCTCTGCAAAGAAACTTTGTCTCCTTCAGACCTTATGCAATACCCACTCCAAATGAGTCTTGGACCCCTGCCACAAAGAATTGATATCCCCTGGACAGCAGCATGTCTTTTAAATTACAATCACCTTTTGCCCCACTTTCAGAAGATTTCACCTAATTTAGAGAAGAATAAGGAAGGTCAGTGGCTATTCACAATCGTATTTACAGTGATCTTGGTCGGCTCCTATGAAAAATTCTTCCCACTTATTATTATACTATGGTTATCAGACAAGCCAGATGGTCTTCAGAGGAAGATCCTCCCAACAGAAGAAAGAAATGGCCAGAATTTTTCCCAGGCCCTCCTTCAAATGATCAGGAAATGGCTCAGCTAGAAGCTGATATTCAGGGCTGATTGGAGCAATACTAAAGGCCTTTTCCATTAAGGTTAGTTGGTCTAACGTTGAATTTTGCACTCAAAAGAAAAGAGACCAGCCCAAGGCTTTTGTAGAATGCTTTATACGAACTTTTCAAAGGTATAATACATTAAACCCTGAAACTGCAGAACACAGAAGTCTTTTAATTTCTGCCCAGGTTAGAAATTTTCTCCTTGATATAAAAAAGCAAATACAAGATGACATTGGCTGGACAGGTCAATCTCTCAATGTTATTATGGAATCAG
The DNA here is from genome assembly GCF_000001405.40 of Homo sapiens. NCBI lineage: Eukaryota > Metazoa > Chordata > Mammalia > Primates > Hominidae > Homo > Homo sapiens. The sequence goes on from NC_000001.11 coordinate 189,314,416, forward strand.
TTACACTATTCTTTGAGAGTAGCTTGCAAGAAAAATAAGAAGAAAAGATAATTAAAATCAACAGTAGTTGCTTGGCAAATTGAGTTAAAAAAAAAAGTGAAACTCCAGGTAAAACTTAAACCCTACTCACCCTTCTCTTTGCCTCCTGATATTTGTAGATACTGTAAAATACCAGGACATTAAAAGGACAACTGTCTGGCATATAAGAGAAAGGAAAGCGTAAATAATAATGTCCCCAGACTTCAAGACACTCAGAAGGCTTATTTTGCTCCTTCTGAGTGACAGTACCCCATAGATTGATAGAGTTAACCCATCCTCTGCTGTCCCTCAGAACCTACTAGTAAGCTTATAGAAGATGATTAGGAACTGGATTTTTGAATGGACACTTGTGTGACTTTCTCTACCATTTTCTTAGAGGATGTATCTCTGCCTGTCGCCTCTAATTCTATTTATGCTGTAGGAGTTTCTTGGAAACCTACTTCATTGTCAACATCTCAGGGCCACCCCAGTATCCTTAGGCTCTCTTAACTCTCATCATGCATTTCTAATTTCTTACCCTTCACCAGCATTTTTTTTAGGTTGAGATTTGCTAATTAAATTGAATGCCACCATAAAATGTAATGAGAAAGGAGTTTTATTTTCCTGCCCTCAGACCAATTCTCAAACTTCCTACTTTTCCTAATGGAAACTCATCTTAATATAAAATCCACTGAAAATGATACAATTTTTAAGAATATGCCAACTGTTCTCTGGGCCTCGTGGTACAAACAAGTTTGTATTGTGACTAAAGGCAGAACTTGTACTCATTACCTGGAAAAAGAACAAGCCTTTCTCGTCAGTAGCCCTGTACCTCCTCTCTCAAGATGCAGAAGAAGGAATTGAAACTATAATATGGTCTCTTTTATAGCTGGGCATTCTTTATTTCTTTACCCTCTAACATCCCGATCTTACCATTAAAGAAAGAAGAGGAATTTAATGCAGATGGGAATGAAATCTATTGATTTGTACGATATCTAAGAGCCAGAAACTCTTTTGAAATTCCTATTTACCCAACTTCATAGTCCTTAATCCAGCTACCATTCTTACCTCAGTCCCTGCTGGTGCACCTGGTTTATAATAATTAACTTTTGCTCAGCTTTCTTTTTAGTTCCATTGTACCCTACTTACAATTTCCCTTTGCATTTACATTTAGAAGGAGACAATTAACATAAACTTGCATACATCAGGAATACTGTGAATCCCAGCCAGTATTTTTTCCAAGTCCCTAATGCTGACTTGGACTGAAAAAACTTTACCCAAGGCTCCACTCTTTTTCAGTATTTGATGACCTTTGGCTTTTAACCAAACTAAACAGAGTCCTCTGACAGATTCCCTCATTCTCTTAAAAGCACAGCTGAATGAGGCTGTAAAGACTTCCCATCAAAATTTCAGTGGTGAGAACCAATTGCATCTGATCAATTTAGAGATTTATTTATCCAAGGTTAAGGATATGTCTTGGAAAAAGGAACACAAAACCACAAGAACAATCTGTGATCCATGCTTTTTCCAAAGAGGTTTTTGAGGCCTTCAATACTAAAAGAGAAAGAGTGAGCTGGAGGAAGGGTATGGTCACATTACTGAATCCATATGTTGCACATTAAAAGGAGACAGTAGAGGAATAGTCAATATGTATTTGACTCTTGCTCGGTCTGTACTTCATGTAAGATAAAATCAACATAGAGTAGCTTCCTGTGGAAACATTTTTTTTTTCTGTAGCTATCCATGTAGGAACAAAAGGAAAGGCAGTTTCTTCTGTGACAACAGCTTCCAGTTTAACTTTTCCCTTTCACATAGTGAATTGGAGTCCCAGTTTTTTGTTTTCCTTTCATAATGGGTACAACCAGCTGCAACCTCTTTAGGACATGAGATACCACAGAATACTCAAAAGCTCAGCTGAAAATGAAAAAAAAAAAGCAAAAAACTCTCTGTCAATAAAAAAAAAAGCTACATAAATTTCTAGGGGCAACTGGCTATTGTCACCAATTAATTTCTAATTTATAATATGCTAAAACCCCATATTTCCCAACTTGCATTTCCTTACAACAGTACTTTTGCAGACATCTCTGGATAAAAGCAGTTATAACCCTGTTTGACCACTGTCCTGCAACCTGCACCCTCCACCAAGAGACCTGGGCAGAGTCAGGCCCACCTATGCCTCAGCTACCAGATCTGTCAAACTCAGTCTCAGCTATAGACCAAAAAACAACCCATGGCCTGGCTTCAGCCCCTCCTGGCCATGATCTGGGAATAGTTCTGTCCATCCAGGGATCTGCTGGGAGATATTTAAAATCCATGCCCACAGAGGCGGATCTGACTGCGGATACTGAAGTGGCACTGTAACTCAGTTTGAGCCCCTCTCAGCTGTGGGTTAGGACTGTCCTACCCACCTAAGGACCCACCAGAAAAAACTTGTCTATGTCTATGGATATAGGCCCACTGACCTCAGTTCAACTACAGATATTGCATCAACCTTATAACCCAGCTCCAGCCCCTACCAGCCACAGCTTGGGAATAATTTTGCCTGCCCACGCACAAGCCTGGAAACATGCTCTCACAGATCCCCAGAAGCTGATCCCTGACCTTGGTCCCATGGCTGATCTTGAAACAACCCTGTAACCCAGTTCTAGGTCCTTCCAGCCATGGTCCAGGGAAGTCCTGCCTACTCAGGGGCCCAGCAGGAGGCACACCTGACTGTGCTTCCATAGGTAGTCCTAAAAAAATTAAGCCATCCTTCTCAAACTCTTCTGTAAAATGAAAGAGAAGGGAAAACATGCAAATTCATCTTATGAAGCCAACATCACTTTTAAACCAAAGCCAGATAAAGACACCACGATGAAGGATAATCATAGGCCAGCATCCCCAATGAACTCAGATACAAAAATCCTCAGCAAAATACTAGTAACCCAAATTGAACAACACATTAAAAAGATTATACCCAAGGGGTAAGTGAGATTTATTCTTGGGTTGCAAGAATTGTTCAATATATGCAAATCAATACATGTGATTCAGCACATTAACAGAATGAAGGATACAAATAATATTGTCATCTCAATAGATGCAAGAAAAAATTCTGACAGGTTCAACATCTTCTGATGATACATGTAAAGATGCTCAAGAAAGTAGACATAGAAGTAATGCACCTCAATGTAATAAAGGCCATGCATGACAAGCCCACAGCTAACATCATACTCAATGATAAAAAGCTAAAAGCTTTTCCTACAAGATCAGGAACAAGACAAGACACTCTGCATTTCTCGTCATCATAGTACTTGAAGTCCCAGCAAGAAGAATTGGACAAAAGTATAATAAATAGAAGACATTGAAATGAGAATGGACAGAGAAATTATTGCTATTTACATATGAGTTGATCTTATACATAGGAATCCCTAAAGACACACCTCTACACACACACATACAAAAACTGTTAGAACTAACAAACACATTTTGTAAAGTTGCAAGATACAACACCAACATACAGAAATCAGTTGCTTTTCTGTATACTAATTACATACTTCCTGAAAAGGAAATCAACAAACCAGTTTGATTTAAAATGCTACAAAAATAATAAAATACTAAGAAATACATTTAGCCAAGGAGGTGAAAGATTTGCACCCTGAACTATATATGGATGAGATAAATTAACAAAGACACAAGTACATGGAAAGAATGGCCATGAATTTAAAGCATTAATGATGTTAAAGTGCTCATTTTACCCAGAGTTATCTATAAATTCAATGCATTCCTGTCAAAATTCCAATATAATTTTTCAAAGAAGAAAAACAAAATTAAACTCATATTGAACTAGAAAAGACCTCAAACAGTCAAAGGAATCTTGAGAAAAGAGGAAGGCTGGAGACATCACATGCCTTGATTTCAAACTATATTACAAAGCTAAAGTGATCAAAAAAGTATGTCATTGGCCTCAAAATACATATATAGACAAATGGAGTAGAATAAGTAGCCCAGAAATAAACTCATGCAAATACAGTTAGCTAATCTTTGACAAGATCACCTAGAATACATAATGGAAAAGGATAATCTCTTCAGTAGTTCTGGAAAAAACTGAATATCTACCTGAAAAGAATAAAATAGGCCTCTTTTTTACACTATACACACAAAAAAATTCAAAAGTGATTAAAGACTTAAATGTAAGAACTGAAACCATAAAACACTACCAAAAACATAGAAAAAGAGTGTTGGCAATATTTTTTAATATTACAGTCAAAGCACAGGCAATGGAGGCAAAATAATCAAGAAAGACTATTGTACATCAAACTAAATTCTGTACAGCAGAGAAAACAGTCAACAAAATGAAAGGCAGCCTACAGAATATTAGGAAATGTTTGCAATCAATATATCTAATAAGAGGTTAATAAACAAAATATATACAAAATATGTGTAAAATCAATATCAAAAGAGCAAATAACCTGATTAAAAAATGGGCAAAGGATCTAATAGACATTTTTCCAACAAAGACTTACAAATGGCCAACCAGTATATAAAAAGATCCCAAACATCATTAATTATGAATAAGGAAATATAAGTCAAAACCACAATGGGGTACCACCACACACGTGTTAGGATGGTTACTATAAAAAATAAAGACAGATAACAAGTGCTAGTGAGGATCTGTGGCAAAGTAAACCCTTTTACAAAGCAAATATAAATTTGTACAGGCATTATAAAAAACTGTAGATATTGCTTAAGAAATTATAAATAGAACTGCCATATGATCCAGAAATTCTACTTCTGGGTATAAAACCAAAGTAAATAAATTCAGTATATTGAAAGAGATATTTACACCCTGGAAGACAGTTCTCATGATGGCTTTAGACCAACTCAGTTCTTCCATCTTCTAATTTGTAGTTCTCACTAATAACTGTAGAATATGCTGGGTATGCAACATTCTGAGATAGAGAAGGAGTGTCAGAAATAGGTTGGATTCTGTTCTTGTTCCTCTACCAAACCACTCAGAAAAAAGGAGGTCCTTCGACACTTTCATCCAACAACTTAAATTGTCCCTGGGTATACAACCTTTTCAGCGCAGCATTTTGGGGTCCCTCAGCTGCAGTGCAAGTAAGGCATGCGCAGTTAAGACTCCATCAACTCCTGTGCAGCTCTCCTGAGCCTTGGGAGAGCAACTCAAAATGAATCCTGGGCTTCTGTTATCCCTGGCTGCCTTTCTGTAAGTAATAAGTCCCATTCATGTAATTCATCCTGTGTGAGTGTTTGTTTCACTGGACTCAGACAAGTTGGTTACCCGTACCCAGTGAACTTGTTTTACACACCCTTATATACATTGCAGCATTCACTTACTAAATAAAGTCAGCCTGACACAGAAAGGAAAACACTGTCCCATCTCACTTATATGTGGAATCTAAAAAAGTCAAAAACGTAGAAGCAGAGAGTAAAATGGTGGTCCCCAGAGGCAGCAAAGCGGGAGAAATGGGGAAATGTTAGTCAAATCAAAGGTTAAAAAGATGCAGTATGTCTTTATTACAGCCATATTGACAATAACCAAGATATGATAACAACCTAAGTGTCTGTCAACAAATAAATGGATTTTAAAATGTGGCATGTATACAAAACAGAATATTATTCAGCCATACAAAAGAAGGAAATCAAGCCATGTGTGACAACATAGATAACCTGGAGGACATTATGCTAAGTGAAATAAGCCAGTCACAGAAAGACAAGTACTGCATGATCTCTGTTATATGTGGAGTCTATAAAAGTCAAACTTATAGAAGCAGAGTATAGAAAGATGGTTGCCAGGAGCTGTTGGGAGTGAGGTGGGTGGGGTATGTGAAGATATTAGCCAAACAGTACCAACAAAAGGTTATAGGATTAATAAGTTTTGGATATCCAATGTGTAGCATAGTGATTATAATATCTGAAAATATTATAGTTAGTATCACAGTCTGACATTCTATAATTTGATAAGAGTGTAGACCTATGTGTTCCAACCCCCTACACACACACCACACAGAGATAACTGAGGTGAGGAGGTATTAATTAATTTCACTGTGACAATCATTTTACAATATATAAAGATTTCAAAATTTATGTATACCTTAAATATATATAATTTTATGTGTTAATTATACCTCAAAAAACTGGAAGAAAAGGGAAATATTTCATTTAAGAAATTTCTACTATTTTATACACTGATATTTGCATTATTTTATGACATTTTCCAAAAACAATGCATAAATCTATAGATTATAGATTTGTTCACCATGGGAGTCCTATACAGAATAGGTACACTCTGCTAAAAACATCCTATAAGTAAGGACTCTTTCATGTTCAGATCCAAGTAATGTGCTTATTAAAACACATATCAATGTGTTTTAAAAAACATGTCAACAGCATATTTTTAAGAGAGTTTTACTGGACCACTTTTTTCCTCCAAGATTTGTCTCCAAGGTAAAGGGAAAAAAAATACATTTCAGATCCACTACTAATTGTTATCTAAGTGATCGCTGCTTAGAAGTTTTGTTGTTTGTGTGTCTTTTATGTGTTTTTTTTTGACTCTTGTAATTTCTTTTTTTTCTTTTTTTTGACGGAGTCTCACTCTGTCGCCCAGGCTGGAGTGCAGTGGCGCCATCTCTGCTCACTGCAAGCTCCGCCTCTCGGGTTCACACCATTCTCCTGCCTCAGCCTCCCGAGTAGCTGGGACTGCAGACGCCCGCCACCACGCCCGGCTAATTTTTTCTATTTTTCAGTAGAGAAGGGGTTTCACCGTGTTAGTCAGGATGGTCTCGATTTCCTGACCTCGTGATCCGCCCACCTCGGCCTCCCAAAGTGCTGGGATTTACAGGCGTGAGCCACCGTGCCCGGCCGACCCTCTTACAATTTCAAGTACATAAGGTTTGGAGTTGTTACTCTCCAGTGTAGCATAATTATTGTTTTGTTAAACTATAGTCTGAGAATTTAATCCATGACAATGCAAGCTGTTGCTTTAAATTGTTGGTATTTTGGAGTTCTTCTTTGTGAACCTTTATAAGATGTTTTTATTTTTGATGTACAAATAAAATACATACAGATATATATGCATATCTGTGCATATATAACATATACATTATATGTGTGTGTGTGTATATATATATATATATATATAAAAATATATATAAAATTAGTTGTAAGAAAAACATAATGAGCCCACATAGATTTAGACAGAATGCTGCTAATGGCACAGAAGAGAACATGAGCTTCATGTGTGCCTAGGCAGATGGTGAACACATGGTGATTTTTGCCATAGTTGAAGAACACTCAGCATACGAACCTCTAAAATTATTAGGGATGGCTGACAAATCTGCCCACACTTTGCCCATGGGGAAAGGAAGGAGGCCTATCTTGGTATTTCTCTACATAAAGAATATGAATAAATTTGCTAACTGATCCACATAGAAACAGTTTTTCTAACTTCCAAGACTGTTAATATATAGACTTGCAGAAGTGTCAGAGACTTGGAAAACTATCTCCTCCAGAGACACATGATTATTTATTTATATATAGTGTGGAAAAGTGATTTAGGGGCATTCCCTGTCTTCTTCAGGAGCATCTATGGCCCTGGCACTTATCACTACAGATACACGGATATGTGTGCTTGAATGTAATTATCAAGGTAATCTTACTTTTCTTTTCAGAACATATATTGGAAATCAGTTTTATCCTAGACCTTATATTAGAAAGCATTAGAATCATAAAGCCATAATAAGGACACTCATTCAAAGGAGAGAGAAAAGAAAATCTTCATCCTATATCCATATTTCTCAGAGATTAAGACATTTATTTTTTAAGCTACTTTATTTTCTTATTCATTTCATTTATTTTCTGAATGACTGGCTTTCATATAAGTAGGAAATACTTCACGTCAAAAATGACAATTGGAGATTAACTCGTTGGCGTCCTATGTGTTTATTTACATAGCAACTGTGTTGTACCAGTAAAACTTCATCTCTGATATAAATTAACGCACATAACAATAGAATTTATAATGGACAAAGAATTATCTTTTCTCCAATTTTATAATTCTAACATTTTCTTCAAAAGGAAATAAAATATTAAAGTCAAATATGCAGATGCTCCCAGAGTCCTACACATCGATGGCATTCTCTAGCAACAAATCCCAGATGTTTTTAAATACAGCAAGCCTAATTTCTGACTTGGTTAAGAGAAATCTGAGTTGTAAAATTTAGCATGCACGTAATATGGTTGACATCCTGAATGAGGAATAGAAATCATAATGAATGAAAGTATAATGTAACTAAGCACAGCACATTAAAAATTCATTGAACTAACAATTGTATTGGGATATTTAATGAAGAATACAAAGCTAAAGCATGTGTTCACATCTCATGTCCCCTTTCGTTCTTCCCTTTCTTAGCCATTAAATTTCTAAAAAGAAACAGAAAATATTTCTGCTTTACTAAAATACATTTGGAATTTTTTAAATTCAAAACTTCTAATTCTAAAACTATTCTTAAAAGATGAGCTATAGGGTCTGATTATTATTTTCATATAGTATAAGACATTGATTTATGTTTAATAGCTTAAACAATTTATTCATTGAGAGTAGTGAAGAAGTTTAAAATGAAGGAATTTGGCATGGGAATGTAGATCTGTATTACTATTTGTTCATCTTTATCTTTGCTACCGGCAGCAAAGCGGTAACTTTCCCTTTCCTATACTAAAAAAAGATAATTTCTGTAAGTGTTGGCCTAGTGTCTGGCATGTATTAAAACATTAGACATTACTTTCTCCTCATTCTCATTCTGTTGCTCTTAAGAATGGTCATTTTTTTTCTTGTTTTCACCAATCATAATGGATTAGAGATAGCTACATGCAGTTATTATTAGACATTTTTGGTATGGAATTTATGACTCGTCAGCTAAGAATACATTCTCTCAAACACCATTGAAAATCATGGAATACATACTTCTCTTTTTCCAAACAGTGTTTAATAATCTCCATATGAATTTTATTTAACAATAAATTATATTTAAGATGTTAAATGACCTTTCACAAAAATGTATTTAAAAATATTAAAATAATTTAATTCTTTTGAAAATGAGCACCTTTTTAAAATTGAAATTATAGTTACTTATTCTTCTGATAAAAATTTATCAAAGCTGGAGTTGAATAATAGATTTTCATCTCAAAGCTTAATACATTGTGTTTCATTAACTTTTACTCTGGTAAGCTACTGGCTCTGGTTTCCAGTGCTTTACTTATGAGATGGGATTTTATATGCATGTTTGCTTTCATATTGCTACGCTTGGCTAATGTAAAATATCCTAGAAACTTTGCATAGATATAAGAGATAGAACTTTTATTATTTTTAATTACTAGTTGAGGAACCACTTTAAAAGCAGCAGCACATGGCAATTTGGGAACTGTGTCATATTTTGGTCAAAATTAAATTTCCTACTTAAGGAAGATAAGGAGAATGTGAAGATTAGAAAGAAGCAAGAAATGGGGAAAGAGAGCTTAAGTAAAAATATATTTGAAGCAAAACTTGGGACAAAATTGCACCTGAATCAAAACAGAATAGCTCTGGAAGTTATTTTTCAATACTGCTAGATACTGAAATTCTAGGAGTCACTGAGGAGCATCCACGGAACAGTCAAGTCCTGATATGTTAGTGACCTTAGACAACCCTCGATAAACTTTAAAAATAGCAAATGAAATTGTTTATAATCTTCCTTAGTTCCACTTTCTAGCTTCTCTCTAATTTCACCACATCTCTAGAAATTAACAAAAAAACCATAAAATAATAGGAGAAATTTGTATTTTCCAAGATAAATTAAGATATTTTTCTCACAATCTGTACTTCAGAAAAATGATTGGATTGGAACCTACTCCTAAATGCATTTTCCTAGAGAAGAATTGTCTACACTATAGGCTAATACATGAGGAATGCAATTTACATTTGCAATCAGATTATATTTTGTGTCAAACATAATTCTTGGTTACAAGAACTAAAACTTGACTCTGAGTATGTGAAGCAAGAGATTATACAGTAATCTACTAAACAGTTATGAGAGATCTTATAATTTGTAAGACTAATGGAATCAAACTTACAATTCAGATATTTGTTGTCTTAAAACTCAAACTTACAATTCAGATATTTGTTGTCTTAAAACTCAATCTTTAAGTAGCCCCAGATTGATCAAAACACTCCCACCTCTAGAGTAGAATACAGCTTCCTCTAGACACCACTGCTGGTATCCCATTTTCAGTTACTAAAAAATCCAAAATGATAACTAGTTCTGTATTTTTATATGACTCATTTCAAATGTAAAGCTCAAGGCTCTCTACTCTGTGGTTTAAGCCTGGACTACTTGAATATACCTTATCTTGGGTCAATGTAAAGGGAATGCTTTGTGATTTAGTCTATATGTGGGAAATGGAAAACAGTGTTCCAATAATACAACACATAATGGAGAACAGTCCTCAAATAGGAGTGGTATTTGGAAGCTTGGATAGAAATAGAAGGTTGGCAAATGACTCCTAAAACCTATATGACACTAATTTTGAGACTATTTCTTTTTTTTTTTAAATCAAGCAAATCATTATATTATCATCGTCAGTCCAAATTGTTCATATGTAGATGGAATAAAGTCTTTTATTATTCCAAATATTTTATCAATGTTTAATTGGAGTAGTAAAAAATAGAATATTTCCAACTTATTAATTCATTCTCATTCTTTCTTTCTGACCAGGCTTAGGAAAACAGAAAAGCAATTTTCTTTTTTTTTTTTTCGTTTTTTCTGTTTTCTTTAAAACTTGTTCTATTTTTGTGATTTTTTTCTTTATTTGATTTTATTTTATTATTATTATACTTTAAGTTTTAGGGTACATGTGCACAATGTGCAGGTTTGTTACATATGTATACATGTGCCATGTTGGTGTGCTGCACCCATTAACTCTTCATTTAGCATTAGGTATATCTCCTAATGCTATCCCTCCCCACTCCCCCCACCCCACAACAGTCCCCGATGTGTGATGTTCCCCTTCCTGTGTCCATGTGTTCTCATTGTTCAATTCCCAACTATGAGTGAGAACATGCGGTGTTTGGTTTTTTGTCCTTGCGATAGTTTGCTGAGAATGATGGTTTCCAGTTTCATCCATGTCCCTACAAAGGACATGAACTCATAATTTTTTATGGCTGTATACTATGCCATGGTGTATATGTGCCACATTTTCTTAATCCAGTCTATCATTGTTGGACATTTGGGTTGGTTCCAAGTCTTTGCTATTGTGAATAGTGCCGCAATAAACATATGTGTGCATGTGTCTTTATAGCAGCATGATCTATAATCCTTTGGGTATATACCCAGTAATGGGATGGCTGGGTCAAATGGTATTTCTAGTTCTAGATCCCTGAGGAATCACCACACTGACTTCCACAATGGTTGAACTAGTTTACAGTCCCAGCAACAGTGTAGAAGTGTTCCTATTTCTCCACATCCTCTCCAGCAACTGTTGTTTCCTGACTTTTTAATGATGGCCATTCTAACTGGTGTGAGATGGTATGTCATTGTGGTTTTGATTTGCATTTCTCTGATGGCCAGTGATGATGAGCATTTTTTCATGTGTCTTTTGGCTGCATAAATGTCTTTTGAGAAGTGTCTGTTCATATCCTTCGCCCACTTTTTGATGGGGTTGTTTGTTTATTTCTTGTAAATTTGTTTGAGTTCATTGTAGATTCTGGATATTAACCCTTTGTCAGATGAGTAGGTTGCAAAAATTTTCTCCCATTTTGTAGGTTGCCTGTTCACTCTGATGGTATTTTCTTTTGCTGTGCAGAAGCTCTTTAGTTTAATTAGATCCCATTTGTCAATTTTGTCTTTTGTTGCCATTGCTTTTGGTGTTTTAGACATGAAGTCCTTGCCCATGCCTATGTCCTGAATGGTATTGCCTAGGTTTTCTTCTAGGGTTTTTATGGTTTTAGGTCTAACAGGTAAGTCTTTAATCCATCTTGAATTAATTTTTGTATAAAGTGTAAGGAAGGGATCCAGTTTCACCTTTCTACATATGGCCAGCCAGTTTTCCCAGCACCGTTTATTAAATAGGGAATCCTTTCCCATTGCTTGTTTTTCTCAGGTTTGTCAGTGATCAGATGGTTGTAGATATGTGGCATTATTTCTGAGGGCTCTGTTTTGTTCCATTGATCTATATCTATGTTTTGGTATAAGTACCATGCTGTTTTGGTTACTGTAGCCTTGTAGTATAGTTTAAAGTCAGGTAGTGTGATGCCTCCAGCTTTGTTCTTTTGGCTTAGGATTGACTTGGCAATGCGGGCTCTTTTTTGGTTCCATATGAACTTTAAAGTAGTTTTTTTCCAATTCTGTGAAGAAAATCATTGGTAGCTTGATGGGTATGGCATTGAATCTATAAATTACCTTGAGCAATATGGCCATTTTCACGATATTGATTCTTCCTACCCATGAGCATGGAATGTTCTTCCATTTGTTAGTATCCTGTTTTATTTCCTTGAGCAGTGGTTTGTAGTTCTCCTTGAAGAGGTCCTTCACATCCCTTGGAAGTTGGATTCCTTGGTATTTTATTCTCTTTGAAGCAACTGTGAATGGGAGTTAACTCATGATTTGGCTCTCTGTTTGTCTGTTATTGGTGTATAAGAATGCTTGTGATTTTTCTACACTGATTTTGTATCCTGAGACTTTGCTGAAGTTGCTTATCAGCTTAAGGAGATTTTGGGCTGAGTGGATGGGGTTTTTTAGATATACAATCATGTCATCTGCAAACAGAGACAATTTGACTTCCTCTTTTCCTAATTGAATACCCTTTATTTCCTTCTGCTGCCTAATTGCCCTGGCCAGAACTTCCAACACTATGTTGAATAGGAGTGGTGAGAGAGGGCATCCCTGTCTTTTGCCAGTTTTCAAAGGGAATGCTTCCAGTTTTTGCCCATTCAGTAGGATACTGGCTGTGTGTTTGTCATAGATAGCTCTTATTATTTTGAGATACGTCCCATCAATACCTAATTTATTGAGAGGTTTTAGCATGAAGGATTGTTGAATTTTGTCAAAGGCCTTTTCTGCATCTATTGAGATAATCATGTGGTTTTTGTCTTTGGTTCTGTTTATATGCTGGATTACATTTATTGATTCGTGTATGTTGAACCAGCCCTGCATCCCAGGGATGAAGCCCACTTGATCATGGTGGATAAGCTTTTTGATGTGCTGCTGGATTCGGTTTGCCAGTATTTTATTGAGGATTTTTGCATCAATGTTCATCAAGAATATTGGTCTAAAATTCTCTTTTTTTTTGTTGTGTCTCTGCCAGGCTTTGGTATCATAAAATGAGTTAGGGAGGATTCCCTCTTTTTCTGTCGATTGGAATAGTTCCAGAAGGAATGGTACCAGTTCCTCCTTGTACCTCTGGTAGAATTCAGCTGTGAATCCATCTGGTCCGGGACTTTTTTTGGTTGGTAAGCCATTGATTATTGCCACAATTTCAGAGCCTGTTATTGGTCTATTCAGAGATTCAACTTCTTCCTGGTTTAGTCTTGGGATGGTGTATGTGTAGAAAAATTTATCCATTTCTTCTAGATTTTCTAGTTTATTTGTGTAGAGGTGTTTGTAGTATTCTCTGATGGTAGTTTGTATTTCTGTGGGATCGGTGGTGATATCCCCTTTATCATTTTTTATTGTGTCTATTTGATTCTTCTCTCTTTTCTTCTTTATGAGTCTTGCTAGAGGTCTATTGATTTTATTGATCTTTTCAAAAAACCAGCTCCTGGATTCATTAATTTTTTGAAGGGTTTTTTGTGTCTCTATTTCCTTCAGTTTTACTCTGATTTTAGTTATTTCTTGCCTTCTGCTAGCTTTTCAATGTGTTTGCTCTTGCTTTTCTAGTTCTTTTAATTGTGACGTTAGGGTGTCAATTTTGGATCTTTCCTGCTTTCTCTTGTGGGCATTTAGTGCTATAAATTTCCCTCTACACACTGCGTTGAATGTGTCCCAGAGATTCTGCTATGTTGTATCTTTGTTCTCATTGGTTTCAAAGTACATCTTTATTCCTGCCTTCATTTTGTTATGTACCCAGTAGTCATTCAGGAGCAGGTTGTTCAGTTTTCATGTAGTTGAGCGGTTTTGAGTGAGTTTCTTAGTCCTGAGTTCTAGTTTGATTGCACTGTGGTCTGAGAGACAGTTTGTTATAATTTCTGTTCTTTTACATTTGCTGAGGAGTGCTTTACTTCCAACTGTGTGGTCATTTTTGGAATAGGTGTGGTGTGGTGCTGAAAAAAATGTATATTCTGTTGATTTGGGGTGGAGAGTTCTGTAAATGTCTATTAGGTCTGCTTGCTGCAGAGCTGAGTTGAATTCCTGGGTATGCTTGTTAACTTTCTGTCTCATTGATCTGTCTAATGTTGACAGTGGGGTGTTAAAGTCTCCCGTTATTATTGTGTGGGAGTCTAAGTCTCTTTGTAGGTCACTAAGGACTTGCTTTATGAATCTTGGTGCTCCTGTATTGAGTGCATATATATTTAGGATAGTTAGCTCTTCTTGTTGAATTGATCCCTTTACCATTATGTAATGGCCTTCTTTGTCTCTTTTGATCTTTGTTGGTTTAAAGTCTGTTTTATCAGAGACTAGGATTGCAACCCCTGGCTTTTTTTGTTTTCCATTTGCTTGGTAGATCTTCCTCCATCCCTTTATTTTGAGCCTATGTGTGTCTCTGCACGTGAGATGGGTTTCCTGAATACAGCACACTGATGGGTCTTGACTGTTTATCCAATTTGCCAGTCTGTGTCTTTTAATTGGAGCATTTAGCCCATTTACATTTAAAGTTAATATTGTTATGTGTGTATTTGGTCCTGTCATTATGATGTTAGGTGGTTATTTTGCTCGTTAGTTGATGCAGTTTTCTTCCTAGCCTTGATGGTCTTTAAATTTTGGCATGTTTTTAGTGGCTGGTACTGGTTGTTCCTTTCCATGTTTAGTGCTTCCTTCAGGAGTTCTTTTAGGGCAGGCCTGGTGGTAACAAAATCTCTCAGCATTTGCTTGTCTGTAAAGTATTTTATTTATTCTTTACTTATGAAGCCTAATTTGGCTGGATATGAAATTCTGGGTTGAAAATTCTTTTTTTTAAGAATGTTGAATATTGTTCCCCACTCTCTTCTGGCTTGTAGAGTTTCTGCTGAGAGATCCGCTGTTCGTCTGATGGGCTTCCCTTTGTGGGTAACCCGATCTTTCTCTCTGGCTGCCCTTAACATTTTTTCCTTCATTTCAACTTTGGTGAATCTGACAATTATGTGTCTTGGAGTTGCTCTTCTCGAGGAGTATCTTTGTGGCGTTCTCTGTATTTCCTGAATCTGAATGTTTGCCTGCCTTGCTAGATTGGGGAAGTTCTCCTGGATAATATCCTGCAGAGTGTTTTCCAACTTGGTTCCATTCTACTCGTCATTTTCAGGTACACCAATCAGATTTAGATTTGGTCTTTTCACATAGTCCCATATTTCTTGGAGGCTTTGTTCGTTTCTTTTTATTCTTTTTTCTCTAAACTTCCCTTCTCGCTTCATTTCATTCATTTCGTCTTCCATCACTGATACACTTTCTTCTAGTTGATCGCGTCGGCTCCTGATGCTTCTGCATTCTTCATGTAGTTCTCGAGCCTTGGCTTTCAGCTCCATCAGCTCCTTTAAGGACTTCTCTGCGTTGGTTATTCTAGTTATCCATTCGTCTAATTTTTTTTCAAAGTTTTTAACTTCTTTGCCATTGGTTTGAATTTCCGTCTGTAGGTCAGAGTAATTGGATCGTCTGAAGGCTTCTTCTCTCAGCTCGTCAAAGTCATTCTCCATCCAGCTTTGTTCCATTGCAAGTGAGCATCTGCATTCCTTTGGAGGAGGAGAGGTGCTCTGCTTTTTAGAGTTTCCAGTTTTTCTGCCCTGTTTTTTCCCCATCTTTGTGGCTTTATCTACTTTTGGTCTTTGATGATGGTGATGTACAAAAGGGTTTTTGGTGTGGATATCCTTTCTGTTTGTTAGTTTTCCTTCTAACAGACAGGACCCTCAGCTGCAGGTCTGTTGGAGTTTGCTAGAGGTCCACTCCAGACCCTGTTTGCCTGGGTATCAGCAGTGGTGGCTACAGAGCAGCAGTGGCTGTAGAACAGCGGATCTTGGTGAACCACAAATGCTGCTGCCTGATCGTTCCTCTGGAAGTTTTGTCTCAGAGGAGTACCTGGCTGTGTGAGGTGTCAGTCTGCCCCTACTGGGGATGCCTCCCAGTTAGGCTTCTTGGGGGTCAAGGACCTGCTTGAGGAGGCAGTCTGCCCGTTCTCAGATCTCCAGCTGCGTGCTGGGAGAACCACTGCTCTCTTCAAAGCTGTCAGACAGGGACATTTAAGTCTGCAGAGGTTACTGCTTTTTGTTTGTCTGTGCCCTGCCCCCAGAGGTGGAGCCTACAGAGGCAGGCAGGCCTCCTTGAGCTGTGGTGGGCTCCACCCAGTTCGAGCTTCCCGGCTGCTTTGTTTGCCTCGTCAAGCCTGGGCAATGGCAGGCGCCCCTCCCCCAGCCTGGCTGCCACCTTGCAGTTTGATCTCAGACTGCTGTGCTAGCAATCAGGGAGACTCCGTGGGCATAGGACCCTCCCAGCCATGTGTGGGATATAATCTCCTGGTGTGCCGTTTTTTAAGCCCGTTGGAAAAGCACAGTATTAGGGTGGGAGTGACCCGATTTTCCAGGTGCCATCTGTCACCCCTTTCTTTGACTAGGAAAGGGAACTCCCTGACCCCTTGCGTTTCCCAAGTGAGGCAATGCCTCGCCCTGGTTCGGCTCGTGCATGGTGCGCTGCACCCACTGTCCTGCACCCACTGTCTGGCACTCCCTAGTGAGATGAACCCAGTACCTCAGATGGAAATGCAGAATCGCCCGTCTTCTGCGTCGCTGACACTGGGAGCTGTAGATCAGAGCTGTTCCTATTTGGCCATCTTGGCTCCACCCCCCGAGAGTATTTCATTTTACCTCTTTTCACCTCCATCATCTCCAATTAATGAAATATTTTTCTAGCTGATCCTTGAAAACTATGAGGGTTAGAGGTACTTACATTCTCCTTCCCTGAACAGTCAAAAATGTGCATAAGACTTTTGAGTCCACCCAATTTTAACTATTAATAGCCTACTGTTGACTGGAAGCCTTACCAATAACATAAACAGTCAATTAACACATATTTGTATGTTATATGTATTATATTGTGTATTCTTACAATAAGGTAAAGAAAATATGTTATTAAGAAAATCATGAGGAAGAGAAAATACACTTACTGTTAATTAATTGGAAATAGATTATTACAAAGTTCTTAAGTCTTACTGTCTTCTCATTGAGAAGGCTGAAGAGAAGGAGAAAGAAGAGGAGTTGGTCTTGCTATCTTTTTTTTATATTTTATTATTATACTTTAAGTTTTAGCGTGCATGTGCACAACGTGCAGGTTTGTTACATATGTATACATGTGGTCTTGCCATCTTAGGGATGGCACAGGCAGAAAA
The DNA here is from genome assembly GCF_000001405.40 of Homo sapiens. NCBI lineage: Eukaryota > Metazoa > Chordata > Mammalia > Primates > Hominidae > Homo > Homo sapiens. The sequence continues at coordinate 189,331,969 of NC_000001.11, forward strand.
AAAATTCACATATAAGCAGCCCCACATAGTTCAAACCTGTGTCACTCAAGGGTCAATTGTAATTATTAAATAGACTAGGAACCTCTATTTGTCTGAGATTCTTAGAGAGAAATTACATCTTACTCATTTGTGTTTCCCTGATGCATGGGACAATGCCAGGAGAAACAATATAAACAAAACAAATAATGTAAAAATAATAAATATACTAAGAGCTTATATATATATATGTACATATAATACACATATTACTTTATATATATATTTCTCTATATATGTATGTGTGTCCATATATACATATATAGTATAGATACATAGATAGATAGATACAGCTAATGATATGCCAGGTCCTATTCTATACATTTTCTACACAGAAGGTTCTACCTTGAATCTGCATAACAAATAACAAAACACCCCTCTGAAACATATTCTAATATAATGCTCATTTTATATGAGAAAATTTAGACACAAGAAGGAAAGGTAGATTCAAAATTTATGCAGCTGTGTGTCAGAGCAAGGATTGAGACTAGATTCTGGCTCCAGACTCCACTTCCCTAAAAAACTACATGAAAATTCAATACACTATTTGTAAATGTTCTATTAACAGTAAGAAACATTTTCAATGTGTGACTTTCACCAATTGAGTATAAATAAGAAGTGGACAATTCATCTTTCTGTTCTATTGATTTTAGCCAATTTTAGTAGACATATAATCTAGAGAATCCTGCAATGGATCATCTTGGTTAGAAGTGAATCTAGAATATCAAGACTTCCAATAGCTTAATTGTACCACGCTTCTAAGAGATGTGTGGGCTTGTGTGTACATAGAACCAATTTTAGTAGTAGTATCTCAGTATCAAAAACATATGTATGCATTTGACTTTATTTTTGGAATTTAACTTAAAACTAACCATTGGAAAATTTCAAGAAATGTCTTAATAAAATATAAATCAGTATTGACACTAAATACTTATTTTTTCAAGTCACTATATTAGTATTAATTAAAACTAAAATAAAATTTTAATTGCCTAAGTGTGGAAAAATAGTCATTTATTTGTGGTACATGGCAAAATATAAAGTATCTCCATTGTTTAATTCATTCTTTTCTTATATTTCATGTATGTTATTAATAAAGTTCAAATGATTAATTACTAAGGTCATGAAAGAAGAACAGTTGATGAATTCACACATTTTTCCAATGGTTCTATATTGATGGCTCAATCATTTAGTAGATTTAGTAAGTCATACAGTTTCATTCATTACAAATATCAACTTAAGGCTATTTTCTTAACTTAAATATTATGTGCTCTGTAGTTACTTGATTATCTGAAATCTATTTCAAAAACTTTAATAAATTATTACCTGAAATTACCATATAATATCACTGTAATATAAAATCAGTGTAAGATTTCTTTAAATTAAATTTTCTGTTTAAATCAAATGTAAAAGTAAGAAGAATATTAATAAATTGATTTGACATTCCTTTCAAGCTAGAGTTATCAGTCCTAGTTTTGTACTCAGAATGTACAACTTAGTCATAGTCCATTACATTCATGAAGTGATCATTTGTTGCTTACAAGCATAAACTGCAATGACTTTCTGTGGTGTAAAATACTTTTCCTAATTTAAATTATTGATATTTATGCAGAGCAAAAAAAACATGTATACATATTTTTTGTCCTCTAAGGATTTCAGAAAACATGTCATTCAAGTCAGTAGAACGTTAAGAAAAATAGTACGGATATGATTTTGTCTATTGTGAACACATCCAAAAATGAAATGTTTTTTCTAAAATATATCCCAAGAACCACTTGCAACAAAATTGTCTAGATATTGTTAACCTTTGCATTTCTGTGACCCACTTAAGATATTTATTCAAAAATTCTGGAATTGGAATATAAGAAATACGGTTTATCGCATATTTCAAGATGTAGTAATAAAAGTAAATCGTGAAAACCTCAAATTTTTCTTGGTCATCTAGCAGGTCAGAATTAGATGAAAAACAAATTATTTTGTATCATTTTAAAATAAGTTGGCTATGTAATTGCTAAGATATTTCATAATTCAGAAATAATAAGATTATTTAAATATTGCATGCTTTAGAAAATTACCATGATAAAATCTACATAATTACTATTCTTCTAATAATTTATATAATGTAATATACTTTATAAGGTTATAATACCAATATGAAAGATAATGGAAATAGACTGATGGTCTCCTTAGCCAGCCATTTTTAAATTTGTGTGGTCATAAGATTATAATTAGCCCTTTGTTTTTTCTTTTCTTGCTTCCTGCTCTAATTTGGGTTTCCTCCCCAAAATTCATGTTAGACCTGTAAGAAGTATTAGTTGATAAAGGCTCTGTCCTCATGAATGTACTAATCTATTCATGAATTTTGAAATAGTGAATTAATGGATTATTGGGGGAGTGAGTTAACTATCTCCAGAATGGGTCCTCTAAAAAGCCATTTTGGCTTTCTCTCTTCTAACCTTCTGACCATGTGATGCCCATCACTGTGTTATGACCCAGCAAGATGGCCTTCACTGATGGCAGAATCTTTGACTTTGGACTTTCCAGGCTTTAGGACTATAAGAAATAAATTTATTTTATTATAAATTACCCATAGTGTGGTATCATGATATAGCAAGAGAAACACACTAAGACACTTCGTATTTCTCTTGAAAAGATCAATACACATTCAGCGGAATGAACTTTACACACACACACAGACACAGACACAAACACACACAAACACAGAAATATTACATTTTTAAAAAGAGAAAGATTTATTTTAGATGAGACATTGGAGACAAACTTGAAGGTGTGTTTGCAATTTTTTTCTTCAACACTGTATGGGCTAAAGAGGCACCTGTAGGATTCAGACCTCCCAGTTAATAAATACATACTTTTTTCTTGAAGAAATGACATTTGGCCAAAGTGTCACCTTTTATTAGAAAGACTAAAACAAAAATAGCATAAGTATCAATATCTGTACAATGTAGGTTAAGAGAAAGATTTGAACAAGGTTTTAATTGTAGCTATTTCAAATTAATTCTATTTCTCATATGTTAATAGCTTAGTATCATATTCATCATAACAGCATATAGCCTGCAGCCTCAATAACATAATGATCTCCTAAAAAATCAAATGCAAATATTTGAGTTTATATCTTTTACAAGAATATAGTGAACCATCAGAAGGATAGCGTAGCAAGAATGATTTTTAGTGTAATTATCATTATATATTTTCAATTTATCAAATTTTAATGCATTAGTGCAATCTCATAAAATTGTTCTCCTCTCTCTGCCTCTATCTCTATCTCTACCAATTTTTACTTCTTGCCCTCTTTTAAAATTAATTCCCTTGAAGTAGGACAGGAACTCCTTTCCTTAGGGAAGTTTCTCTTCAGTAAATAACTCTAATGTAGAAATCTTAAATGTGTTCAGCAGCTATTAAAATTACTAAAGTTAATGAAAAACTTTTGCATCCTAAGCATAAATTTGATCCCTTTAGAACTTTTTCTCTCTTGCCTTTCCAAAGACTTACCAATACTTCCTTCTACCATAGCTCTTTCTTTAACTATGTTTATAACTGTGAACTAAGTTCTAGGAGAATAACATATAGTGTTCAAGAACAGATTTCCAGGGAATATTTGTCATTTCTACCTTCAAAATATATTTTTGGAGGTTGGAAGAGGTGGTTCATCCCTGTAATCCCAACACTTTGGGAGGCTGAGACAGGCGGATCTGTTGAGGCCTGGAGTTCGAGACCAGCCTGGCCAACATGGCAAAACCCCATCTCTACTAAAAATACAAAAATTAGCTGGGCATTGTGGCATGTGCCAGTAGTCCCAGCTACTCGAGAAGCTGAGGCAGGAGAATCACTTGAACCCAGGAGGCGGAGGTTACAGTGAGCTGAGATCGTGCCACCGCACTACGGCCTGAACAACAGACCGAGACTCTGTCTCAGGGAAAAAAAAAAAAAAAAAAAAAAAAAAAAGTTCTTGAATTTGACCAATTCTGTCCACATTTACTCACCTCATACTAACTAAAACCATTGTGATTGCTTACCTTCCTAATAGAGGTGGCTTCTTATAGAGGAGGTGGGAGCAGAACTTCAGCCTATGTGGAGCCCATATGGTTTGATGCAGGAATATCTGGAGGGGAGCATGGCCAAGGACACCCATTCTCCAAGGCTCACCATTCTCCCGTAAGAGACTCTAGCTTAGGAGAACTGCCGGGACTCAACAGAGCAGTATGATCTTGCCCATGAGACCGGCCCAGTCTGACGTGAATGTACTTCCGTCTGTTGACCCCTCCCAGGGTCGCAGCTTGGACATGCCTGCTTGCAGTGCAGCCTTAAATGCCCAACCATGGTGCATTCCAGGGACTTGCGTCATAGCTCCTATGCTGACAGACTGTGCTTGACCTTTGATGAGCTCCAGCAGAGTGGCCACCACCAATACACAGCAGTCTACCCACAAAACCTAACCCATGCCACTTTGCCGGCATGCACCTGCCCACGACCACCCCTCCATTGCTTTGCCATCACATGGATGGACCTTGCATCCCCTTCCCTGCCCACTGTGGGTGCATGTGCACTCTATTGTGCCATTGTTACCAGCCTGAGTGCACCCACACCTGCTGCCAAGCCGCCATTGCTTGTGCAAACACACACAAGTACGTCACAGTCATGGTGTGAATGCATACACTGAGGTCACCAGCCCCATGCCCACGAACACCCTGCCCTTGTGCAGACACTGCCACTGTTCAAATGCACACACAGACCCCAGGGGTCACACCCACCCTTTCCAACTTCACCATACTGCACCACCACCACTGCCGCTGCCAACACCTTCACTGAGGCCAGAAGCCCCTGGACCACCAACCTCCCAGCCCAGCTAATAAGCAGGCACCCTGCCACACTGCTGCTGCTGCTGGCATATGCAAACAAGCACAGATCCTGCAGCCTTCACCCCATGAAGCACTTTGACGGGCACCACCCTTCAGAGTGTTGTGGCCAGTGGTCTGGAAACACCACGACCCCTCCAGGACAGCGGGTGCCCAACCTTGAGAGAAGAGAACACACCTAGGGGCTCCATAACCCCCCAGAGTTACATCACACAGCCCGGGAGTGCTGAGCTGAGCCTTGGCCCCCTAAAAACCTATCAGAAATAAAGCTAGTTGACTGAATCCACCTTATACCACAATCAAACTCCCAAGGACATGAAAGAAAATGAAATTTTAAAAATATCCAAAGGACAGCAGTATCAAATATAAAAGGAACATCAGCTCACACAGATGAGAAGAATCACTGCAATAACTCTGGCAACTCAAAAAGGCAGAGTGTCTTCATACCTCCAAATAACTGCACTATTTCCCCAGCAATGGTTCTTAATCAGGTTGAAATGGCAGAAATTTCAGAAATAGAATCAGAATATGGATGAGAACAAAAATCTTTGATATTCAAGAGAAAGTTAAAAACAAATACAACAATTCTAAGGAATACAATAAAATGATATGGGAGATGAAACACACAATGGCCATTTAAAGAAAGAAACAAACTGAGCTGATAGAGCTGTAAAGCTCACTTCAAGAATTTCAGAATATATGCACAAGTATTAGTAGCAGAATTGACCAAGCTGAGGAAAGAATCTCAGAGCTCGAAGACTAGCTCTCTGAAATAACTCAGTCCCACACAAATAAAGAAAAAAAACAATAAAGAGAAATGAATGAAACCTCTGAGGAAACACATTAATAAGATAGACCACTAGCTAGACTGATAAATAAAAAAAGATAGAAGATCCAAATAAAAACAATCAGAAATGACAAAGGGGACCTGACCACTGATCCCACAGAAATACAAAATCCCTCATAGAACACTAGGAACACCTCTATGCACACAAGCTGGAAAATCTGGGGAAAAAAAAAATGGGCGAATTCCTGGACACATACAACCTTCCAGGACTGAACCAGTTAAAAAAAAAAATGAAGCCCTCAACAGACCAAAAATGAGTTCCAGAATTAAATCAGTAATAAAAAGCCTGCCAGCCAGAATCAGATGAATTCATAGCCAAATTCTACCAGATGTATAAGGTAGAACTGCTACTATTCTGACTGAAACTATTTCAAAAAATTGAGGAGGAGGGATTCCTCCTTAACTTATTCAATGAGGCCAGCATCATCCTGATACTAAAATCTGGCAGAGACACAACAACAACAACAAAAACTTCAGACAATATCCTTGATGAACAAAGATGCAAAAGTCCTCAACTAAATATCAAATCCAAAAGCACGTTAAAAAGCTAATCCAGCATGATGAAGTAGACTTTATCCCTTGGATTTAAGATGGTTTCAACACACACAAATCAATAAATGTAATTCATCATATAAGCAATAAATGTAATTCATCATATAAGCAGAACTAAAAAAAATACCATGATTATCTCGATAGATGCTGAAAAGGCTTTTGATAAAAATCAACATCCTTTTGTGTTAAAAATTCTCAACTGAGTAGACATTGAAGGAACATACTTCAAAATAATAAGAGCCATCTATGACAAACCCACAGCCAACATCATACTGAAAGAGAAAAAGCTGGAAGGGTTCCCCTTGATAATTAGAAAAAAAAAAAAAAAAAAAAAAAGGACACCCTGTCTCACTACTCCTGTACAACATAGTACTGGAAGTCCTGGGCAGAGCAATAAGCCTAGGGAAAGAAAGACAAAGCATCCAAACAGGAACAGAGGAGGTCAAACTATCCCCATTTGCAGATGACATGGTTCTATACCTAGAAAACCCCATAGTCTGTGCTCAGAGTTCCTTGATCAGATAAACAACTTCAGAAATATTTCAAGATACAAAGTCAATGTATGGAATTCAGTAGCATTCCTATACACCAAAATCATTCAAGCTGAAAGCCAAATCAAGAACACATTCCCATTCACAGTAGCCACAAAACAATGCAATACCTAGGAAAAGAGCTGACCAGGGAGGTGAGAAATCTCTACAATGTAAATTACAAAATACCGCTCAAAGAAATCAGGGATAACACAATTAAATGGAACAACATTCCATGCTTATGGATAGGCAGAATCAATATTTTTTAAATGGCCACACTACCGGAAGCGGTTCACACATTCAATGATATTCCTATCAAACTATCAATGACATTTTTCACCGAATTAGAAAAAAAGCTATTTTAAAATTCATATGGGACCAAAAAGAGCCCAAATAGGCAAGACAGTTCCAAGCAAAAAGAACAGAGCTGGAGACATCACATTACTTGACTTCAAACTATACTAAATGGCTACAGTAACCAAAATCCCCTGGTATGAGTGCAAAAACAGACACATAGACCAATTGAACAGATAGAGAACCCAGAAAAAAAGAATTTATCAACAACTATTGTTAAAAAATTGATTAAGCAGGCCCAAATAGGCAACAGTATAATATATTTATATATCCACCATAAATTGAAGCATATTAAAATTAATATGCTATCTATTAAAGTCCCTTATTTTATTCTTGGAAATGAATAAATTCAATTTTCTTCATACTGTATAATCCTCCACAATTATTCAGTCTCTTTTACATAGAAGATATTATGTTTATTTCCTCCAAAATTTATAAGCCATATGTCTTATACTATTGAAATTTATGTGTATAAATTCCCAATTGTTTAAATATTGGCGACACACTTAACAACCATTTGATAGTCAACAAAGCTGACATAAACAAGCATTGGAGAAAGGACTGCTATTCAATAAATGGTACTGAGATAACTGGCTAGCCATATGCAGAATATTGAAACTATACCCTTTCTTTACACCATAAACAAAAATCAAGACAAGATAGGTTAAAGACTTAAATGTAAAACCTAAAACTATGACTAGGCACAGTGGCTGACGCCTGTAATCCCAGCACTTTGGGAGGCTGAGCCAGGTGGATCACGAGATCAGGAGATAGAGACCAGCCGGGCCAACATGGTGAAACCCCGTCTCTACTAAAAATACAAAAATTAGCTAGGCGTGGTGACAGGTGCCTGTAATCCCAGCTACTCGGGAGGCTGAAGGACAAGAATCACTTGAACCTGGGGGACAGAGGTTTCAGTGAGCTGAGATTGTGCCACCACACTCCAGCCTGGGCAGTAGAGTGAGACTCAGTATCAAAAACAAAAAAAAATTCCGCTGTAAAACTCCAGGAGATAAGCTAGGAAATACCATTATGGAAATAAAACTGAGCAAAGATTTTATGACAAAAATGCCAAAAGCAATTGCAACAAGAACAATAGTTAACAAATGGAACCTAATTAAAGTAAAGTGCTTCTGCACAGCAAAAGTAACTATCAACAGAGTAAGCAAACAACCTACAGAATGAGAGAAAATATTTGCAAAATATCATCTGACAAAGGTCTAATATACATAATCTATAAGGAATTCGAACAAATTTACAAGCAAAAACCCAACAACCCCATTAAAAGGTGGACAAAGGACATGAGCAGACACTTTTCAAAAGAAGACATACAACCAAGAAACATATAAAAAGGTCAACATCACTAATAGTTAAAGAAGTGCAAATCAATACCAAAATGAGATACACTTCAACAGCAGTCGGAATGGCTACTATTAGACAGTCATATAATAAAAGATGCTGGTTAGCTTGCAGAGTTAAGGGAGTGCTTATACATTACTGATGGGAATGTCTATTAGTTTAGCCATTGTGGAAAGCAGTATGGTGATTTCTACAAGAACTTAAAACAGAACTATCATTCAGACCAGCAATCTCATTACTGGGTATATACCCAAAAGGATATATATAATTCTGCCATAAAGACAAATGCATTGTGTGTCTTCATTGCAGCACTATTCACTACAGCAAAGGCATGTGATCAATCTAGATGCTCATCAATGGTAGACTGGATAAAGAAAATGTTGTTCATATACACCATGGGATACTATGCAGGCATACAAAATAATGAGGTCATGTCTTTTGCAGCAACATGGATGGATCTATACACCATTATCCTAAGTGAACTAATGCAGAGACAGAAAAATAAATACCACATGTTCTTACTTATAGATGGGAGCTAAACATCCATTCATATGGACACAAAAAACGGAACAACAGACTTCAGAGCCTGCTTGAGGGTATAGGTTGGGAGGAAGGTGAGGACAGAAAAACTGCCTGTATGGTAGTATGCTTATTACCTGGGTGTTAAAAATAGTCTTTACACCAAACCCCAGTGACATGCAATTTACGTATGTAATAAACCTGCACATGCCCCAGAAACTAACATAATTAAAAAAAAAAAAAACAATGTCATGGGATTTGATTGCTAATCTGACCAAGATTTGCTTTAATTTAAATATTTGTATTACCCTCAAAATTCATCTGTTGAAATCCTAACCCTCAAGGTGATAATAGTATTAGGAGGTGTGGCATTTATGAAATGATTAAGTCATGAGTATTCTCATGAAAGAGACTAGTTCCAGTATTAAAGAAGCCCCAGAGAGCCTCTCCCCACTTCTGCCATGTGAGATGACAGTAAAAAGACCACCGTCTATAAACCAGGAAGTGGGCCCACAACTGTCACTGAATCTAACTTGATTTTGGATGTCCCAGTCTACAGGACTATGAAACACAAATTTCTGTTATTCAATAGCTACCTAGTTTATGGCATTTTAAATGATAGCCCTAATGGACTAAAAAAAATAATACTTTACATATATATATGTATATATATGTGTGTATTTGAAGTAATATTATATATATATATATTTGAAGTAATATTAGATTATATTTAAACAATTGGGAATTTATACATATAAATTTCAACAATATAAGACATATGGCTTATAAATGTTGGAGGAAATAAACATGATATCTTCTATGTAAAAGAAATTGAATAATTATGGAGGATTATACAGTATGAAAAAATCTAATTCATTTACAAGAATAAAAAAGGAACTTTAATAGCATATTAATTTTAACATGCTTAAATTTATGGTGAATATATAAATACATTATACTTTTGCCTATTTTGGGCTGCTCAATCAATTTTTTAACAATAGTTGTTGATAAATTCTTGTTCATTTTTTTTTTATGCTATGTCTTGTCTTCTCAATTTTTTTCTTTTTATATTTTGTGGCTGGATTGCCAGGGCACGCTGTTCATGATTAATACATCTTTTTGATTTGTTGTTAGAATTTTTTGTAGCAACTTATATTTTTCATATTTTTATTTCCTTTTTATGTGGTATGACTTTTTTACCATTTTATTTACAACATTTAAAAAATTGATTTCAGTTGTATCTCATTTATACATGCTTACAATATTTTAGAGGACTTATTCTTTGTTTTGTCCAAACTGAGTTTTTATTTTGTGGCCAAAATATTTTATTCCTTTACCTTTATCTTGATTAGCATTATCTATTACATTAGGGTTTATAAAACTATCTCATTTGTGTTTTCCTTTAATCATATTGTGTTTCTCTTTTTGTTCTTTCTTAAATTTTTTCAGGTGAGTTGCTTTGCCTCTTGATGCTATAAAATTAAACATCACATATTGTTTCTTCTGGAAGTTACCCCAAAGATGCTAACTTTTATATCAAGTTTCTTATTTTTTTCTAGATATCCTTAATATATATACACATATATGCATATATGAAATTATTATGCTTAGAATTATCTACATATAATTATCATTGCATCTTCATAATATTTTAATACTTTTTTTAGTTGTAAAATTCTAGACTTAACTTTCTTTTCCTTCAACGCATTGAAATAATTATGCTTTATCTTTCTGAGTACAGGGTTGCTGAGAAAATTTTGGTGTCTATGTGATATTTTCCTTTGTTTTCTACTTTCTCTTGATATAATCTTTTAGAAATTTTTCTTTGCCTTTGATGTTATTGGATGAAATAATAATGTGTCAGCCTAGGTGTGGGTTTTTCTTTATCCTAATATTTGAAACTTTTGAATCTGTTTAGAACTACAGCTGTTTGTCTTTCTTTAATTCAAAGAAATTAAAATCACTGTTATTTCCATTCTATAAATCTCATTTTTGTTTGTTTGGTTTTGGTAGAGGGGTCATTTTTATTTACAAAGTTCCTCACACCCAACTTTTCTTTTTTGTCCATTTCCCAGTGATTTTTACATGAGCTTGCTATCTGATTTTCTAGTTCAATTTGTGTAATTCAACTATACTCATTATACTGTATATTCAATATATTGGTTTTTTATATTCTAGTGACTTTTTGTGTCCCACGATAAAATTTCATTATAATCAATTATTCTTTATCACACAGTTCTTGAAACACTATTCTTTTTTGTCTTCTTGAATTGATTGACAAAGATAATCAGATTAAAGTAATTGTTTATCACACTCTCAACCTCTATAATCAAATTGACATTTTGGTTCTGGAAAATTGTCATTAGATTCTAGATTTATGGGTTTCTTTGCACGTCAGAATCAATAGCTTTGAAGAATCTCATCCGTGACCAGTTTTGCTCACAAATAAGAAAAAAACCTGCATATATTATATGATTTATAAGCTTCTAACGGTTATTCTAATGCTTATAAATTCCTGAAAAATAAAAAGTTGAATAGTATATCATGATCATAATTATGTCATTCTACATACTCCAAAGAAAGTGATTTTTTTCAGGCTAGAGTATCCTTTGTGTGTGAAAGTATATTTTAACTATAGAGTTAACAGATAAAATAAAATGTGACTTTTCTTACAGATGAAATATCCATTACAGATGGAAATTCTCTGTACAATAGTAAAGCCATATAGTAAATAAATAGAAAACAGAAATGCATTTAAGGAAAAAAATGGGTGGAATGAGCAGAAAAGACTGTAGACTTCATGGGAGGACAAAGACAGAATACCTATATTGAATCAAATATTTCATTCTTGGAAAGAAAAAATTAAATAATATACAGATGTAATTACCCTCTAAATTATTTTTGTTTAATATGATTTAATTTGATTTTCTGAGAGAAGTAGTTTGGAAACTTAATGTAGTTCTTAAATTAATATGGAAGAATGCATGTATACATGAGTAAGAGTAATAATAGTGGACTAGGTATAACATATTAAAACATTATAAAACCGAAATTTTGAATTATCTTGACACTGAATAACATAAGCAGGTAAAAGGAACAGAATGGCAAATATATAAAATGACAGTTCTTATAAGATAAAGGTTTAGTTCAAAGGAAGGGTGGAAGTGGTTTATATAATAAATGATTTTAGGAAATACCTGTTGAAATATTAAAATATAGATTCCTACATCATCAAAATAATTTTCAAAAAACAAATAAATTTATATAATTAATTTAAAAAACATAAAATTAATTTTTATATAGGGGGACATAATGGGTAAATACGTTGCAGTAAAGAAACACTAATAATTATATAAAATATTACATGCATAAAATAAATATTTTAAATATACTACGTAAAAATAATAAATATTAAATAAATATTCTATAATTTAAAAATACTATTATATAATTATGAAAAGAAATTAAAATTAAAAATTCAAATTTGTTAAAATAATGTGTAATAACTTTATATGTTTTAAAAAAACTATTGCTATTAAAAGTCAAGAAGAAAAAGAGCAATGTTCTAAATAAATAAATTAGTGACAATTTGAAAAATTTTAAAGTTCTATCTTATTATAATCAAAGAAACACTAATAAATGCTTTGCCTTTGTATAAATGAAATGAAATAAATAAATGGTAGTTACATTCCAATTAATCCAACCAAAAGTGAAAACTCTTACAATGCTAGTGGAATAATTTGGTAGAACTTTAAGAATAATTTTTCAGGCTGGGCATGGTGGCTCACACCTGTAATCCCAGCACTTTGGGAGGCTGAGGTGGGTGGATCACGAGGTCAGGAGTTCAAGACCAGCCTAGCTAATACGGTGAAACCCCGTCTCTACTAAAAATACAAAAATTAGCTGGGCGTGGTGGCACACGCCTGTAGTCCCAGCTACTTGGGGGGCTGAGGCAGGAGAATCGCTTGAACCCAGGAGGCAGAGTTTGTAGTGAGCCAAGATCATGCCACTGCACTCCAGCCTGGATGACAGAGCAAGACTCCATCTCAAAAAAAAAAAAAAAGAATTTTTCATCATAAGTTAGAGGACTAATTATAGATCTTTTATCACAAAAAAATTTTGATGGAAATATATCTTAAGTGTGATGAATATACTAAGGATTTAGTTCCTAGGATATAGTTCTGAGATCTCTTTATTATGGTAGAGTACTGACAAATAAATGTTTTAAATATTCAACAATAATGTAGTGATAAAACAATCTTTTTAATATAAGCATTATAATAGCACATTTATTAAAATGGAATGTTGTCTAAATAATATTTTATAGTTATATTACTAAATTGTACAAGCAATATTATCTTATTTGCATATGCACATATTATTATGTGTAGAAAACATGCATTTTATATAACAAGAGATTAACACTTATTTCCTCTGGCTAAGGAGAAATTTAGATTTTCTTTTTTTTTTTTTTTTTTTTCTTGAGACAGAGTCTCACTCAGTCTCCTAGGCTGGCATGCAGTGGCCCAAAACGGCTCACTGCAAACTCTGCCTCCCGGGCTCAAGCAATTCTCCAGCCTCAGCCTCCAAAGTAGGTGGGACTACAGAGGTGAGCCTCCGGGGCCGGCTAATTTTTATATTTTATGTGGAGACAGGTTTCATCATGTTGCCCAGCTTGGTCTCCAACTCCTGAGCTCAAAGCTATCTGCCCGCCTCAGCCTCCCAAAGTGCTGGGATTACAGGCTTGAGTCACCTCACCTGGACAGCTGTTTGTTTTTTAATCAGTTTAATTTATCTATAATTTACACAAAATAAAAGCACTGATGTTAAGTATACAATTTCTAATTGCCTGTTGCTAACATGTGGAAATACAGTTGATACATTTATAATGACATTGCTTAACTTACTTATCAATTCCAATAACACATTGTAATTCATTGTACATTCTTTTTCGACTTTACATACATTTTATTTTATTTTCTGGACCACATTACACTGGAGAGGACTTCCAGTGGGACTGTGAATAAATATACTAGAAGCAGACATCCTTGGCATGTTCCAGACATAAGGGAAAGAACATTCGGTTAAAGTATAAATGTTACTTTTCGTTTAGTACCCCCCACCCCGCCCAGGTATACTTCAAGTGCTTTTTCTGCATCTTTTAAGATAAAAGTATGTGTTTTACTCTGCTAATATGGTATGTTAGTTTCCTATTACTGCTGTAACAAATTACTGCAAACCTAGTTGCTTAAAACAACACGAAGTCTTGCCATGGAGTCCTAAAGGTCAGAAGTCTGAAATGGACTTCACTGGACTGAAATCAAGGTGTTATCAGGCTTTTGTTCCTTCTGGAGACTCTGGAACTGCATCTATTTCTTCCTTTCCATCTTCTACAGGCTGCGTTGCCTCTTGGTCCCTTCTTCTTCCATCTTCAAAGCCAGAAATGGTTTGCTGAGTCTTTATTATGCTACATTACTCCGACGCATCTGTTCTGTATTAAAATCTTCTCTTTAATCATGTAAAGTAACTTATCCTCAGATTCCAGATATTCAGAAGTGGATATTTTGATGGGAGCTTATTCAGCCTGTCACATAGGTAAAATAGTTGTGTTGCTTTGTACCTTTTTTTTCCTTATATGATAAACCAACCTTGCATTCTTTGAGGAAAAAAAAGCAACAACACTTGGTCGTGATATATTATACATCTTGCATGTTGTGAGATTTCATATGCCATAGAGCTAAATTAAGGATGTTTGTACTTATATTTATGAAGGATATTAATCTAGAGTTTTTTATTTGAATTACCCTGTTTAGTTTTAGTGTTACGATAATGCTATATTTATAAACTGGAAGGAGAACGTTTTGTCCTCTTTTAATTTCTGGAGAAGTTACATATAATTGATATTATGTCTTCATAAATGTTTGATAACATTCAGAACTATACAAGAATATGTAACACAAGGTGACCAAGTATGATTTATACAAGGAATGTAAAATTCACTCAAAATACAGTGAACAAAATTTAATTAAGAGAAATAAAAACATTTATCTCAATAAATGTATTAGAATCCCTTGAAAAATTCAAAGCCTATCCATAATAAAAAAAATAAAAAAGCACATTCTCAGCAAGTGATTGGATAGACATATTGTTGTATATTATACAATGGAATAAATCTACTAATTTTTACAACAACCTTGGAGCATTATGTCAATAGACAAAAGACTGATATATAAAGAACACATGCTACATGATGCTAATTACATGAAGTTGATGGGTAGGAAATATCTGACAGATTACAGAGGCTATTTTGAAGGGAGTGTGAGTGAGGGAACTTTCTGAGGTAGAGGAAAGATTCTTTATCTTGATTAGACTTCTGGTTGCAGACTTGTTTACATTTGTCAAAACTTATCAAATTGTACTTACAGACTCTGCCTTTCACTGTACATAAGTTTACCTATACTACAATAACATATAACAGTTATTTAATCAAAATAACACCAATTATCTGTCTAAAATTGCTTTCTATTCATCAGCATGTTGGGAAATAATTTGGATTAAATTTCGAGCTATTTTTGTATCATGAATAAATAATATTTACTACATGTATTTACCTTATATGCATTTATACATGAACTGCTTAAAATGCAACTGAAGGATGAAATCTATTCCTTTTATATAGATCACCAGTAACTCTTTTTATTATAGAGATATTAAGAAAAAAGACTAGATCTAATCAGAACATCTTGCTCCCATTTTCTCAAATATACAGCCCTGCTGTAAATAGGTTTCCACAGAAGCACCTACTACTTATCAACGTTTGAGCCAAGAAAATCTCAAATGTACTTTTTTTGGTATCCAGTTGAAACTTTGAGATTGAAAAGTTTTCTTTCATCTTTTTCAATATTCTTTTAATTTACCCAATTTCTCTGAATCTTCACCAAAAACCTCTATATCCTAGGAAGTCTCCCTCGTGTTGAGTTCTCTCAAAACTTAATTTTTATTCCCTTACTTCATACAGCAACTAAATCTTTGGAAAATACTTTTAACTACAGTGTCAGTTAACCCTATATTATATTACAATAAAAGTATTAGAACTCTGAACTGAATTGTCCTAGAAGTGCTTTTAAACAAAGACGCTGTTTCCTTGTTGTTTCAACTTTTTTGTTATTGTTAATTAATTGAAGCAGAACATAGTTGTGTTGATTACTTACATAAGTCTTAGATCTTCATTCATAGTTTGTGTGTTAGGGCCAAATAATTTTACGTTTTGTTATTGATTCTGGACAAATAATTCTACATGTTGCTAATTGATTCTACCTAATAATATTACATGGAATAAATATTACAGAAGACGCAGGAACATTACTATCCATCCAATTTTACCGATTATAAACTTAAAAATAATGTGAAAATCCTTCTTTCCAGTCCCCAAATCCAGTTAGCCACAAAAATTGCTTAATTCTACATTCTGTATCTTTCTAATAGTCATTATATCATTTAGGTATCAACTGCCACAGTAATACCTCGGATCTAATTGTCTCTTTCTTTGTGTTTATTCTCTTCTACTCAAACTCCCCTTAGCCTTCACTAAAAGGAAAAAAAAATTCCTACATCCTCCAAGTGTTCTGTAATTGTTACTTTTTTTCCTCTCCTTAGCTTATTCACTTTCCTCCTAATTTGCTCAGACAATATCTAGGAACTAACAAACATGCACAGTATAACAGACTCTAATATGATTTACTGTTATAATAACAGTGGGTATGAAAATAATCTACTAGTAATTAACAGATGTTGATAACATACATGAAGCCCTAACAAGTAAGGTTTTTTTAGCCTAGAATTGTTTGTTATTGCAAAAGCATGAGATAGATAACTTGTTAATTCAGGAAAGAAAATTAATTCAGTGATTTGTGTGCTATGTGAAAAGTTTTAAAATACAATTTGTTTCTGGCTGGCTTTGTCTGGAAAACGTCAAACGAGCTTCCAAATAGGTGGGTTGTGTAATTTATATGGTTAATAGACTATTTAGAAATTAACAGACTACCTAAATGCGGTGCTGCATTACTGTATCCAGACTAACCTATTTTTGTTATCCTTGCACTTAATGACAAGCATAATAGTTTTAGTTGCCGTGAAAGAATTGTCATTGCATTGTTTTCTTGACATAATATTTCAGGTTCACTTATTAATTTGTTTGACAAATACAAGAAATAGAAAATAGATATTTCAAACTCTACCTAGTCAATATAATACAACTGAATAAAGCAATTAGGATCAACCATGGCGTGGGGGGAAGAAAAAAATAAAGGGAAAGGAAAAGAGAGCAGAGGGGGAATGGGGAGATAGAGGAAGGGAGAGAGAGAATGAAAGCTAAAAGTCTACCTATTCTATCCCACTCCCAATCTGTAGTCCTTGGTCTTTTTGTTTGGTTATGGCTCTGTGAGACACAGCAGGTCCAAGCAAAAGAGCATCTAAAAAAGAAGTGGACTGCATCAGTCCTTGCCTGAGTTCTGTTTTGCTTGCACTAAGTCTGTGGTTCTCAGACTGAACTGCCCCTTGCAGTTTCTCATTAATCTTTTAAAGAAAATATATAGATGTCCACCCCAGTACCAGAAAAATTAAATCACCAATATTGCTGGGTGATTACTGGTGAAGTATATTGCTAATTTTAAAACTTTCCGAATTGTTTTACTGTGTATGCAGAGTGAAACCATTGATTTAAAATGTCCTTCCTTTCCTGTCCTCCTGACCTTTAGGACTGTGCCTGCTGCCGGCCAGTCCCTCTTCGCTCGTGTTGATGCATCTGAATCAGGCTTACATAAAAAACATTGATTATTCTTTTCTTCAAAGGCCTAGGCATGAGGCTTGAGCTCTAATTATTTTTAGCTCAATTACTGTATCAATCTTATGCAAACAGAGTTTGATAATTATGAGGAAATAGAACTTTCATTTAACCAAATCATGTGGAACTGTAGGATATTATATATCATCTATTATGATTTTTAAAAGAAAACATGCCTACGATTTAATATTGCTCACAGTATTATTTTCTTCTCCCAGCCCAGAAAAGGAAATCAGAATACATGACGTCCAAACTCCTCAAGCTCAATCTGATAATCTTGCTCACTCTCATCTTTCAGAGTGAAATAATCACAAATAGATCATTATGAAGTTTACATAAAATCATTCTTCATTTAAAAGAGAAATGGTATTAACCACCATCATCAACATAGTACACCCATATTAAATTATAAAATATTCAAAGATGTTTTCTTCAAGTAAAATAGCTCCAAACTATTAATATTGCCTGTTAAAACAAGACATTTGGGATCTCACATTTTAACGTACTAATTTGAATTAACAAATGCATTCATATGGTGATATGAGGATTCTTATAGACCCTGTTAAAGCTACATAATTATTTATTATCATTTCCTTATTTTTTGCTTATATTTCTGATTATTTTCTCTATATTCCTCCAAATGTTAAGGACATATTTATTGTCAGCTTTCTCTTTCCCAGGTATTGGAGTTATAATCGTGCCACTATTCTCATGAGAATAGCTTCCCACTGGTAGATTCAGCGATGTAAAGTAAAAATTTATTCCATAATGTGGTAAAGAGAAATGTTAGCATGCTAAAATAGGATGGGATGAGAGTTTCCAGCAAGGCTCAGAATGTTGGGAAGGCTGTCCTGCTGGGCTGGCCCTTTAGCTATCTCATGAGGGATGAGTAAGCTTTCAGGTTAGTAGACTATAATACATGCTTTACAACCTAGGAAATAAACTACTTTGGAAAATTCTATTAGGATTATAGCAATGATAAAAAATTATATGTTATTAAATTGTCTTATATATAATTAATATAGTATTTAAAAATAAATCTACACGAAAATGTTTCAGATTAGTCCAGTACAACTAGCTTTTAATAAGTGTCAATCATGTATCAGGCACTGTAATAAAAATGAGGGGATAAAAAATGGGCTTTAAAGATCACAAACTGAAGGAACTGGAAAAGAACTTGTATTTTTGAGCTCCTAGTATGTATCATAAACTTCAGTTATAACATCTTTTTGCATTCAAAATACCTCTGTAATATGGACTTTCAAATCCTTTTTGCAGATTTAGCAATAGAGCACTGTGCAGACACACTACCAAACAGGGTGTGTTCTAAAGCTGATTGATGCCAAAATCTTTTGATTTCAAAGTAAATTTTGTTTTTATGTTGCTTTATCTCCTTATTTCTGAATTCACTGGGGATGCTGAAAGCAGCAGAAACACATTTAAGGAGCTTACCGTTGTTGGGTGAGAATACACATTTCTCTCATACATGTTACACTTTTAAATTCGCCTTAGTAGAAAAGGGATAGATGCTATATTACTGCCTGTGAACTTTCATTTTCACTTTGGTCCAAACTGAAATAAAACAGAGTACAATCTAACTAGAAGAGTGATAGAGCAGAAGAGAGTAAAAAGTGAAAGAACGGAGACAATGAGAAATGTGATTAGTATAATTTTATCAAGAGATTTTAAGTGGGCAAACAGTTTGGCAATTGTCACAGCAAGTTCCAAAGCATCACCAAGTGTCCTTCTATGAACACGTGTTTGAACCGCACTTGAGAGAGGATATTCATTTTCAGGAGAATATATATGAGGAAATTGCATTAAAAGATAATTTCTAGGTGGAAATATGCTGAAATAAGCTTTACCAGGTTAGGAAGCATAAGTAGGCAAGTACATACTTAAAATAGTCTCTTCTATTATTGCGTACAATTTGCACATATGCAAACCAAAAATAAAAAGAAGACTATGGCTTGTTATTATTCACTATATTTGGTAAAACTGAAATACAAAAATTCCTAGGGGCTAATGAGTATATCTGTAGATGTGATCCTCATTATTTAAATATTTCCTCAGATGCATAGAAAATTAGTAGAAGGAAATTTATTAATATGCTAAGGGTAGGAAACTGGTGAAATGACAGGTGATTTTAGTTTTTTTCTTTATATTTTTTTGTACTGCTCAAAACCTTGCAAGTCCATCCTTAAAATACAATTCACAGCTGTAACAACAGCTACAAAGAAGCATGAAGCTGCACATTCCCCAAATCATAGCATGCCAGAGCAGACCATGCAGATATTCTGGTAGAGACATTTTATTCTCCTGTGAATAGGAACAAGTGGAGAAACTTGTTTTTCTCCACTAAGTTAACTGCTCTTTTTTCCATCAAAACAGGCACATCGATAATTTGCACTTTCACAAAGCAGTTTTTCCAGACCCACTGTTGTCCCAAATAGTGGATCATGCTAATTCTGGCTTTGGAGCCTTTAACTGTTTAGAAAAATCTGAAGTCGCCTACTCATTCGCAAGATAAACTATTCCAATCACACGTCTCAATTTAGATATTATTAATCCTCTTGACTCACCACTTCTGTGTTTGTTGCTTCTAGTATGTTTGCCTATATTACCTCACACTGCTCTGCTCAGAGCACACTATATCTTGATGACATTGATTTTGTTAAAATTTGAAGTAATTATCTTCCCTACTAGATTGTAAGTTTCATGAGAAATTACATATAATATATTATGTATATATTATATAAATATATGTATATAGAGAACTTTTCTGGGAAAGCAGATTTTCAATTTGGATTTTTAATTGTATATATTTAAGGTGCACACCATGCTGTTTTGATATACACATAATATACATAATGAAATGATTACTACACTTAAGCAAATTAACCTATCCATCACCTTCCATAGTTTCTCTTGTGTGTGTGTGTAGTAGGAGCTCCTAAAATCTACTGTTTTATCAAATGTTCAGTGTATCACCCTTATTAACTATAGTCCTCATGCTGTACATTAGATCTCTAGATTTATTAATCTTATATAACTGCAAGTTTATACCCTTTCTACTTATCCTGATTTCCTCTTCCTCCCTGCCCCCAGTAATAATGTTCCACTCTCTGTGTTAATGCATTCAGCTTTTTTAGATTTTACACATAAGTATAATAATGAGGTGATTTCCTTTTTATGTCTGCCTTATTTCACTTAATATAATGTCTTCCAGGTTTATCTATGTTGTTGCAAATAGCAGTAACTCCTTTTTAAAAAGCTGAATAATATTCCATGGTATATATTTTGGACATATGATAATTTATTTGTTCATAGATGCTTAGGTTGTTTTCATATCATGTCTGTTATTAATGACACTGCAGTAAACATGGAAGGGCTGATATGTCTATGAAGTGCTAATTTTAATTTCTTTCAATATTCCCAGAAGTGGTAGATCATATGTCAGTTCTATTTATAACGTGTTGAGGAGTCTTCATGCTGTTTTCCATGCTGACTGTATCAACTTGCATTCCCTCCAACAGTGTACAGGGTTTCCTTTCTCCAATAAACTCATCAACACTTCTTATTTCTTGTCTGTTTTCTTTTTTCTTTTTTTTTTTTTTTTTAAGACGAAGTCTCACTCTGTCACCCAGGCTGGAGAGCAGTGATGCAATCTCGACTCACTGCAACCTCTGCCTCCCAGGTTCAAGCAATTCTCCTGCTTCAGCCTCCCAAGTAGCTGGGATTACAGGCACCCACCACCACGCCCAGATAATTTTTGTATTTTTAGTAGAGACGGGGTTTCACCATGTTGGCCAGGCTGGTCTCGAACTCCTGACCTCAGGTGATCCACCTGCCTCAGCCTCCCAAAGTTCTGGGATTACAGGCGTAAGACACTGTGTCCAGCCAGCCACCAGTTCTGGCCTCTTGTCTTTTTGATATTAGCTATCCTAACAGATGTGAGGTGATGTCTCATTGTGGCTTTCAGTTGCATTTCCCTGGTGATTAGTGATGTAGAGCACTTTTGCATAAACCCAGTAGATGGCTACTGGCCATATTTATGTGTTATTTGAACAAGTTCAGAAAGACACTGATAAATGAACAATATACCATGTCCACAGATTGGAAGAATTAATATTGTTAAAATATCCATACAACCCAAATCAATATACACATGAAGCAAAATACATATTGAATGATTTCCCTATAAATTCCAATGACATTTTTCACAGAAATAGAAAAATGCAATCCTAAACTTTGTATGGAATCACAAAAGACCAGAAATAGTCAAAGTGATCTTGGAAGTAAATTAAAAAAGTTTGAAAGCATCACATTTCCTGATATTAAATTATATTACAAAGGTATAGTGTTTAAGACAGTATGATACTGGCATAAAAAAGGACACCTAAACCAATGCAATGAAATAGAAAGCCCAGAAGTAAACTCAAGCACATACAGCGAACTAATTTCCAACAAGGTCATTTATATGGCTTGGTTCTCTGTCCCCATCCAAATCTCACCTCAAATTGTAATCCCCATAATCCCCACATGTCAAGGATGGGACAAGGTGGAGGCAATCATATCACAGGGGCAGTTTCCTCCATGCTGTTCCGGTGACAGTGAGTGATTCTCGGGAGATCTGATGGTTTTATAAGCATCTCGCATTTCCCTTGCTTGCACTCACTCCATCCTGCCACCCTTTGAAGAAGGTTCCTGCTTCTCCTTTGCCTTCTGCCATGATTGTAAGTTTCCTGAGACCTCCCCAGCAATGTGGAACTATGAGTCAATTAAACCTCTTTCCTTTATAAGTTACCCAGTCTCGGGTATTTCTTTATAGCAGTGTAAGAACAGACTAATACACTCACCAATAAAACACAATGAGGAAAGAATAGTCTTTTCGATAAATGATGTTGAGTGAACTGAATATCCACATGCAAAGAAATGAAACTGGACCCTTATCTTACACTAGACACAAAAATCAACTTAAAAAAGATTAAAAACCTAAACATAAAACCTGAAACCATGAAATTCCTACAAGTAGACTAGGGGAAAAGCTTCTTGATATTGCTGTTGGCAATATTTTTTTTGTCTTATCACACCAAAAGCTCAGGTAACAAAAGCAAAAAATAAAAATAAAAATAAAATAGAAATAAACTGGGCCTATATCTAACTAGAAAGCTTCTTTGAAGCATGGACAATAATCAACAAGAACAAAAAGGCAGCCCATATATCTGAAAAGGGGTGAATATCCAAAATATAGAAGGAATTCACACAACTCTATAGCAAAAGGACAAATAACTCCATTAAAAATGTGGAAAAAAAAAAAAAAGACTGGGAGAGGTGGCTCACACCTGTAATCCCAGCATTTTGGGAGGCCGAGGCAGGTGGATCACCTGAGGTCAGGAGTTCGAGACCAGCCTGGCCAACATGGCAAAACCCCATCTCTACCAAAAATACAAAAAATTTGCCGGGCATGGTGGCAGGTGCCTGTAATCCCAGCTACTCGGGAGACTGAAGCAAGAGAATCGCTTGAACCCAGGAGATGGAGGTTTCAGTGAGCCGAGATCACACCGCTGCACTCCAGCCTGGACGACAAGAGTGGAACTCCCTCTCAAAGAAAAAAAATGTGAAAAAAACCTGTATAGATAATTTTCTCAAGAAATTGACACACATGTTTTTTATGCACAGAGAAAAGGTAGCTTGGGGAACAAAAAAAGATTTCTAGAAGGAAAGAACCACATGTTCAAATTCATGCAAGAATGAAATATCTCTGCTATCCACATGATTTGCTCTTGCATGCTACAGTTCGGTAAGTGTGCAGCTTCAGAGTTATAAAAAATATATTTACATATATATTTGTATGTATATATGTGTGTGTGTGTGTATTTGCGTAGGTATTTGTTGAATTATAGCATAATAAATTACCAGAAAACTTGTAATTGCTATCATAAAGAATGAGAGAGAATTTTGACTAGAGGGGAAATAGAATACTGTTTTGCAGTTGGTGGTGGGTACAGACCATGGATTACAGTGGCTCCAGTCTTAATGATTGTCTAAGTGTTTCCAACGCCTGGAATACAGATGTCAGGAAGGAAAACTGCACAGCAGAGGTAAAGTTAGTTAACTGAAAGTAAATATATCAAAATGAGATATGGGCTTAAAGTGCATTTGAATGGAAATCTATTTATATTAACTGTTAGGAAACAAATAGCATATTAAGGAATGAATCACCCATGGGCTCAAAAACAGATAAAATAGTGTTGTATTAAATACCTGAAGAGGTGGTTTTCTACTGGGAATTTACTAAAATCTAGAAATAGAAATAAAGAGTGGTGGTGTTGATGCAGAGGTTGAATTTTGGAGGGCAATTGTGAGAGAACAACAAACAGGGCAAGAGAGTTGAGCATATTGGAAGACCAATCTATTTAACATTATCCTTGTGTTATTTTCACCTCTATGAAAATGCTTTCCCAGTCTCTCTTCTGGGTTCACTTTTCTCCACCCATCTTAAATATTGACAATTGCTATCCATTGTTTGTTTCTGTCTTTGTATTTCATGTTGGACTATGGCTTATTGAGAATCTGAATGTTTTACATGTCTGTATTTTATTAATCATTGACAACAATACAAGGATTTTTTTAATGTTGTAAAAGAAAAGAGGAAAGATAGCTAAAGTGTGGCCATTGAGAGAGAAATAGAGAGAGAGAGAGAGACTGCAAGTGATAGTTCCCAAGGAATGATTAAAAGGAATGGGTTTGGAGATTACACAGCTTTACAAAGCTAAAGGCGGAATTAGCTTTGATACTTATTACAATAGTAATATAAATGAGGACAAGTTATTTTGGCTTATTAAACAAATTTCTAATTTTTAAATGACGATGATGTATATCATAGAATAAGTATGATAATTAAATGAGATAAAATATCTAAAACAATCAACCTAGGGCCTGAAACCTGGAGCACTTGGTAAAATGCAGTTATCAGTATTACAATTACATATTTGTGGTTATGATTTTTGTGTCTATTGTCTGAGGCTAATGTGTTCTTAACAAGATAAGTATGAGATTATACCTAAACTGCAGCAAGATAGAGATACAAATTAATGGCTGAATAAAATAAATTAGTTCATTTTAAAAATATGTACTGAGCCTACAATGCACACAGCATCAGGCAATGTTTTACACAGCATTGAGTATAAAGGTTAAAAAGCACATGTAATATTTTTATTTATTCATTAATACATACTTATTGCAAATACTATGTGGAAGTTACTACATCAGAATATGAATACCAAGTGGTAGGTTTTTAAGGAGCTCTTATCAAGCTAACAGTCTCATCTGGGAAGGAAGCACTAAATAGAACAGCAAACACAAAAAATTGTAATTTGAAAATAAGCTTAAATATCTGAAGTAAAATAAATGACTGCTAAGAGATGAAAAAAATTCTAGGCCCTTTCTAAGAAAGGTATATTTTAGTTGATATTTGGAAGATGAAAAAGATAAAAGTAGGTGATAATTAGAAGGAGAATATTTCAGACAGAAGAAACTGGATAATCAAGTACCTTAAAGTAAGAAGAGATCACAGAAACAGAAAGACAGCCTGTGTTGCTGGAGCATGGAGAGTTAAAAGGAAGTAGCTCAGAATAGACTGTGTAGATACAGACTGAAACAGCTTATTATCTTATAACCAAGGCTATAAAATGAGAAATGGAGTGACAAGAATCATTTATTACCAAATATGTATTGCATGTTTATATATGCTATACATTTTGTAGGAATCAGGGACAAAATGATCAGCTCCAAAAAGCTAACCGAATAAACAAGCAAATTATATGATACATGAGATGACGGTAATGAGCAGTACAGAAAAGGAAAAATGGAAAGGGGGTAAGGAGCTCCATTTGGATGGATGAGTAGGCTTGGGAATATTGCAATTTTAAACAGGAAAGTACGATAGGCTAACTGAAAATGTGATGTTTATTCTGCTTTTGCTGTTTAAACATTTTTAAACCTGTTTTTAAAGAAATGTATGCTCATAGTAAGCATAAAATATGTCTTTTAATTTTTATTCATGGTATTATTCCATACACTCACACATATTCTATTCTTCAGATTAAGCCATTGCCATGAATTCTTTTTATCTTTGCAGAATTTTTTATAGTACAATATTTCTACTTTTGTTGTTTTCAATTATAATATATCTAGGAATCTCCCCATTTAAGAACATATATCACTTTCTTATTCTTTTTTATTGTAATCCAACAATTTTATAATATTAACAGATTTTATTAGACCATTATTACTATTATTATTATTATTATTTCAGCCCAGGCTGGAGTGCAGTGGAGCGATCTCGGCTCACTGCAAGCTCCGCCTCCCGGGTTCACGCCATTCTCCTGCTTCAGCCTCCCGAGTAGCTGGGATTACAGGCACGCGCCAGCATGCCTGGCTAATTTTTGTATTTTTAGTAGAGACGAGGTTTCACCATGTTGGTCAGGTTGGTCTCGGACTCCTGACCTCAGGGGATCCTCTGGCCTCTGCCTCCCAAAGTCCTTGGATTGTAGGCATGAGCCACCATGCCCGGCCTATTCAATCATTTGGAGATAGACATTTAAATAATTCCATTAAAATATTTCAAATAAAATTATAAGGAAGGTGTTGTATACATATCTTTGGAAAATATGTGATTAATTAGAAAGTGGAATTTAGGGGTAAAATAATTCATATTACAAGAATTAATTTTGATAGAAAACTCCAGACTGTTCTTCTAAATGGCAGTGTCAATCCAATGTCAAACAACAACAGTATGTGGAGGTGATAGATTCTTATTCTCACCAACACTTCCAGATAATCACCTTTTATAATTTTCCAATATGACTAAAATAGTATCTCAATATAGTTTTTATTTATATGTCTTGAATTATTAGTGTATTTTTCATTATTATTAGTTAGTAGTATTCATTTTCAGACCATTGTTCCCTTGACATATTGCAATCTCTCTGTTTATTAAAGAAACTAGACTTTGTGGAATGTGTCAAAATCATTTTCTGAATATTCATAGTTTCTTTTTTTGTTATTTACGGTATCTTTCATTAAACAGATATTTTAGTTTGGAGATAGTAAAAATCAGTGTTTTCCTTTATAGCTTTTGATTTTGAGACTTGATGGCTTTTGTTTAGCAATATCTTCCCATTCCGACTTTATAAAATATTTATCCACCATTTCTTGATGCATGGTTCAATTTTTCATGCTTCAATCATTCTTACCTAAAAATTTGGTTCAAGTTTTTTGTTTTTAAATAAGGTAACATAGCATTCATATTTTGTTCCAAATACTAATCAGTTATTATAATTCTTTCGTTCAATAACCTGTTCATTTTCGAGTAATTTAAAATGTCAACAATTTTTATTACATAAAATTTCCAAATGTAATTGCATTTATTTTTTAAAACTATATTAAACTTGAATGTATGTGCTTGACTGTTCTTGCTTAAGATCTTATTATTTTCATTCATGTCACTTTGTAATGTTTATTTTATAATCAAATAAGGCTCATAGCCCCTTATTGTCCATTTTCATAATAATTCTGGTCTCTTCGTATATTTTTAGGCATTTTTCAGATTAAATAAAGGATACCTTTGTTACTTTGACCAGGATTATATTAAACTAATCTATTTCAGGAAGCATAATGTCTCCACAATATTTTTTAAGTTATCTTTATAAAAAGCTTTGTATATTTATGATTGTCAGCCTTGGGTTTATCTATTCATTGCTATTATAAATATTCTCTTTTCTATCACTTTATTTTATTATATTGTATTTTCTTGTTTGAAGAATGTAAGCTTCTTGGGATATGTATAGCATATGTATATTAACATTATATACCGACATTTTATTAATTTATTTTTTTCAAAAAGTAACTTTATATTTATAACTGAGTAATAAGCTACAAAACCATAGCTATAGTTTGAAAAAATAGCCATTTGAGTTAAAAAAATTGACTGTATTACATCCTATGCTCACACACTTACTAAATACTAAATACTGAAAACAGTAAAAGTTATCCATCTAATTTTAGATACCCCAAAATGATTTAATCATCTTAGTGACCATTTATCTGTTTGTATTTAAAACATTAAAAATGGTATTTTAACTTCACATACTGAAATCTTAAAACATTAAATGAATAACTCAAATAATCTGCCACCATTTATCTTGCATTTTATGTTCAGATACTATTGTCTTGTGCTGGTCTTTTTATCCTCCCTCATACATTAGTCCTATTTTTATGCTGTCGGACAAAGTTAAAACTGTGATGTGTCACTGTAGATCAACATACATAATGAACCTTAAAATGTGACTGACTCTAAAATCCACCACTTTAAGCTAATTGTTCTCCCTATTATCATTAAACAAAAATTGCATGTGTAAATAACTGGGCTACTCATTAATATAAATCAGGGAACTTCAGTGTAGGACTAGGACTTAGAGTCTAAACCCCAAACTTGCTAAATTGAGGATAAAGAGACACAAAAGTGTTAAATGTCTTGTTCAAGGTCACATGGCAAATCCACAGCCTGTTAGGTTTTATTAAAATCTTTCTATAATCACAGAAATTTTTTATATTTAATTTTAATTTACCAAAATGCCTTCTTAACTAAAAATATTTTGATTGGATTTTGTGGTTCAAAACATATAATTTGTAAACATTTATTGTGTTTAGGAATGCTGTTAAGAGTGACGACTACAATTAATTATTTTTTGGAGTGCTAAGAAAGGTAACTTGCTCAAGGGAGTTTTTGTAATTTTCATGTGAATATTGATAAATAAAGTGCCTTCCAATCATTGCAAAATGTTTCCTGAGAGATTCCAAGTTACATTCATGTTGTATAACAGATGATAGAAATTAGAATTAATATGGAAGGGAGTATACAAAGCATTGTAATATTATCTTCCAAGATTGTAATAACTTATTCATTTCCTTTATCTTTATCATATGAATCAAATGCACTGGAGAGCATTTTGCCAAGATGTCCTTTTGTCAGTTTAATTCTCATTATCTTGAAGGCATGTCTTAATAACAAAACATTCTTTATGTCTTATTTCTGGTAATATCTTTTCATTTTCTAAATAGTTTTCTGATGTTACAGAGAAATAGAAAATTCATGTAAGAAAAACATTTGTTGCTATTGTTTAGAAATAAATAACCTATATTGTGTCAATTTGAAGCCCACAAAAATGAATAGGGCCCATAATTTTGACATTTTTGAATTATTTTTAAGGTCACAAGCATATTAAACACTGTTGAAACATGTAAGAACATATATATATATTCTTATATATATAACATATATATGTATAGATGTGTGTGTCTATATATATATATATATATATATATATGTTACCATTAGATAACTTATTTCAAGATGTTTTCCAAGTTTTTGTCCAAAGTGAATTGACTGCAGTTTCTTAGGTGTGTTTCTCAATACAGTGCCTCAAATTTCTTAAGCATATAAAAATTTGAATATTGTTTAACCTAATAAGTTCCTTTGTTTACAGGTTGTTTAATATTTCTGAGGATTAAAGATATCACAGCCCTCTTTAATTTTCAGTAATATTTATAACATCTGATATATATAGGGTGTCACAGACTGCAACAAATTCAGAAAAAAAAATGTTAAAAATTAAATAGCTCTAAAATAGGAAACCAAACCCAGGTTCTAAGCTTTACGTTAGCAGGGAAACTGTTAAATATCACGATCCACCACAAAACTGCATCAGTGACTAGGCATAAGGTAGGAAGAATGACAGGATGGTTAAGAGAAGGGTTATGGGGCCTAACTCTATGTGAACACAAATTTTTTGAACTGCATTGTGCCTCATTTTATCCATCTTTACAGTGGAAATAGTACTTAGAATTCTCATGAGGATTAATTTAGTTTGTACATATATGCTCTTTGATCAATGACTGGGTTCACTATAAGTGTCTATAAGATATTTGACTATTGTATGCATTCAATGAGTGAGTCTGATTTGAAGTACAGTGATGTTTTTTTCCACTAAGTTACATATTAACTCTGCAGCAAATATTTAAGATTTTACAAAATATCTTAGTTGTTCTGCAAGGTTATTATCTCCTTCAGTAATCAACCTGAGTCTCAATCAAATAAGTTCAGGGGATAGTCAGTTTTTATTAATAGAGGCTGGGGATGAAATGATAAGATTACTGGCTCAAGATTTACCAACTAAAGGCTTTCAAGTTCTAAAAGTTTCAGTCAATTTGCCTATACACAGACATAACACCTCGAACTCAGCCCATGGTCAGAGGTATAAAACTCCAAAGTTTTTCAGGAAGAAATAACAATAACTTAATGCAGAAGATCAAAATAGTTGTTACCAAGAAATGCTTTGAGTAAAAAACATTTATTTTATGTAAACTCAGCTACATTCTCCTAGTATTCATGATATAACTTGTGTGATTAGATGAAGTTTAGATGGCCTAGAATTAATCACCTGCCAGAATAGCGTAGTGAGCATATGAAGATTTTTCCATCAATTTGACCTGGTTTCATTCCTAATCCTATCACTTACTAACTGTGGTATCCTGATTTTTTTAAAACATTTTTGAACTACAGTTTCCTCATATGTGAAAAAAGAAAAATTATTGATGTTCACCTCATTGTGAGGATGAAAGAGATAATAAATACAAATTTCATATTTCAGTGCCTGACAAATGAGTGACAACAAATTGTGGCTTATTAGACCAGTTTTTTTGGCATAAATAGACAATGATATTTATTAGTGATCTCATGTTCAATAAGTTTCTCTTTTATATTTCTCTCCAATTGCTTAAAGTTTATGGTAATGTTACAACTATGTCCTTCTAAAATTTCTCATTAGAGTACTTTTACTGTTAGGCAGGCTTTAAATTGATATAAAATTTAAGAAGTGATTTCAGTTTAACTGAAATCATATCGAATGAGTGACTAGTCATGAAATATATAAAGATTTGTGTCCAGGAACAAAAGAATTCGAAAATGCCTGTATTTCTTAAGGTAATATTATGTTTACGGAGTATACTAATCGACTTGTATATCTATCCCGTAACAGTATCATGATTTTATTTTCTAAAATTAATATTGTTGTGTGAAAATAATTTATGTGACATCCTTGTACAAAAACTTAGGTTAAATATTTTACTGTGTAATGTAGTGTTTTATCTAGGACTTTACTAACACCCATAATTCTAAGTTACTTTAAAGAGGTTGGATAATTATGCACATTTGTAGAGAAGAGCAAATTGACTTGAATCCCTTGCAAAGGAACATAGTTTAGCATAGGACTTGTAAGGAAAGAGTTATGCTACTGTTAGAAAGCTGTAAGGAAAGAGTTATGCTACTGTTAGAAAGCTGTAAGGAAAGAGTTATGCTACTGTTAGAAAGCTGTTATGATTATCGCAGTTGGATATGGTATCTGAGCAGTACGTTTCAGACTTTGCAGTGAGAAGAATAGCACTGAGATATATGATTTTTAAAGGTAAAATAAGGTGTCTGGAATGGTTCAGAACTGTGATTCAGATAATGCAATTTGTGGAGTTAGGAGACCTCCTGTTCTAGTTGCTCTGGGCTGACAAAGGTTCCTGAGCAAAGATTCTGGAAAAATTTATATAGATGCTAGTGTATTTACCATATTTTAGTAGGTAAGAACTCAAATGCTTGTTTTCAACTGGTCAAATATGTGGATGCCATAGTTTTCTGCATTAGAGGCACCACAATTGGATGTTTTGTGTAAAAATCTGAAAAAAATATAATATACTGTAAAATAAATCTTTTACAGTAAAACTTTATTCTCTCCCAAAGAACTCAGTGAATCTTTATTGTCTTTTGAGCACCCAGATATCATCCCATTACTTCATCCCTGACAAAAAATTGTATTCTTTTTCAATCCAAAATGCCCAGGAGTCTAAAGTAGCTGCAGCTTCCTTGTGGTCAACAATAGGGCATCTCTCCTAGAAAAGGGATAGTATTCATTTTTTTCTTTTTTCCTGATGTGGAAATTGTTAGTGCATTGTGACATCCAAATATAATTATATTTAATATTTTTTGTGAGAGTAAATGAATTTATATTAAACAAACAATCTTCTGAACAAATTTTTTCTGAACAAATATGGATCAAGCAGGAAATACATAGATTTACATACCCTCTTCTTTTTTTTTTTCTTTTTGTTTTTATTATTGTACTTTAAGTTTTAGGGTACATGTGCACAATATGCAGGTTAGTTACATATGTATACATGTGCCATGCTGGTGCGCTGCACCCACTAACTCGTCATCTAGCATTAGGTATATCTCCCAATGCTATCCCTCCCGCCCTGACCCCACAACAGTCACCAGAGTGTGATGTTCCCCTTCCTGTGTCCATGTGTTCTCATTGTTCACTTCCCACCTATGAGTGAGAATATGCGGTGTTTGGTTTTTTGTTCTTGCGATAGTTTACTGAGAATGATGATTTCCAATTTCATCCATGTCCCTACAAAGGACATGAACTCATCATTTTTTATGACTGCATAGTATGCCATGGTGCATATGTGCCACATTTTCTTAATCCAGTCTATCATTGTTGGACATTTGGGTTGGTTCCAAGTCTTTGCTATTGTGAATCATGCCACAATAAACATATGTGTGCATGTGTCTTTATAGCAGCATGATTTATAGTCCTTTGTGTATATACCCAGTAATGGGATGGCTGGGTCAAATGGTATTTCTAGTTCTAGATCCCTGAGGAATCGCCACACTGACTTCCACAATGGTTGAACTAGTTTACAGTCCCACCAACAGTGTAAAAGTGTTCCTATTTCTCCACATCCTCTCCAGCACCTGTTGTTTCCTGACTTTTTAATGATTGCCATTCTAACTGGTGTGAGATGATATCTCATTGTGGTTTTGATTTGCATTTCTCTGATGGCCAGTGATGATGAGCATTTTTTCATGTGTTTTTTGGCTGCATAAATGTCTTCTTTTGAGAAGTGTCTGTTCATGTCCTTTGCCCACTTTTTGATGGGGTTGTTTGTTTTTTTCTTGTAAATTTGTTTGAGTTCATTGTAGATTCTGGATATTAGCCCTTTGTCAGATGAGTAGGTTGCGAAAATTTTCTCCCATTTTGTGGGTTGCCTGTTGGTAGTTTCTTTTGCTGTGCAGAAGCTCTTGAGTTTAATTAGATCCCATTTGTCAATTTTGTCTTTTGTTGCCATTGCTTTTGGTGTTTTAGACATGAAGTCCTTGCCCATGCCTATGTCCTGAATGGTAATGCCTAGGTTTTCTTCTAGAGTTTTTATGGTTTTAGGTCTAACGTTTAAGTCTTTAATCCATCTTGAATTGATTTTTGTATAAGATGTGAGGAAGGGATCCAGTTTCAGCTTTCTACATATGGCTAGCCAGTTTTCCCAGCACCATTTATTAAATAGGGAATCCTTTCCCCATTGCTTGTTTTTGTCAGGTTTGTCAAAGATCAGATAGTTGTAGATATGCGGCATTATTTCTGAGGGCTCTGTTCTGTTCCATTGATGTATATCTCTGTTTTGGTACCAGTACCATGCTGTTTTGGTTACTGTAACCTTGTAGTATAGTTTGAAGTCAGGTAGTGTGATGCCTCCAGCTTTGTTCTTTTGGTTCAGGATTGACTTGGCGATGCGGGCTCTTTTTTGGTTCCATATGAGCTTTAAAGTAGTTTTTTCCAATTCTGTGAAGAAAGTCATTGATCAAGCTACATACCCTCTTCTATGTTACCATATATGTGGCTTTTAAAAAATATAGAAATATATATATTATAAAAGATAAATATATAGAGTGAGAGATATAGAGAGAAAGGAGGGAGAAAGTCAGAGAGAGTGTGTGTGGCATGACATCTTAAGCTAACACATTCTTCTGAGGAGAAGATTATTTAGTTAATGATTTATTTAGTGTTACAAATAATTCTGGAATGACTGACAGAACCTTTCTAGTCTTCTTTTTCTTAATAGGGCAAACCTTCAGGGGTTCCTGCTTTGTGCCTCAGCCTAATTATTAGCTGCTTGATATTCTTGTTCCTTCAAATAAGAGGCCTACATTAAAGTATGACTCTATATAAACCACTGTGGCAAGCTTCTAAGCGTATTTGTTTATTTTATTTTTCTATTCTATCATTGCTTTCTAGTATCCTTGGTGTGTGTGTGAGTGACTGTGTTTCTATGCTTGATATCTTTATTAACACTCAAAAACTTACTCAGGGTAAGTTATTCTAGGTTTAAAAAATATTCTAGGTTTAAAAATAAAAATAAATAAGAGTTTAACTGGAAATAATGCTTCTAGCCGCTAAACTAATCTGTTTTTTTTTCTTTTTTTAAGCAACCCCATAAGGCAGATCCTACGAGTATACTCATTTTGTAACTAGGAAGTGGAAAAGTAAAGTGTTTTGGTAATTTACCTTTGGTCACACAGGTAACCCATTGTAGCACCTATAGAGAAGGAAAGACATGCTCTCAGCCATCCCCCAGTGTAGGGTAAACTTCCCTCCCTTCTCTTTCAAGGCTATGATGAGAATGACTATATTATTGATCCTTGTTAACTCCTAAATTTGTCTCCCATTCCTCCCTCCAGCAACTGAATCTCAGGGAAAAAAAAAAATGCAAGAAAAAATTGTTGGGAATTGGGGGATGACAGGCCAGATCATAGACATTTTAGTAAAATGGTTCTCAAATATGTGTTAAAAATTAAAACAGAATGTGCAAAATTTAGGAGGAGGCCAGTCACTTAAACTCATCAAATGTCTGCAGTATAAAAACATAAAATTGTGAGATTGCCATAGTAACGTGTTTTATTTTCTGTGTGTAGATAGCTCAAGTAACTCTCAGAAGTTGTTTAAAATGATAGAAGTAGATGTGCAGACAACTTCTCTTTGAATGAAAACAATAATCTTGTAGAAAAACTGTCTTTTTGATACTTGAATGCCGGGTAGTCATGTAACGACATGCTAGCATACAGATTAAGTATCTAAGATGTTTCTCTTTGGAAGATTTGAGAAGCTCATCTGCAAAATTTTGTGAAGTGACCTGAACAATTAAGAAGATAAAACACAAAATGATTTTCCCCATTGAATTCTCACTTACAGATCTTTGGAACACAGGCTATTTATGGACTAGTTGTTAAAAGTGTGCTATATCAGCACTTATATAATAACAGTTCAAGCACAAATATTCACATTGGTTTAAAGTTACACATTACCCTGTTTATTTCAACTGGAAATGTGTTCATTTTACATAAAGGGGTTTCAAAAGAATTACATCTGTGTAGTTCAGAAACTTGTGATTCTCTGTCTTAAGTCATCTCAACACTTTAAATTTCAGTTAAATTTATATTAAAATTATGTGGCAACTAATTCTAATAGCAAGAATATACAAAATATGCCTTCAAAAACCTGTGTAGTGATATTTACCTTAAAGAAGTATTGAGTTGGCCGGGCGCGGTGGCTCATGCCTATAATCCCAGCACTTTGGGAGGCCGAGGCAGGCGGATCACGAGGTCAGGAGATGGAGACCATCCTGGCTAACACGGTGAAACCCCGTCTCTACTAAAAATACAAAAAAAAAAAAAAAAAAAAAAGCCGGGCGTGGTGGCAGGGGCCTGTAGTTCCAGCTACTCCAGAGGCTGAGGCAGGAGAATGGCGTGAACCCGGGAGGCAGAGCTTGCTGTGAGCTGAGATCGTGCCATTACACTCCAGCCTGGGCCACAGAGCAAGACACCGTCTCAAAAAAAAAAAAAGCTGTCATTTTTCTTTAACCCTGTAAAATACATGAACATACGCATACACAAGAAAGCATGTGTGCTCTCTTCAAATACACTGAAGTATAAACATGGAACAAAAATATTTCTCAGTATTACCACAAAGGAAACAACAAAAGACAGTGAATTTAAATTAGAAAATCCTAAAGGTACAATATAAGAACTCGCTAATAACTATAGCTGCAGCAAAAAAAAAAAAAAAAAGTGCTAAAATAAACACTAGTAATGCTTAAGTTTCAAGTCTCATGAAATCAAGGAGAAAAGGTAAAATGAACTACCTTGAAATACTTAGAGCTTGTGAATGATTTTGATAGATGATTTCTGAATTTCTTACTTCTTTATCTTCATATAAAGTGAGAAAGCAATATAAAAACATTTACTCAATGATCTGTATGATGATGAATCTAACATAATGAATTTTTAAAAGATCTTTATCTTTTTCTTGTGTATTCCAGTGGATAAAACATTTTTTGTGGTTCAAGACTTTGCACATAGGTAATCCAACTATAATACCTCACTTGTTAGAAAACAATCTTGAAATATAATCATATTTAGTCTGTAAAACTGTCAGAAAAAGAAATTATTATGGAAGCATAGTATTGAAAAAGCAATTAAAATGTGACATGTTATACATAAAAATGCAAACTTTTATGAAAGTGTCAAATTTAATATTCAAGTAATATGCCAGTTTAGAAAAATGTTGTCAAAATATGATACCAAGTTCCTTTCTCCTTGATGAAGTTAAAGCTTATTAATTACATGGGGTGATATGTGTATAGATATTTTGATCATTATGCATATGTATCTTTAAACCTAATTTTGGCCACTGAATTAAAAGCCCACATTAAGGTTAAAGATACATATGCATAAATAAGTTTATTTCATACATGTCCAAACTGGTCATTCACTCATCTCACATAAAACTTTAATAAAATAAAATAAAATAAAATTCTAAACGTTTCATTTTACCAGAAGGTATATTTTGTGCAATCACATCTTTAATACTTATCATTTACATTTGTTAGATTATAATTTAGACATTATAGGCTTTAATTTCAGAATTTGAAATAATGCAAAACCCACTTAGAGGTGATTTTAGTCTTTTTTATCATATATTTTATTCCAAGATATAACATACATCTTTGACTTAAGTAATGGTATTCTATGCAAATCTGTCTAAGAGTGTTCAGATGACTTTTATCAGCCCATAAAGTTTTTTAATAGAAACACACTGTTTGCTTTTGACAGACACTGATAAAATTTCAGTCTATGTGTAGTCACTCTAACCAAACTACTTCCCAATCTTTAACTGAGTTATTAATACATACTTTGAACTCAGTAACTTTTTGAGTTCTCAAAGCACGTATCTATTACTACACTGAGACTGTTCCATCTAGACAAAAGGATCCTGTGGGTGTCCTGAGATCTGTGGGTCTGTTTCAAGGTGTGTCAGTTACAATTCCCAATAGACTCAAAAGCAGGAGGGTCCCAAATAAGTCAATGTCTGTAAGCCTAACAAATCCAATTTATTGACTCACGTATGTAACAACTACTTATTGTTTGCCCATTTTATCAGTTTCTGAGCTCTGCATTGACATACATAAAGAGAGTTCAGTGGCTAGATCTTTTCCATCTAGGAGTTCACAGTCTAGCTGAGTAAAAAGAGGTATGATAATAGCCTGAGGGAAGCCCAACTCCCACTCTTGCACTTTTATTTATGTTTTCCATTTCTGCTTGTGTTTCTGCTCAGTCTGGCTCTCTTCCACTGGTCTGTAATCAGAATTTGGAATTGAGTTGAAGTTAAATAGGCTTTTGGGCTAATCTTTTGGAAGAGTATTTATTTCTGTCTTGTACTCTGATTGTTCAAATTTTGAAGTTGATGCCCTGCTCTTCAAACACTACAGCTTGATAATTTTTTAATTGGAAGTATAAGTAAACATGTCCATATTATATTTTGAAATTATACATTTTATGCAATTAATAGCAAATTAATTAATTGAAAATACTTAAAATTTATTTTATCTTTCTATAT
The DNA here is from genome assembly GCF_000001405.40 of Homo sapiens. Lineage (NCBI taxonomy): Eukaryota > Metazoa > Chordata > Mammalia > Primates > Hominidae > Homo > Homo sapiens. The sequence continues at coordinate 189,369,723 of NC_000001.11, forward strand.
AGAATAGATCTTTTCTTAAGAGTGTTTTAATTTTCTCCATAATGTATAAGCATGGTTCATGACTGGCATTTGTATACTCAGCATTTCTGAACTTCAATGAAAATGCTTACAGGTAGCAAAATTTCTAGCTAAACTTTGTTTTTGCTGTAAGGTCACTTAGGTTTCAATGATTAAAAATGCTCAAGGATGCACTTCATATTAATCTTGGGAGGGCATAGATTGACTGACCTCTGTTGAAATTAAATATAATTTAAAAGGCTACATTATTCTTAAAAGTGACTTTATTAAAATTTGTTCATGCTTAAGTTATTTTTCACCTCATTGCCCTTATATGTATTTCTTGTTTCAATTTAATACATTATGTGTTCTATAAGAAGAACATTGATAAATGTATTTAAACTGAAAATGTTTTTATAACAGTAACAAGAAAAAAAAATAGCAGCCTCAATCCATGTCCTTTCAGGACACATGAACGTAGGCAATGCTTGTTTTAGTAAAAACTCAGCATAATTTGGGAATGCTTTCATGAAGCTTCAGAACACTTTCTGAGTCTCTCTTTCTTCATTTATAAAGTGGTTACCAAAATATAACTTTCATTGTTTTAATATAGAATTACATAAATTTATGTATACAAAAAACATAAAATGATATCTCAAGAAGTGTAATTGTTTTCTCCTTGCTCAAGTTACATAGTTACATTTTCCTTCTCAGACAGTCCACTTTTGAATTTCAATGGATTGATGTTGGTCTTGTCCTTCTTGTGTAGTTAGTCTACTATAATCTTGCTCATGATAGTCCCTTTTGGCCTCTTGGCCTCTTTATTGTCTGACAGTCAGAAATTCCATCTCTGTTAGGACCCAGTAGCATATCAGAAAATGTTTTTCAGAAACTGTATAATTTTCTACTGCAGATCACCTGGATTTACTCCAGAACACCAAAAGCCTGCGTTTTCTTTCCTCTGCTGAGGCTGGCCGTAAACTCCATATGATACTTTTATTTTTCACTACCAATATCCCTTATTAACATAGCCCAAGAGGCAGAAGTACTTGCATTACAGCCTGGAACTGTACACCCAGGATCTGAGGAAAAGACAGGGTAGAAGAATTAAGGATCCTCCACCAACACCCCTACTTCAGGCCTTGGACCCTTGCTCATATGCATTACTAAACAAGTGCAGTCTACCAATGGAGGAGTGAAAGGAGGACTGAAAGAGGCCCTTAGTAGCAGACAGACGGAGTCAGCTGAAATGTGAGAGCACTGAGGAAACCCTCTGGTGTACCACGCCTCCTAAATGTATGAAACTGGAGCAGTTGACTACTAGGTAATGAAGCCTTTGGTGTGCTCAATTAGCAGAAAACCCTATGCCCGGCTTTACTACAAACTAGACTGATTCAACACCCCAATGTAATGACCTGATAGATGAGGCATGCCCATTTCTAGGCATAAATATAATTATAATTTTTGATGATTAGAAATACATCTTTAGTAAAACTCACTGGCTATATCATTATGCACTCATGATAATTTGCATATCAATATAATTATTAATATTAACATAATTATCTCCATTTCAAATCAATCAATTGATCAGTCAATCTCATGCTCTCTTTTTCGCCCCAGATGATCTCTGAGGTACAATGGTTTGACTTAAAGATTTTTCAAAAGTTAAGGTGCAAAAGTCACATGTAAAGTAGAAATCGTACTTCAAGTACCCATAAAACCATTCTGTTTTTGACTTTCAGTACAGTATGCAATTAATTACATGAGATAGTAAATAATTTATTATACAATAAGATTTGTGCTATATGATTTTGTTTAATTGTAGGCTAATGTAAGTGTTCTGAGTATATTTAAGTTAGGCTAGGCTAAGCTATGATGGTTGGTATGTTAGGTCGATTAAATTCATTTTTGACTTTGATGTTTTAAACTTATAATAGGTATATCAGGATATAAACCCATTGTAAGTCAAACAACATGTCTATACAAGTGTGTGTATGTATCTCCATGTTTCTCACATACCTATGTGCTCTATACTTATAATATGGATGAAAACATTGATTTTTAGAACAAAGTACACAAGAAAGGAAATTCATTCAATTTTGTTTTCAGGACGACAAATTTTTAGTATTCCCCAAAATTACATATATTAATATTATGCTCCTCATCCAGTATCATCAGAAATCAAGTAAATGAACCCTGATTTCAGGCCTGATTTCATCATGGATTCTAAATTGCAATCAAAGACAAAGAAGACTGATTTTTTTTTTCAGATCTATTGAAGCAGAGTTAACATAAAATAAACTGTACTTATATAAGCAGTGCAATTTGATGTTTTGATATTTGTATATGCCTATAAAACTATCACCAGAACAAAACTTCCTCTTGACTTTAGTTTTATTGTCCTTTCCTATTTTCGTCCTCACCCAAGGCAAGCCGTGAACTGCTTTCTGTGACAATAAAGCATAGAAAAATTTGTATTTTATAGAATTTTATATGAATGGGTTTATAAGTACTGAACTCTTTTCTGTCTGGTTTCCTTCACTCGGCAAAATTATTTTGAGAATGATTCATGCTGTTCTGAAGATCAATAGTTCATTTCTTTTTATTGCTGATTTACCACAGTTGTTTATTCATTCAACTATTGATGAAATTTGGAACAGTTTTCTTTTTGAGTAAACTATAAATAAAGCTGTTCTGAACTTTTGTGTATAAGTTTTTATTGAGACATAGGCTTTCATTTATCTTTGGAAAATACCTAGGATTGCAATGACTGGATCATAAGGCAGGAGTATGTTTAAATTTTTGAGAAACTGCTAAACTATTTTCTAAAGAGTTTGCAAAATTTAGTTCTAGTCATTCCCATCTTCTCCAACACTTGGTATGGTGTTGGAGGCATTTAGCAGGCATTCTGATATTATATGTTGATATCTCATTATGATTTAATTTGCATTACTCTAAGACTATTTATATTTGTGGCTTATAAAGATTATTTGATGAATTATCTTTTGTTTTCATAAATCTGCTCATTTTTTGTGTGCAACACCTCTTATTTTATGTTTTTATAGTGCTTTATATATTCTGGATACAAGTCTTTTATAGAATATTTAATTTGCAAATACTTTCTCTAAATTTGTGTCTTTTTTTTTTTAAGTTCTAGGGTACATGTGCAGGATGTGCAGATTTGTTACATAGGTAAACGTGTGCCATGGTGGTTTGCTACACCTACAAACTATCACCTAGGCATTAAGCCCAGCATACATTAGCTATTTTTTCCGATGCTTTCCCTCTCTCTGCCCCTCCCCAACAGGTCCCAGTGTGTGTTGTTCCCCTCCCTGTGTCTGTGTGTTCTCATTGTTCAGCTCCTACTTACAAGTGAAAACATGTGGTGTTTGGTTTTCTGTTCCTGCCTTAGTTTTCTGAGCATAATGGATTCCATCTTCATCCATGTACCTGAAAAGGACGTGATCTTGTTCCTTTTTATGACTGCATATTATTCCATGGTGTATATGTACCACATTTTCTTTATGCAGTCTATCATTGATGAACATTTGGCTTGACTCCGTGTCTTTGTTATTGTGAATAGTGCTGCAATGAACATACACGTCTGCGTATCTTTACAATAGAATGATTTATATTCCTTTGGGTATATACCCAGTAATGGGATTGCTGGGTCAAATGGTATTTCTGATTCTAGGTCTTTCTGGAATCACCACACTGTCTTCAACAATGTTTGAACTAATTTATATTTTCACCAACAGCGTAAAAGTATTCCTATTTATCTGCAGCCTCATCAGCATCTCTTGTTTCTTGATTTTTAAAAATCGCCATTCTGACTGGGGTGAGATGGTATCTCAATGTCGCTTTGATTTGCATTTCTTTAATGACCAGTGATGATTTTTTTTTTTTTCATATGTTTGTTGGCTGCATAAATGTTGTATTTTGAGAAGTGTCTGCTCATGTCCTTTGCCCACCTTTTAATGAGTTTTTTGCTTTTTTCTTGTAAAGTTGTTTAAGCTTTTGTAGACTCTGGATATTAGACCTTTGTCAGATGGATAGGTCACAAAAATTTTCTCCCATTATGTAGGTTGTCTGTTCACTCTGATGATAGGTTCTTTTGCTGTGCAAAACCTTTTTAGTTTAATTAAATCCCATTTGTCAGTTTTTGCTTTTCTTGCAATTGCTTTTGGTGTTTTTGTCATGAAATCTTTGCCCAGGCCTATGTCTTGAATGGCATCACCTAGATTTTCTTCTAGGGTTTTTATAGTTTTGGGATTAAGTCTTTAATCCATCTTGAGTTAATTTTTGCATATGGTGTAAGAAAGGGGTCCAATTTCAATTTTCTGCATATGGCTAGCCAGTTCTCCCAGCACCATTTATCAAGAAGAGAATCCTTTCCCCAATGCTTGCTTTTGTCAGGTTTGTCGAAGATCAAAGATCAGATGGTTGTAGATGTGTGGTCATATTTTTGAGTTCTCTATTCTGTTCCGTTGGTCTATGTGTCTGTTTTTGTGCCAGTATCATGTTGTTTTGGTTTCTGTAGCCTTGTAGTGTAGTTTGAAGTTGGGTAGTGTGATCCCTCCAGCTTTAAGAACAGAGGTCTTAATTTTGATGTTTTATGCAATGTATACATTTTGTCTCTGTGGATCCTGTTTTAGGTATTATCTCGAGGGTATCTTTTGCTTACTGGAGAACAATAAAAATCCTCTTATATTTACTTTTAGATGGGTTATAGATTTTAGGTTTTACATTAATGTTTACTAACCATTTTGTGTTCATTTCTCTTTATGATGCAAAGGTGAATATACAAGAGTAGGCAGTTTTTGCAGGCTCAGCAAGTCAACAGAATTCTGAAAACCTAAGATTCTGATGAACCTATTCAATATATAAGTAGCCCATTTATTCTCAATCAAGGCCCTTGTTCTAAAGAGATTTGCCTCAGTTGGATGCTCAGATAATCTTTGGTCTCAGCCTTAAGTGTGATTCTCTTGGCCTTAAGGCTCACTGGCTTACTGTGGCAGGAAATATGTGTCACCAAGAAAGTCCTCTGGCTCTCACATTTAGCCTTTACTTTTCAATTAATTAGTTTTAACTTTTAGTGAACTTTTTCAGAGTTTAATCAAAATATACAGTAGCTTCGAAGTTCTATTGTATTTCTAGGTAACATGCTCCCCTTCCTTCTCAAATGTCTGACATATAATTCCTGCTAATATATTTCTTTCTGTCATCCTAGCTTATTAATTATAAAGACAGAAAAGAATACAAAGCTGCCTTGTGCTCCAGCTACTAGCCAGACATAGGGTCTTTATTGTCAGTAGCATGTCATCCAGCTACAAAATCTCGTTCCAGAGTCTGCTTATTCAGCTCACGCCTGGAAATGTCTGCAGATTTGGTTTTTATATATTAGATGATTTATTATGTAATGTCATGAGAATAACATCTGTGGAATGAAGGGAAAAATTATTTGGCAGAAGCTGAGCTCCAAAGCAGATTCAATAGACACCTTTACTGTCTCTATAGGGAGTTCTAAAGTTGGGAGGTTACTTTAGAGTATTCCCAAATTTTGATATTCAGTTACACTAATACTTTCCTTTCCAGTGTACTATTCTAAAATGAGATTCAGAACATTAAAAGTTGAAATTTTGCCAACTGAAACATGATTAGTCTGCATCTATGCCATGTAATTTATTTTTTGTTAAACCCTCTGGAGGATACAGTTATTTTATGTCCTAGCTTATCAATATTGAGATAATAAAGTTAATAAGGAAATAAAAGGAGTAAGTTAAGGGCCTATTTCCAGAGAGACATTTCATTGAAGTCTATTTATTTTCTAGAAATTTATTGGAAGTACACACACACACACACACACACACACACACACACACACACAAACATACACAAAGACAAAATCAGGTAGAATGTACAAATGTGTCAGGGAAATATATAGTCTATGGAATTGCTCTTACGCTAGTGGCTTGAGAGCCATTTCTTCCATATAATCTGCCATGGGAAGCATTTGTTATATTCTGTCTTAGGCTCAAAGTATTAAGCATAAGTATTATTAGTAGTATTATTACAGTAGTATTAATTCAAAGTCAAAATTATAAATTATCATTTGCAATCTTTTTTGTGGTTTGGTTTTTGATAATGTAAGCTTTTTGCTACACAGGTTTATAATTTTTGCATATATTCTTGAGATATTGGTCTATATTCATTTTAAAAATTATATTTATCAGATTTTGGTAACTAAGCACCATAAATACGTTATGGAGCTTTAATAATTCTTTTACCTAGAATACTTTAATATATCATTAGGTGCTAGAATTAGGCGTGAAATCATTAATTCCGATAACTTTTAAAAATGCTTTCAGTCCTTTCTGAGGAAATTGGATATTCAAATAATCTATCTTCTGGTTACCTTTTAAAAATTATAATTTTATGGGGAATCATATATTTCCTGTAGCACTTAAAATTAGCCATATGTAGAATTATATAATAATTTATTTTTAATTTACTATGGCTGTCTTTGCCCTTTAAAATTTATTTTATATATGTTTTTGTTTTTAAAATCTCATAAGAGATTAGCTTCTGTATGTTTTCAAAATAATAATCTTCTTCAATATTTATCTATTCTTTCTATTCTTCGTGTATCTTCCATTTTATTAATGTCTACCTTTATATTTATTAATTTATTCATTTACACTATATTAAATTATGCTTTTTTTACTTTTAACATATAGTAAGCTCCTTCATATTAAATATATTTTATATGATAATAAACACTATAAGGAATTACTTTTTGCCAACTACAAAAGAAATGTTATAATAATGTTTTATGTAAATTATCAAAATTTTTCCAATAAAAGACTTAATTCAACCTCATTTCTTTCTTTCTTTCTTTCTTTTTTTTTTTTTCCTGAGATGGATTCTTGCTCTGTCACCCAGCATAGAGTGAAGTGGTGTGGTCTCGGCTCACTGCAACCTCTGCCTCCCAGGTTCAAGCAATTCTCATGCCTCAGCCCCCTGAGTAGCTGGTATCACAGGCGCCTGCTACCTTGCCCAGCTATTTTTTTCTTTTCTTTTCTTTTTTTTTTTTTTTTTTTGTATTTTTAGTAGAGACAGGATTTCACCATGTTGGTCAGGCTGGTCTCAAACTCCTGACCTCAAGTGATCCTCCCGCCTCGGCCTTCCAAAATGCTAGGATTACACAACCTCACTTATTTCTGGACACACACAACACAAACACACACACACAAAGTGAAACACAAAAACACACAACAAATAACTAGGTATTTTTAAAGTTAACTTTCCCTTGCTGTGTTTCCTTACTTTTTTTATATGCTCGATATGACTAATTATAAAACAGGTACATCAATATGTACTGCTTTTATACCTTTTATGGCTAGGGGAAATAAATATGTATAGTTTTAAGATGTAATGTTCTTTTTTAGTTTTTAATATTATAAATAAAAGCTTTCTCATATTTAACATTAACTTAGAAAACTTTTTTCTATTGATATAAACCAAATCGTATTTTTTAAAAACGATAATGTCCATTTAATGTGATAACTATGTTATTAATTTAATGGACTAAAGTACAATTAAATTTTAGTTTAATTGATAACCTAATTATTAGACTTATTTACCATGTACCAAATATATTTGTAGATATAAAGCACAATAAATTATAGGTAAATAAAATGCATTTCTATAATATGATATATATAAATATGTAGATAACAGAAAATTATTTTAAAATATCTATTATAAATAATAGGGAATACATTACTTTTTTATATTTGAGTATATGTACATAATATACAATCACTTACTACATATTATGTATTCACATGTATATATATGTAAAATGTAACCATATTACGTACTAATATGTGCATGCAGTATTTGTGCTATATTTGTATAGTTTAAATAGTGATATCAATGTCACATATTTTAACACTGCAATTTCTTAATTGCCAAGCCTTACAATCTTAGGCAGCTAAAACATTTTCTGCTTAAATATAGCATAATTCAAATACTGTATCTCACATTCATAATGAAGTAATTAATTCATAATGAAGTTGTTAATATGAAAATATTTAACACAGTAAAATTATCTTTCACCTTTCCACTTAAAACCGTAAGTTCAATATGTGACTTCTTTTAATTATTGAATTTTGTGTAACACATAGAGATATTAACCTTAAATTACCATAAATTTATCAAAAATAAGGGATTTTTTTCATTTAAAATTTAAAGATATTTATCAAATGAAAGGGAGAGATTGTCACTTATGTCAGAGCTGAAGTCAGTGAACCAAACTTTCAGGATGATAATATTGCCACTTATTTATCAGAGATTTGAGACCATTATGGGGGACTGTAGAGCTCTATCTATACATGGAATTCTACTTTAACACCACATTTTTTATTTGACATTCAGCCAGTTTTCTTTTGTAATTCGGATATATTTGGAATCCGCATCTCATTAGAATGTTGTTCCAAGTTGCTGTAGTACTTATATGACTTCTGCATTCATTTCATATTTTTCGACTAGTTCACATTCTAGTTACGTTCATAAGATCAGGTTTTCTTCTCATATTTGGCTCATGACCATCAGTGGATAATCCTTCTAATAAGAAGGTATATTAAAATTTTCCACAGCAATTTATTTTCTTTTGTAAGTTCAAATTTTATATTAGCTTCAGTTGGTACATGTGCAGGCTTGTTAAAAGGGTATATTGTATGATGCTGAGGTTTGGGGTACAGATGATCACATCACCCAGGTAGTGAACAGTACCGAATAGGTAATTTTTTGGCCCACACTGCCTCCCTTCTCCCCCCTAGTAGTCCTAAATATCCATTGTTCCCATGTTTATGTCCATGTGTACCCAATAATTAGCTCCCACTTATAAGTGAGAATATATGGTGTTTGTTTTTCTGTTCCAACGTTAATTCGCTTAGGATAATGGCCTCCAGCTGCATCCATGTTGCTGCAAACTCATTATTTTTTATGGCTGTGTAGTATTCCATGATGTGTATGTACCACATTTCCTTTATCCAATCTACTATTGATGGGAAACTAGGTTGTCTCCAAGTCACCTATTGGGAATAGTGCAGCAATGAACATAAAAGTGTGTCTTTTTGGTAAAATGATTTATTTCCCTTTGGGTATATACCCAGTAATGACATTGTTGGGTCAAATGTTAGCTCTATTTTGAGTTATTTGAGAAATCTTCAAACTACTTTCCATAGTGGCTGAGCTAATTTGCATTTCCACCAACAGTGTATAAGCAATCCCTTTTCTCTGCAGCCTCACCAGTGTCTGTTATTTTTTGACTTTTTAATAAGAGACATTCTGACTGGTGTGAGACAATATCTAATTGTAATTTTCATTTGCATTTCTCTGATAACTAGTGATGTTGAGCATTTTTTATGTTTGTTGGCTAATAGTATGTCCTCTTTTCAGAATTGTCTGTTCACATCTTTTGCACACTTTTAATGGAGTTTTTTTGTGATTTCTATTACAGATTTTCCATTCCTTACTTATACTTTAACTTTTCCTTGACTCAAAATCAAACTTATAATTATACAAAAAAGCAATTTAAAATTTTCCCCAACCTGGATGTTGTTTTTCTTTACTACTTTCTCTCTTCAGTACAATAATACTTTTGGAATATTTCATTTTCCTAGTCTTTTTTCAACTCTCAAATCACTCTCTCGGCCACCACAATTCTGAGGTTTTTCTGCTAGGGAATATCAATATTAAATTAATCATTGAGATGACACTTATTAAAAGGTCCTAATTTAAAACTTATAATACACATCCCCAGAAGAGTTTTTTATTATGGTTTTGGTTCAATTGTACATTGTAAATATAGAGTTAAAATATGTGTTATTTCAAAATATATTTCAAGATTCATTTTTCACAGGGTTTTCACCTAGTTTCTTCTCCTATTTTGAGATTTCCAGTTTTGACTTTAGTTGGTAGGTTAGATTTGTTTCCTTAATATTTCTTCTCAAATAAGATGTGTGGATTATATATTCTCTGAGTACTTGTATCTCAAGATGATCACCCTGGATGAAAGTTTAGCTTATCATTTTTGCATTTCCAGAAGAATATTTCTGTAGATTTTCTAGCTGGTGTGGCAATCAGTTTTTCTCCTATGTAAATAACCTGTTCTTTCTCTCTTTAGGCTTACAGGATTCTATACATATATACGTATACAGTTTCTATACAGAATATAGAAAAGAAACAAAAATAATTTATTTTGTTTTTGAAATTCTTTTATTTACATATTACAACTTTTGTAGGCACCTGTCAAGTCCTTTTACTTATTCATAATTATTTTTTCCTTACTTTTTTGTTATTTTGTATTTGAAACTGACTCATGGAACTGATGTTTGGAGTTTCTTTTGAATAAACATAGAAATTGACCCTCCCTGTCTTGAAACTGGAGAAAGTTATGTTTGTCTTATCTGAGTTCCTTTCTCAATAAATCGACCATCAAGGCCCTCAGATAGTATCAAGGAACTGAAACTTACCAGATCATCACACCTGAACAATGAGATATCAGACCTCTCAGCCATCATGATTGCCTAAGTGATCACCTGAATCCTGTTGAACAACTCCTCTTACCCCTCCTTAAATCCTACTTTTCTGTATGTAATTATATTTTTTCCATGCTAAATAAACCCCTAATTTTAGAAAGTCAGGGAGATAGATTGAGACTAATCTCCTATCTCCTTGGCTGCAGCACCCAGTTAAAGCCTTCTTCTCTGGTAACACTCATTGTCTCAATGATTGGCTTTCTATGTGGTGAGAGTAGCAGGACCTAGACTGAACCCCTGGCGTCTAACTAACGTATCTTTGGATATTTCTTCCAGCAATGGTCTAGGTCTTTATTTGGCATCTTAGTAGTGTCTGTTCTCTCAATTAACCTAAAGAAATTTTTATATAAACATTTCAGAATGTCATTTAGATACATTTAATGCATTTCCATGGGGGAATTTGCAGTTTGTTTTATTATTTTTATCATTCATCAACTACATTTTAGAAGCATATATTTTTTTCTTCTCCCATTTAGCTTTTGACTCTATTTAGTGATGTACTTATTTTCATCTGAATTCACTGTGGTCCAGTCCAAACTCGTTGGCTACTTTAAATAGTGGAAGTCTGGTGCAAGATGCTCTACCCATAGAGGTAAGAATGAGATCTGATTACCCAAACCCTGTTCATTTAAGCACCAATAATTCTGATATAAAATTCCCATGAGCCACATTGCTAGAAACACTGGGTTACATAGAGCTGTATATATACACCATAGATAGAGAGAGGGGAGAAAAATAAAAATAAAATACTATCAATTCATTAAACTGTGAGTGACTATGTGCAATAAAAATCTAGGGCCTGGTTCATATCTTAGCCACAATTTTTGTTGTTTTTATCTTAAAATATTCGTTCAGCATTACAGTGAATCTTATATTTTCGTCAATTGTCCTAGATAAATGGAACATGTTCAGAATTTTCACAATTTATTTTCCACTGTCTTGTAGGTATCTTCTTTTTGTATACTTAAATGTGAAAACATTAGAAAATCCAGAAATTATAACAAAACATTATTTTAAATAACTTGCTTTATTTAAGAATATGTAGGCTTTTTTGTCGGTGTTTTACTATAAACAAGTAATTATATTTTACAATAATCTTATTGTGAGGAATAGACTAAATGGACATGCAGGAACCAAAATTACTCTTCTTCACTCATAATAAAATTCTTTGCATCAGTGCAAGTTGGGTCATTTAAGTGTTAGAAACTAATTCCTTGAAGTACCCCATTGTAATCTTTCATAATAAAAGGAGTATCATTTTGGCATGCTGAGCTGAAGGGAAAATGCAAGACATGAAAAGCAGAACAGATGATAACGGGTTTTTCTACTCACTGCTATTATTGTAAAGTAAATAGGCTAGCTTAATGTCTTGAAGCTGTTGATGACATTTTTTCCAAGTACTTGAACATTAAATGTCTGTCTGGTAATACCCTAAGGAAAATTTTTAAATGCAATGACCTCTTGAAAGATCATCATAAAAATCATTCTTAATTAGATTTAGGAAATCAATTTAAGTATCTATGTAAATCAAATTTTATGTAATGCCATGTTGAATGCATGGTCAGGTAAGTCTTAAGAAATAATATATATTATCTTCCAAAGCAGCCTCCTTAACCAGTAAGTATTAAAATTGATTTCATACAAAGAGGAATATTTATTATTTCAAGTGTCTCAAGATTTAAATTAAACATTAATCTCTATAAATGATAGTAATATGATTTGACATAATCACAAATAGCATAGGCATGATTGCCAATGTCATTTTAAAACTATGGACAATAAAGGGGCCAGTCGTGGTGGCTTACGCCTATAATGCCAACACTTTGGGAGGTTGAGACAGGAGGATTGCTTGAACTCAGGAGTTTGAGACCAGCCTGGACAACATAGTAGGTCTTTGTCTCTACAAAAAAATTGACAAAGCATGGTGATGTGTGCCTGTTTTCTTGGTTACTTGGGAAACTGAGGCAGGAGGATCTCTGAAGCCTAGGCAATTGAGGCTACCGTGAACTACGATGGCACCACTTCACTCTAGCCTGTGTAACAGAGTGAGACCTTGTCTCAAATAAAATAAATAAATAAATAAATAAGAACAATATAGGAAAGACTCTTGAGAGAGAGACTAGATTTATTGTATTACACCTTATAAGCATGATACTTAAATATTGTGATATTGTTATGTTATTCAAGAACACACCTTATTTACCAAGAACTCCTTAGACAACCAAGGCAATATAGAAGACAAAGGTCAGCATACCTCAGGTAATCTCAATAAAACTTTTGCTGATGTTATGACATCTTGTGCACAATAAAGCCATTCAAGGAAGAGTCCAAGAGCATTACTAATATTTTAGGTCCCCTGAAAGCTTAACATCTATCCGGGCATAAGGAAAGTGTTTTCAGTGAAGATAAGAAAATCAGAGTCAGATGAGTATACAGTTTTCACTCCCACCCAGAAAATGCTTTCCCTTGGAAGTTAAATTAAGTTAATATTATTTTTGTGAACTATTAATTATTTGATAATTTCAATCACTATATAATCCTACTTGTACATGTTAATAAATATGAGCATGGACATATGTGTATACCTCTTAATCCTAGGAGGTATTATTATCATCATTATATTTTATTTGAAGAAATTGATTATGAATGACATTAGAAAGTTCTAATTTTCCTAGTATATTTAACTTCATCTGTTACTATTTTTCCATCCATAAAAGCTCAGCAACAAGAAATTCTTAGATTTCTCAGAAATTTCTTTTTTTAATATTATATTTATTTTTTTTTTCTTTCAGTTATTTAGAACTGCCTTTCCATTGTCTTTAGACATCTTTTACTCTTTTGTTTAATCTGTTTTAAAAAGGAAGGCAGAAGCATGGCTCCTTTAGATTGAGGAACAATTGTGATTTTTAGTTTTTATGTGTTGGTGAGTATGGCAGAATGTGGCTTTGACTTTTGTAAATGTCTACCTTAATCCTCCCTGCCCCATAAACAACATTAATTTAATTTGGAAGTATAAAATTATTTGCTAAATGTATCTAAAACGTTCAACTGTTTCAAAGACAAAATATGGCACAACATTTACAAACATCGAATCAATGTTTTCTGTAGCCAGGTTTCATACTTAATACTTAAAATTCAAAAAAAAGGTGAAAAATACACAAGAGTACCTTTCTTTAAGAAATTTCTTATTGGATCAAATGTAATATAAAATATAATATTAGCATCCAAAGATGTAAACGAATGATTATAGAAGCCAAATGGAAGAATATATTAGTTTAAACTCTATGAATTAATTAATGCTTCTCAGAAGATGTATATTTTTGAGCTGGATTTGGATAATGAACAAAGTTTTTACAGATGGAAATTGTTCAAATAAGGAATGCATTATCTTATGAATTGAGAATAGTAAGAAAAGAGATTTCAAATCTGTGATCACATATTGAGCAAATATATCATATCTAAGTGAGATAATAAGGTAAGCAGAAGATGCTTATTTATTAAAATGTAATTTTCTCAATGATAGAAATCATCTTTAGAGATTTAAATGAAGAATACCTGGCCGTTCTATATGAAACATTATCATTCCCTCTTTGTCCTCATATATGTGTGTCCCTCATAACATGAAACTGAACAGTTTGATATCAATTCCTGAACATAATAGCTAAGGACTAGGCATTGTGGAAGTAAGAGAGATGTTACCTGTGATCTGCACAATCAATCCAATCATGAACTGATAGCACTGAAATTTTATACCAAACAACCCAAAGTAGACAACGTAGAAAAGTTAAAATTTGATGTTATTACCATCATGAAAATGATTCATCTTGAAGCAACATTTTGTCTCCACTGGGGTCTATGACCCCTGCGGGCACTGCTATTAGTTACTGTTTTAATGAGTAATAGGGAAAGTAATGCAGATAGTGGTGGATTTGAGGTGCTTATTGTTGACTCTCTTTTCATATCACCGTTATTCTCTTGAGAGTAGCAAAGCAGACAACACAACACATCACTGAGTAGTTAAGTCAAAAAATGAGGAATGGTGACAAAATAAACCACAGAACACAACCAGATGCTGCAGAATTGAGGTTCTGTTTGAAATGCAGAAATTAGTTAGACTTGCTTCCCTTGAGAAATAATTAGTTCACTTAGTTGGAAGTGAGAAAAAAAATATTTGAATTGTCAGGTGCTGTCTGTCTAATATGCTACCCTCTTCTATATCCATATCCTAAGTTGGGTTCACTGGAGAGCTTTCAGAGATTATCAAGCCCACACAGAAGTGTAATAAAGGAAAAAATAATCCTCTAATGACACATAAAATTAAGCAATGATACTCTAAGTTTAAAAATCTAGTTTTATAACCAATCAATGTAGAGTCCAAAAGTAGATCTTGTTCTATACTGCAGAAAGAACGGAAGAATAATTCTCTCACCATGCTTCCTTGTGGGCCTTGACATGAAAAATGTGTATGTCAGTAGAAAGTAACATGATCTTAACATTTTGAATTACACATTTTAATGGGATGTATTTTGGGTTCTACAGGGCTAGGAAAGGTGGGGATTAATTAGAATGGAACTCATAGGAAGACAAAGAAGTCACAGATATCAGAGGACTTGCTCTGGGGTGTAGGTTTAAGTAGAAAAAGAAGTAAAGGTGCTATATTAGTTAGGACTTTTTTAATTACAAGGAACAATAATCCAACCCAAATGGATTAAGCAAAAGAAGTTCCTTGTTGACTTGAATTATTGGCTAATCCGAGAGCTAATCCTGAGTTTATACCCACAGGCATCTATGAGTTCAACAGTATCTTTGGGACAATGTTTTCTCTCTCTCTCTCTCTCTCTCTCTCTCTCTCTCTCTCTCTCTCTCTCATTTCTACTTCGTTTCATGTTTGTTTCATTCCTAAACAGACTCTCCCCATATGGTATCAAAAACAGATTTCTACCAACTTCAGACTTACACCCTTCTCTCAGTGAGGAACTCTACATATAGAGTGAGAATGGGGTGAGTCTGGCTGGTGTGATACCAATAGACTCTTTATAGAATTTTTTTCCTGACCCCCCAAGTGAATGTAGCAATCTAATTTTTCAAACTGGGTCTTGTTTTGTTCCTGTGGAGAGTAAGGTAGGAGTATTTGATCCTGAATCCTACCACAGCTGAATACAATAGAAGGGGGCCAAGCGCTAAAGCAGAACTTTACCAAAAGAAAAAATGGTCTCTACTTGCTACCGCTTTATTTTCTTTAAGAATATGCAACACTGTTCACCAGGATAGATCCTTAGAAAAGCAATTCAGAAGCAGGTTTGTCTAGCAAGGAAGTTTGCATGGGCCCTTGATAATTAATATAAAGTAGATAAGTTAAAGCAAACAAAGGAATTAAAAACATAGTCATTATAAAATTAAACATTTTCAGTGATAATATAACTTCAAGGTTTTAGAAATTCTACATTTTGATACACTATTTTGATATAATGGAAAATAAAGTAATGCTAACAAGTATATGCAGTGATTTCTCATTTTATACAATTTTAGATAAACTATTTTTAATTTTAGATTTTTTTTTTTTGAGACGGATTCTAGCTCTGTCGCCCACGCTGGAGCACAGTGGTGCAA
The DNA here is from genome assembly GCF_000001405.40 of Homo sapiens. NCBI lineage: Eukaryota > Metazoa > Chordata > Mammalia > Primates > Hominidae > Homo > Homo sapiens. The sequence continues at coordinate 189,385,940 of NC_000001.11, forward strand.
TCTCAGCTCACTGAAACCTCTGCTCCCAGGTTCAAGCAATTCTCCTGTCTCAGCCTCCCCAGTAGCTGGGACTACAGGCGCCCACCACCATGCCCGGCTAATTTTTGTATTTTTAGTAGAGATGGGGTTTCACCGTATTGGTCAGACTGGTCTCAAACTCCTGCCCTCAGGTGATCCACCTGCCTCGGCCTCCCAAAGTGCTGGGATTACAGGTGTGAGCCACCACACCTAGCCTAATTTTAGATGTATAGGAAGAAAATTGATGGCATTTTGAAATTCTTTTCTTGTGTGTGTGTGTGCGTGTGTGTGTGTGTAACCACAACGTGATTTGACTGTGTCGAAACAATTCAACATCGGGTGTTCCATTTTAATGAAAAGTGGGCATCTAAGTATAATAGTATGTGTCCCAGTTAAAAAGAATTGTACCAAAAAAATCACTGTCTGCACAAATATGAAATAATATACTTTTCAAAATTAAGAATTACATTTAGTGGCCAGGCGTGTTGACTCATGCCTATAATGCCAGCACTTTGTGAGACCGAGGCAGGTGGATCACTTCAGATCAGGAGTTTGAGAGCAGCCTGGCCAACATAATGAAAACCTGCCTCTACTTAAAGAAAACACAAAAATTAGCCGAGTATGGTGATTCACTTCTGTAATCCCAGCTACTCAGGAGGCTGAGGCAGGAGAATTGCTTGAACCCAGAGGCGGAGGTTACAGTAAGCCAAGACTGGCCACTGCACTCCAGCCTGGGTGTGAGAGCAAGATTCTATCTCAAAATAAGTGAACAATAAATTTAATGATTGTAGTGATTTAGGTAATGATTTCTGTTCCAAAATGTCATCAGAAATCAGAATAATTCTGTTTTCTCCCTACTCAGGACACATTGTTCATTTTTATATAGTTTTTCCACACCTTATTGTTTTGAAAATAATACTTGTATAAATGAACCTAAAATTTTCCCCTTATACTTTTAACTATATCTTAAATCTGTCCTGTGGTTCAATGGAGTAATGTGGAAAAAGCCTATAATCTTTCCAGTCTCAGAAATAACTGAAGAAAAGCAATATTCTCTCCTAAAACCTTAATTTTTCTAGAGCAAATGTCCTAATACTTTAAATATCACTTTAACATCAATTTTGCAGATACTTCTCAACATGAACACATGAAACTGATTTTAAATTTGTTGCTCAGAACTGAATTCAATAGCCCAAATTAAACCTGATCATGAAAACAGTAATATAATATTTACATACTCTCTTGTTTTCAATTAATATTTTATGCAACATGTTTTGTTAACTGTTAAAGTCTTTTTCAACTGTTGACAAGTTTAAATTGGAATCGTCCACTTTTTCTAGATCTTTTTTTTTGTTATGAACGGTCTAATTACATCAAAAACAAATTCTAAAAAAAAAATCTTTTTTTTTCACATGGTTGCACCCTCATTCCATTTTCAATCTACTCAACGTACAAGTATCATGTATTGAATTGCAATCTAACAGGTATTGTGCCAGGGTTTAAAAATGGACAAAATGATAATTTTTGTCATCATTCTTCCACTGTCTTTTTTGAGCACCTAGAAAACATGTTTTTCTGTTAGTTTTTCTTGTGTTTGACATGACCTTAACTTAGCCATGCCATGCCATTCCTTTTTTTTTTTTCTTTGATTTGAAGTTTTGCTCTGTTGCCTAGGCTGGAGTGCAATGGCGTGATCTCGGTTTACTGCAACCTCCATCTGCCTGGTTCAAGCGATTCTCTGGAATAGCTGGAACTACAGGCACACACCACCATGCCTGTTTAATTTTTGTATTTTTTGTAGAGAGGGGTTTCGCCATGTTGGCAAGGCTGCTCTTGACCTCAGGTGATCTACCCTCATTGGCCTCCCAAAGTACTGGGATTACAGGTGTGATCCACCACACCCAGCCTTACTCTTTGAACTCTTTTCTGTTACATATATCTGATCTTGGCCTCCCAAAGTACATTGGCCTCCCAAAGTACTGGGATTACAGGTGTGATCCACCACACCCAGCCTTACTCTTTGAACTCTTTTCTGTTACATATATCTGATCTTGTGTCCTTTCCTTATGATCTGTGGCAACTATATTCTGTCTGAAGCATCCTAATATAGATTAATTTTTTTTTACTGAAATGTTATTTTAATTTCTGTATCTTAAGAAATTTGGAGTCTACTCTTTCTTAAGATCTTGGAGCAGAGGCAGTATTCTCTCTGCTTATTATTGCCTTCTATTGCTATCTTCTGTCTATTGTTGATGCCAAGCAATCATTCAGCTACTACTGATCATCTAGTCCTCTTCCATTGGAAGTGATCACATTTGTCTGTCACATCTTTCAAACATAAAACAAACTTATGGAATTTCTAACTTTCTTGAGGAATTCAGTATTTACTCTAATCTTCCTTGTAAAATACTTACCATTATTGATAGCTTCAATATAGACATTCAAAATCTGTTCACTATTTTTCCTCACTGCTCTGTGCCTTATCAACAGCAATAATTTGTTCTACATCCAGAGTTTGTCATTTTGTAGGATGAATCCATTATATATTGCCATTAACTGAAAATTATCTGTATTAATACTACAAACCTAAAATTGCTTTTTGGCTACTAAAGTCCATCTTTCACATATCCTTCTTTTTATTTTTTTATAGTCACTGTATTCCATTTTCATAGAATGATCAAGTCACATAGCCTCAACCTACTCTCAGTCCATTAGCTTTTTTAATTTTTTAATTTTATTTTATTTTTAATTATTATTATACTTTTTGGAGCTCCACTTGATCATCTTTGCCATCCTAGAATTCTTTTTTCCTCGTGTGATCAAATATTGTAGAAGCAAACTAATCAATTTCCATTTGTTTTCTGTTTAAATCTAGGTTATGTAGTTTGGTTACATTGCTTGGGGATTCAATGCTGACATAGCTATTATTCACTTCCAGTTTTCTCCCTGTTAAAATTGTAGCAGTTGTTACAAAACATTTTCACTTTTTACAAGCTCTGTTTCAGGTGATCTTAGCTTCTATTTTGCTGAAATGATTTAGACCTACAAAACTATGTTATCTCAAATTGCTTCTTCTCAGTTTCAGCATTTCTCTGTAACTTAATCCATTTCATCTTGAAACAAAGAAGAAAAAGTTCTCTTTCTTTTTTGTCTCAAGATGAAACATTTTTGTCTTTTTTTTTATAAGACTAATCCTCATAATAGAATGCACTGGGAAGTACACTGTAGTTAAAGTCAGATGCTTTGCTTTTAAGCCTGCCCTTTCTTTTATTTTGAATAAATCATATTGTTTGCTGGAACATTATATATTGGATTTAATAAATGCCATTAGTCTCATGTAATCCCCATATTTAGTATTTTTACTTTATTGCTTGAATTTGGAAAAAATGTGTTATAGTATAAATAAGTTTTATTTGAAAAGCTTTTAAATGAAGAGAGTTTGTATGGTTATAGAAATAATAAATTTAGGAATAACAGCATTAAGTCAATTATTATTTAGTTGCATTTATCTCTACTATGTCCTAGGAATCTCATTGATTTTAAAGTAATTTGCAAAACTTTTGTAACAGACAAAACTTGGACAATAGTTATTCCAAAATGCTGGTAAATCTTTAGCCTTGTACTATTCCATAGAATATTTGTATGTTATAAATATATTCAACAAATAATTACTTGAAAATTATAAATTTGGGGACTTAACGTACAATTTCTTTGTTGTTGACATGGTATTACTGTGAATGTGAACTCCATAATATATTTTAATTTCAGCTAAAGTAAATATATGTGTTTATTATTCATGTTGTTTTGACAACTCTGAATGACAATCACGTAATACCCTAATTCTTGGGTAACTTTCTTTTCTTACAGGCAAGTACACCCCACTCCCAAATTAAAAAGATTGACCTTAGCCAAACATAACACGGTAAGAGCAAGTGCAATGAAATGGTTTCAAAGAACACTTAAACAGAGTAATGTAAATATTATTCAAGGGGTGCCATGTTATTTTATTAACGAATATGATCATTGAATTGTTGTGAGCAGTAGCAAAGCCTTGAAGCAACTATCTTGCTTATTACTGCGTGAAGTTTCTTCAAAGTTAGAAGTAAACTCCTGACTAATTCTCCCGTTCCCTAATGTTGGTCATAAGTTGCTTCTTGAAATACTCCCAAATTTTCATTTTCTATCTTCTACTAAAACTAAACTTGCCATTTTTTTTGTCGCTATGTCTTCAATTCATTCTTAATATTTGTTTTGGCTTTTAGCTTCTGTTGTCCCCTGCCAATGCTTCTCCCAAAATCACACTCTACCACACATCCCTGCCTATAAGCTTTCATTTATGGTCTTAAATTATGTCCTGCTTCCTGGTCTATTCACTCAGATTTATCACTCTGAACTTCTCATCTCCAGTTATTCAAACTTAAATTTGTTGACAACTCTTTTTCCCTTTTTCAGTAGACAGGAGCATCACTATCATTATTACAAAATATTGATTTCAATGTGTACTCCAAAGTGCTGTTAACATGTTCTCTCTTTCCACAAAATCAATATTTTATAATTCACTACCCAAAGAAGCTGAGATTCCTTAGCATAGCAAAGCACATCTTAAAAGACCCAGCACACTTTGATGTAATTTTAGCAAAATGGTTTTCTCACTTTTAATAAAGACCTCCTTAAATTTCTGCTACCTATTTTTTTTTAAATTTTTACTTCAAATCATTTTCTTTCCTTTTTTTCAGATACATGCAATTTAATTTGTATGCTTTGTGTCAAAAATCAGGCATTTCAAAGCTTTGCAGATCAATACAAGTACTTCAGAAACATAACATTCATTGTCATTGACAATTGTTCAGCATAAGTCTTTCACTGCTTCATGAATTTTTAATATATTTTGCCTCATGTAAGAAAACAATTATTGACTTAATTAAAATAATCATTTGTTCAACTAGAATCTCAAGGTAGATGACTATTTAATAGTGAGGTATGTATTTCATATTTGATTTAATTCCCCAAAGAACCTTTGGTGACATTTTCTTCCCCTCTTTTTCTTTTTTTTTTCCTGTGGTTTAATTTAGTACCTTATGACTCAATTTTCTATCCTTTCTTGACATATGTTACACTTCTTTTTAAATTAATTGTTATATCACTCCCTGGATATTGTAGGTATTTTATAACAGATTATTCTCAATTTTTGCCTTCTAATTCTTATAGTATTGTAATTCATTTTCTTTATTCATATAGTATAATTGCCTAATACCATGTTGCTATTATTATTTTGATCAAATGTCAAGTCAAAATGAAATACCTACAAATACAGCTAACCAAAGAGGTAAAAGAGGAAAAAAAAAACTAAACTAAAAAATACTGCTGAAAGAAATTAGAGATGACAAAAAATGCACGAAAAAAAATTCCATCCTCATGTATTGGAAGAATCAATATGGAATAAATGGCCATACCACCCAAAGCAATTTACAGATCAGTGCTATTCCTGTGAAATCAACAGTGTCACTCTACACCGAATTATAAAAAGCTATTTCAAAATTTATATGGAACCAAAAAAGAGCCTGAACAGCCAAAGCAATCGTAAGCAAAATGAGCAAAGCTGCAGGTATCACACTACCTTACTTAAAACTATACTATAAACCCATACAAACAAAAATCGTTTGATTCTGGCACAAAAACAGATGCACAGACCAATTAGAATAGAATAGAAAAATCAGAAATAAAGCTCCACACCTACAACCATCTAATCTGTGACAAAGTCAATAAGAATAAACAATGAGGAAAGAACTCCCAATTCAATAAATGGTGCTGGAATAACTAGCTGTCATATGCAGAAGATTGAAGCTGGACACCTACTTTTTAACATAGGCAAAAATTAACTCAAAATGGATTAAAAATTTAAATGTAAGACCTCAAACTCTAAAAGTACTGGAAATCAACCTAGGAAATACTCTTCTCAACATCAGCCTTGGCAAGAAATTTGTGGCTAAGTCCCCCAAAGCAATTACAACAGAAACAAAAATAGACAAGTGGGACCTAACTAAACTAAGGAGCTTCTGCACAGCAGAAAATCTATCAACAGAGCAACCAGACGACCTACAGAATGGGAGAATATATTCACAAACTATGGATTTGACAAGGGCATAATATCCAGAATCTATAGGGAATTTTAAAACCTCAATAAGCAAAAACCAAATCACCTCATTAAAAAATGAGCAAAGGATGTGAACAGACACTTCTCCAAAGATGACATACAAATGGCCAACAAACATATGAAAAAAATCCCATCATCACTAATCATTAGAAAAATGTAAATCAAACTACAATGTGATATAATCTCACACCAATCAGAATGGCTATTATTAAAAAGTCAAAAACCACAGATGTTGGCAAGGTTCCAGAGAAAAAGGAATGTTTACATACTGTTGGTGGGGTGTAAATTAGTCCTGTCACTGTGGAAAACAGTCTGGAGTTTTCTCAGATTACTTAAAACAGAGCTACCATTGGACTCAGTAATCCCATTACTAGTTATACACCTAAAAGAAAATAAATTATTCCACCCAAAAGACACATGCATTTGTATGTTTATATTTGCACTATTCACAACAACAAAGGCACAGAACCAACCCAGGTGCCTATCAATTATATAATGAATAAAGAAAATGTTCGACATATATGCAATGGAATACTACACAGCAATAAAAAAGAATGAAATTATGTTCTTTGCAGCAATATGGATGGAGCTGGAGGCCATAATCCTAAGCAAATTAATCAGAAACAGAAAACCAAATACCATATATTCTTACCTATAAGTCAGAGCTAAGCATTGAGCACTCATTGACATAAATTTGGGAACAATAGGCACTGTGAACTACCAGAAGGTGGAGGGAGGGGGTGGGTTAAAAAACCTACCTATCAGGTACTATGCTCACTACCAAGAGATTTATATTCCAAACCTCTGCATCATGTAATATTCCATGTATCAAATCTGCCATGCAACCATTATATCTAAAATAAAAGTTGAAATTGAAAAAAGTCCACAGTTAAAAATAAAGTAAAATATAATTTGTTGCTCTTTTGGTTTGTTTGAGAAAGTTTCGATTTCTCTTTGACTTTTGAAGAATATTTTTTTTAATCACAGAATTTGAGTTTGGGGTATTTTTCTTTCAACACTTCAAATATTTCCCTCTATTTTGTTCACTTTGCATGGTTTCTGATGCGGAGATCAGTGTTAATCCTTTTCATTGTTCCATTATAGAGAAGGTATTTTTCCCTGCCTTTAAAAAATGTGTTGTTTTTGTGTCATGCATTTTACTACATGACCTCAATTTTTTAACAGATCTACAAAAAGTCATTAATTTTCAGTTGGTTTAGAGATTTCTTTGTTGAGGATGGGAGTGATGACTTTTAAGGACTCTACAAGTCAGATAAAACTCTGCCTATGTTATTCATTTTTAAAAAATTATTTGTGAAAAATAAGTGAATATTATTATGGAGAAATAATGCTATAGTAAATCATATTTGATTTACTATGGCTTCATTAAGACTTTCCTATAAACAGTCATTTAGCATTTCCTGAACATTTACATATTATTTTTCACTGTCCAGACCTCTTCCATATCAAGAAGGAAGATATACATAATAAAATTATTTTTATTTTATATGCAAATATACTGTCACATAAGCCTCATACATGTATTCATATCATGCCTTTATTAAGCCAGGAAAGGGAGTGATTTGACAAATATACTGATTCTGAAGAGGACTTCAGTATTTACAGATTATTAATGTGTCTCACTTTTAACATATATTTAAGTAGTACCAGAACACTCCACTGAAAGTTCTCTGAATACATGAAGTAAATGGCAATTCTATAGCAGTCTTCTTTTCATTAGCCCTATGTATCTATTTTTACAGATCACCAACATTGAAAGGGGCAGTATATGGTAGAAAGAAATTAACAGAGGTACATGATATCAAATATCTACATTATTATCTTAAATATCTCACTAGCTATACATTTAACTCTTTAGGACTATTGTATCATTTGTAATGTGGAAAATGATTTTTTACAGAGTATTCTGTAAATATGTAAAATTTTAAAAGCATAGACCAGTAGCTACAGTAATTCTACCACTCAGTGAGAAGATAAACACTTTTATTAGAGAACAATCTGGTCTGAAATGCACCCGAAAATTAAGGTACAGGGTTCAAGCATCTGTAAAAAGAAATTGCATATGGCACAATATTTATGCCACAAAATCTAACATGTTTTTTCATATGTGTAGAAGAAATATTTGTGCCAATTATATAATAAATTTGGAAGATCAAAAGACATAAATAAGTAAAGTTTTTTATGTTTATTTTATTTTATTTTTTGAGATGGAGTCTCACTCTGTCACCCAAGCTGGAGTGCAGTGGCACAGTCTTGGCTCCCTGCAACCTCCGCCTCCTGAGCTTAAGCGATTCTGGCGCCTCAGCCTCCCGAGTAGCAGGGATTACAGACGTGAGCCCCTGTGCCCACCCAAGTTTTTATGTTTATCTCTAACTTCAGACTTCAAACTATGCAAGACCACAGTAACCAAAATAGCATGGTACTCATACAAAAACAGGCACATAGACCAATGGAAGAGAATAGAGAACTCAGAAATTAATCCGCACATCTACAACCATCTGATCTTCAACAAACCTGACAAAGACAAGCAATGGGGAAAGGATTCTATATTTAATAAATGGTGCTGGGAAAACTGGTTACCCACATGCCGAAAACTGAAATTGGATCCCTTCTTTACACCATATGCAAAAAATTAAGTCAAGATGGATTAAAGACTTGACTGCAAAACCCAAAATTATAAAAACCCTAGAAGAAAATCTAGACAATGCCATACAGACATAAGCATGGACAAAGACTTTATGATGAAATCACCAAAAGCAATTGGAACAAAAGCAACAACTGACAAATGCGATCTAAACTAAAGAGCTTCTGCACAGCGAAAGAGCCTATCATCAGAGTGAATAGACATCTTATGGAATGGGACAGAATTTTTGCAATCTCTCCATCTGACAGTGGTCTAATATCCAGAATCTACAAGGAACTTAAACACATTTACAAGCAAAAAACAAAACCCCATCAAACAGTGGGCAAAGGATATGAACAGATGCTTCTCAAAAGAACACATTTATGCCACCAGCAAACATATATGAAACAAAGCTCAACATCACTGATCATCAGAGAAATGCAAATCAAAACCACAATGAGATACCATCTCATACCAGTCAGAATAGCGATTATTAAAAAGTCAGGAAACAATAGATGCTGGCGAGTCTGTGGAGGAATAGGAACACTTTTACACTGTTGTTGAGAATGTAAATTAGTTCAAGGATTGTGGAAGACAGGGTGGTAATCCTCAAAGATTTAGAAGCAGAATACCATTTGACCCAGTAATCCCATTACTGGGTATATACACAAAGGAATATAAATCATTCTATTATAAAGATACATGCATGCATATGTTCATTGCAGCACTATTCACAATAGCAAAGACATGGAATCAACCCAAATGACCATTAATGATAGATTGGATAAAGAAAATGCGGTACATATACACCAAGGAATATTATGCAGCCATAAAAAGGAATGAGATCATGTATTTTGCAGGAACCTGGATGAAGATGGAAGCCTTTATCCTCAGGAACTAATGCAGGAACAGAAAACCAAACACTGCATGTTCTCATTTATAAGTATGAGCTGAGTAATGAGAACACAAGGACACAGGGAGGGTAACAACAGACACTGGGGCCTGTTGGGGGAGGGCGGGGCTAGGAACAGCATTAGGGAAAAGAGCCAATGTATGCTGGGCTTAATACCTAGGTGATGGGTTGATAGGTGCAGCAAACCACCATGGCACACGTTTACCTATGTAACACAGCTGCACAACCTGCACATGTTCCCCGGAACTTAATAAAAAATAAATAAATTTAAAAAACAAGAAACATGTGAACACCAGTTGACTTAAAACAGCTATGTGTAAATAATGTAAAATTTAAAGCAAACATTAAAGGAAAATTCTACAAATAATATAACTAAAACAGTATAGATAAATCCAAATGGAAGTTTCAGAAATGCTTTAGCAACTCATATGAATGCAGGAAAGAGGAAACAAAAATAACAGAGAAGAAACAGAAAATAAAAAAGAAAATTTCAGATATAACATATCAATACAGTAATTAAAAGAAAGGCAACAGAACTAAGTAAAACAATTAAAGATGGATAACAAATAAACAACATGGCTGAACCAAATATTATTGATAAGAATTTCAGTTCAAATGTAATTGTAGAGGAAGGTGAAATTAAAATAATAGTAAAAGACATTCCATACAAATATTCTTGAAATAAAGAGAGATTGACTATCTTTGTATCAGAATAAGTAAATTTCAGAGCAAAAATATTACTGGGGTAGAGAATGGCATTATATAATGACAGTTAGCTGAATTCAGTTTGCCGAATTTCTCTATGGTGCTAGATATGTATGCACCAAACAACAGAGCTGCAGAAGCTATGAAAAAAAAAATACACAAATGTAATGGGAAATCTCAAACCCATTCTTAACAAGTGGTGGAAAAAGTAAACAGAAAATCAGTAAGGATACAACAAAAATTAAGATACCATTAACCAAATATATAGTTAATATTTATTGAACATTCTAACCCAACAACAGCAGAATATATAGTCTTTTTAAGGGACTATGCAATACATTTTGTTAGACCAAATACTGTTCCAAAAAACAAATCTCAATACATTTAAAAGAATAAAAATTATGCAGAGTGTGTTCCTTGACCACAATATACTTAAATTAGGAATCAGTAACAGAGATGTAATCAGGAGAATGTCCAGACATTAAGAAACTGAAAACACACTTCTAAGTATTCAATAGATCAAAGAGGAAGTCTCAAGGAAAATAAAAATACATTGAGATTAATGTGAATAAAAATTCAACATATCAAAATTTATAGGACTCAACTACAGCAGTGATAGAAGGGAAATGAGACTTTTCTTAAATGCTTATGTCAGGAAAAGCGTCAAACTAATTACCTAAGCTTCCATCTCCAACTAGTAAAAGAAGAACAAAATAAATCCAAAGTGAGCATAGAGAAGGAAATAATAAAGATCAGAGCAGATATCAATGGCATTGAAAACAGTAAAATAATAAAGAAGTCCAATAAAACAAAAAAAAAACTGATTCTTTTTAAAGATTAATAAAATTGTCAAACTTCTACCAAAACTTATAAAGAAAAAAAGAGAGAAGACGCAACTTGCAAGTATCAGGAATGACTTAGAAAATATCATTATAAACTCTTCAGACAACAAAAGGATAATCGTGGAATATTACACACAACTCTACACAAATAAATGTGTCTAATTAAATGAAATTGATCAGATGTTTGTAATGGACAAACTACCACAGTTTACCCAATATGAAATAGATAGTATTGACACACCTATTAAAATTGAGATAATTTAATTTATAATTATAGACTTCCTGAAAAAGAAATCTTCAGGCATAGATAGTTTCACTGGAAAATTCTACCCAAAGTATAGAAAAAAATTAACACCAATTCTTTAAAAAAAAAAAATTCACTTATGCACTCACTATGTGACATTGACTCATCCACTTCAACATGATTTCTGTTTTCTATTAGTCTTTACTCTTTTTCAGCAAGACATCTGAGAAGCTTAGTATTAACCTATAGAAGAATATCAGAGGCCCCGAAAGTACCACAATTATTCTGGGGGGGAGTACAGACTGCATTTGCTCCCAGAAACCTAATTCTACCTATGCTTTGAATGCAGGTCTTTAATTTCCTTGAACTTACCTTACAGAACAAGGTAATTTGATTTAAGACATTAACTATTTTAGATGTTTATGTCTTTTAAAATTAAATTTCAAAGGGATTCAGTCCCTCAATTTAATTTCTCCCTAGCAGTTCAACACTGATAAGGAATTTATATTCAAATTTGGGACTCCTCTGTAGAGTTGCTGGATCACTCAGTGTTTAATCAGAGAAGCAGAACCACTGTGAGAACTACAGAGTAACTGATTTGTTCTAGTAATTAGAACTTAACAAAGAAAGAAGAGAGGACATGTGGTCTGGAATGGAGAGTTAGAGTATCAGAAAAAAAGTCACTAACCAACTCTTAGTAGGTGGACAAATCAGAATAGGTGGACAAACACTGGAGTAGGTGGACAAATCAGAGCTTGCAGAGAAATCTGAGAAGCTAGACATGTCCACCTGCCAGAGTGGAATCACAGAAGAGAGGTGCTGAAGAAGTCTGTGGAAGGCTGATATCTCTGTGTCTGTTGGTGCATCTGGGGATCTTGGTCACTGGGAATAAGAGTTATAAATGAGGTGAATAGGAATAAGGACAAGCATGAACCTGACAGCATTGCTGAGTCTTTCTTTTTCTTTTTCTTTTTTTTTTTTTTTTTTTTTTTTGAGACAAAGTTTCACTCTTCATTCTCCTGCCTCAGCCTCCTGAGTAGCTGGGATTACAGGCACTCACCACCATACCCGGTTAATTTTTTTTTTTTGTATTTTTAGTAGAGACAGGGTTTCACCATGTTGGCCAGGCTGGTCTTGAACTCCTGACCTCAGGTGATCCGTTCGCCTTGGCCTACCAAAGTGCTGGGATTACAGGCGTGAGCTACCGCGCCCGGCCGAGTCTTTCTTTAACGCTGGAGTAGAGGGCAGGTGCCAACTCAATGGCTGCATCTGCATCTGTCTGTCCTTGCTTTTAATCACCAGAACCCCCAGAGGATACAGATGCTTCACTTTCACTTTCCAAATCTTATACATATTTCTCTTTTGGACAATTCTAACTTGAAATTATAGAAGGAAAGAAAATCACAGGAGAAAAGTAATTATGTCATCTTAGCCAAGTTGACACAGTCAAAATACTGGCAAACCGAATCCAGCAGCACATCAAAAAGCTTGTCCAGTATGATCAAGTGGGCTTCATCCCTGGGATGCAAGGCTGGTTCAACAAATGCAAATCAATAAACATAATCCAGTGTATAAACAGAACCAAAGACAAAAACCACATGATTTTCTCAGTAGATGCAGAAAAGGCCTTCGACAAATTTCAGCAGTGCTTCATGCTAAAAACTCTCAATAAACTAGGTATTGATGCGATGTGTCTCAAAATAATAAGAACTATTTAGGACAAATCCACAGCCAGTATCATACTGAATGGGCAAAAACTGGAAGCATTCCCTTTGAAAACTGACAGAAGACAGGGATGCCCTCTCTCACCACTCCTATTCAACATAGTGTTGGAAGTTCTGGCCAGGGCAATCAGGCAGGAGAAAGAAAGGGTATTCAATTAGGAAAAGAGGAAGTCAAAATTTCCCTGTTTGCAGATGACATGATTGTATATTTAGAAAACCCCATCGTCTCAGCCCAAAATCTCCTTAAGCTGATAAGCAACTTCAGCAAAGTCTCAGGATACAAAATCAATGTGCAAAAATCACAAGCATTCTTATACACCCATAACAGAAAAACAGAGAGCCAAATCATGAGTGAACTCCCATTCACAATTGCTTCAAAGAAGATAAAATACCTAGGAATCCAACCTCCAAGGGATGTGAAGGGCCTCTTCAAGGAGAACTACAAACCACTGCTCAATGAAATAAAAGAGGACACAAACAAATGGAAGAATATTCCATGCTCATGGGTAGGAGGAATCAATATCATGAAAATGGCCATACTGCCCAAGGTAATTTATAGATTCAATGCAATCCCCATCAAGCTACCAATGACTTTCTTCATAGAATTGGAAAAAACTACTTTAAAGTTCATATGGAACCAAAAAAGAGCCCGCATGGCCAAGTCAATCCTAAGCCAAAAGAACAAAGCTGGAGGCATCACACTACCTGACTTCAAACTATACTACAAGGCTACAGCAACCAAAACAGCGTGGTACTGGTACCAAAGCAGAGATATAGACCAATGGAACAGAACAGAGCTCTCAGAAATAATACCACACATCTATAACCATCTGATCTTTGACAAACCTGAGAAAAACAAGCAATGGGGAAAGGATTCCCTATTTAATAAATGGTGCTGGGAAAACTGGCTAGCCATTTGTAGAAAGCTGAAACTGGATCCCTGCCTTACACCTTATACAAAAATTAATTCAAGATGGATTAAAGACTTAAATGTTAGACCTAAAACCATAAAAACCCTAGAAGAACATCTAGGCAATACCATTCAGGGCATAGGCATGGGTAAGGACTTCATGACTAAAACACAAAAAGCAATGGCAACAAAAGCCAAAATTGACAAATGGGATCTAATTAAACTAAAGAGCTTCCGTGCAGCAAAAGAAACTACCATCAGAGTGAACAGGCAACCTACAGAATGGGAGAAAATTTTTGCAATCTACTCATCTGAGAAAGGGCTAATGTCCTATTTATTAATGTTATTACACCCCAGATGTTGAGTTTGTTGTTACATAAAGATAAAATTAATGCTAAATGATAGAATATTATTTCTCTAGGGAAGATACCATCTCAATAGCTCCTTTTATTGGATAATAGGTAACTTAATTGATTGAAATTTTAGGACAATATTGATTGTTCTTACATATTAGTAATACTACATGCTAGGTGGCTATAAGGAGAACCTCTAAAATATACCACTTTTAACACAAGATAATTTATTTCACTTCCAATATAAGAGATCGAGCAGATGATTAATGTCTGAAACTCAAAGCATGTAGTTCCCAGTGTTCATCCCTTCTCTACTTAGTGTTTTGTCTTAATATATGATCAAATATGTCTCACTTCTGAATCTCAGCTTGTGTATGGAGTTGTCAAACAGGAGAAGAAAGAGAAGGAAGAGTACGAACCTTTCAACAATAAAGACAAAACCAAAAGTTAGTCCCATCTTTGCTCCTATCTCATTCATCCAAACCTAATCACATGGTCACATTTCTGGAAGAGATATTACCAGGACTGTCATTTCTTCAGCTTATTATTATCATTATTATTAATTGTATAAGTAGATGATGGCTACTGTGCAGGAGATAGCAATTTGTACTGTAAAGCCTAGCCTGGATTGCTGGCTACACCTGTCTTAGAGTGTAAAGGGCCACATTTTTTTTTGTACCCATTCTGTAGGTGATATGGAAACTGGTTCAGAGCTATTGCCATTCCTTCTGATGGATGGTCAAGAAACACATCTCTTCCCATCCAACTGTTGCTCTTTTTTTTACCTAACAGTGTGTGAGGCAAGGTTATGATGCTTTACTTACAGTCTGTTACACTACCAACTCTACTTAGTTTACTGATTGGTGTTAACATTTAGATTTGGGAGCAGTTAATTTTGCTTATTTCAATTTTAAGCTGTGTTCCTCGTTCCAGTCTAACGATAAAAAGATAACTATATGCAATGCGTTAACTTTTATGTCTATTTTATTAATTTATTCAGAAGCTAGGAAGAAGAGACATATAATTAAATGCCACTCCAACTCTAACACATATTAATTTATTTGATCTTAAAAACATTACAGTGAGATAGGTAAGTCAGTATTGCTATTTTCAAGTAAAAATAAAGAAATTAACATCAGGAGAGTGTAGTCCATCTGCCAAAGTTGTCTGAGCCGGTTAATAGATGCAAGAATAGACGCTACTCTCTTAATCTCTTTGGAGATGAAATCCCATGAGTAATTAACAAAATTTTAATACACTTCATTTAATAGTTAGATGAACAAATTTGCTGTTTTGTAGATCCCAAAGATGGACGGAGCAGAATGGCCATTATTAAAAAGTAAACAAAAATAATAAATAACAAATGTTGTTGAGGAAATGGAAAAAGCGGAAAGCTTATACACTGTTGGCGCAGCCTCTATGGAAGACAGTATGAAATTTTTTCAAAGAACTAAAAATAAAACTACCATTTGACCCAGCAATCTGACTACTGGATATCTATCCAAAGGAAATAAATCATTATATGAAAAATACATCTGCATTTGTATGTTTATTGCAGCACTATTCAGAGTATCAAAGTCATGGAATCAACCTAAGTGACTATCGACAAATAATTGGATAAAGAATATGTGGTATATATATACCATGGAATACTCTGCAACCATAAAAATTAATAAAATCATGTCTTCTGCAGCAACATAGATGGAGCTGGGGGCTATTATGCTAAGCAAAATAAATCAGAAATTGAAAATCAAATACTGTGTTCTCACTTATAAGTGGGAGCTAAACAATGAGTGTATATGGACATAAAGATGACAACAATAGACATGTGTGACTCCAAAAGGAGAGGACTGGGAGCGTGGTGAGTATTGAAAAATTAACTCCTGGGTACAATATTCACTATCTGAGTTACTGGTACACTAGAATCCCAAACCTCACTATTAAGCAATTTATCTATGTAAAAAAAAAATACACATGTACCCTGTTAATCTGTAATTAAAAAAAGAATAAAGCCTAATGTAGAGCATATTCTAGACTTTACATAGTATCAAAACACGCACACTCTGCGAAATGCTTACACAGTTTTACTTAATTTCTTATTTACTCAAAAAATATAGATAAGAAATATATATGAAAGCATAACAACTTCTTTATGAGACAAAATAACAATGATTCGTGCTTCTGCAAGGAAAGAATATGACTTTGGAGTTAGATGCTCTTGGCTTTAACCCTTAGATCATATATTTTTATATATCAACTTTGGATAAGCCACTGAAACTCTCTAAACTTCTGTTTTCTATTCCAAGTGGGTGTGATGATCTTGATTCATAAGATTATCAGGAGGATTAAGTAAGGGATTACTTGAAAGCACCTATTCCACTACTTTACATATCACAATACTGAATATAGTTTAGTTTCATTCTAATCATATACATTCAAAGCAAAGTTGAATAGAATTAGGTTAAAACTTGTTCGCTTTATTTTACAATATCAAATCCTTATATTTAAGTAAAAAAATGTATGTGCATAATTTATTTGTTTCTAATCACTTCCCAATAGTGGTTCAGTAAGTTTTTGATGAAGAAGAACTTGACTGTCTTAAATCAAAACACTTAAAAATATAGGTTTAATAATGTAAATAACCTGAAGACATTGCTAAATTAATTAGAAAAAATTAGGAATATATGATTTGAGGTTCATATAAAAGAGAAGACACATCATTTTCATAACATTTCTCTTGAAGTTGCTTTTAAAAATAGATTGCATATCTAATATAGTTTACTAATTCTTACACTGTTATCTTTAATTTGACAAAGCTAATGTTACTGTTTTGGTGAGCTAACATTAAATAGTAAGAGTCTGGTGATGTCTGAACTTCCTTCAAGGGTTAAAATAATCCATATTTTCTTGTAAGTTGCTGCAAAGATTATTAAGAAAAGGTTTTCTGGGTGTTTTTGTCCCCATCTTTTTTTTTTTCAAACCACAGCAATTAAAAAAAAAAACATTCAATACTATGCACAAATCATTCCTATTTGATGTTGAAAGAGATGATCCCATTAAGATGATTATCACTTTCAATAACATTTTATTTGACAGTCTATGATAGATTTCCTATGAGTGGCTAATCTTCAATTCCTTCCATGTCTAACTTCTAAGATATTGAAGTTCCATTGTTTCCTTCAAAATGAATCAAAGTATTTTATATTATTCTTTACTCATCAGGGTACAATAGCAAACATCTTTTATGCTGTGCAAAAAAATCTGTGCTTTAATTTATTATAAAAAAAGTCTGTAGTGAAATGTACGGGAGAAGAATGTATCCATAAGATCCAGATTTCTGGGGGAAAAAAAGCTTTTAGAGAAATTTCTGTTGGTTGAAGGAAGATTAACTCTAGGTGGAAGAACAGGTAAAAGGAGATCAGCAATGTTATGGTAATGACAGGAGGAAACGGGGGTTGGGGAAGAGGGACAGATTAAAGAACACAGAGGCAGAAAACGTAGTTAAGTAAAATGCCTGGCTAAGTAAGAACATCTCTTTGGTAGAAGGGAACTTATCTTGTGACTTCTTAGAGTTCATAACTTTAGAGAAATGAAGAGAATAAAAAATTCAGAAATTAAAATGAAATTATAATATAAGGTGGTGCCAAACTTAATCATCATAAATCATAATGTCATTTGGTACCTTCTAAGGATATGCAATGATATATGACTATAAATCGTCAATTTATAATTTAAAATACTTTTTTTAGAAAGAAACATAATGTTTTAGAGAGTTGATGAATGAAACTGATAGTATAATAATTTAGTAAGCACAGCCTAAGATTAGCTTATTCCATTTGGATCTCCATATGTATTAGTCCATTTTCATGCTGCTGAAAAAGACATACCCAAGACTGGGAAGAAGAAGAGGTTTAATGGACTTACAGTTCCACATGGCAGGGGAGGCCTCACAATCATGATGGAGGACAAGGAGGAGCAAGTCACATCTTACATAGATGGCAGCAGACAAACAAACAGCTTGTGCAGGGAAACTCCCATTTTTAAAACCATCAGATCTCATGAGACTCATTCACTATCAGAAGAAAAGTGTGGGAAAGCCCTGTCCCTATAATTTAATCACCTCCCACCAGGTTCCTTGCACAACACATGGGAATTGTGGGAGTTACAATTCAAGATGAGATTTGGGTGGGGACACAGCCTATCATTCAGCCCCTGGCCCCTCCAAATCTCATGTCCTCACATTCCAAAACCAAATATGCCTTCCCAACAGTCTCCCAAGTCTTAACTCATTTTAGCATTAACTCAAATTTCCACAGTCCAATGTCTCATCTGAGACTAGGCAAGCCCCTATCACCTATGAATCTGTAAAATCAAAAGCAAGTTAATCACTTCCTAGATACAATGGGGGTACAGGCATTGAGTAAATCCAGCTGTTCCAAATGGGAGAAATTGGCCAAAACAAAGGGGTTACAGGCCCCATGAAAGCCCAAAATCCAGCAGAACGGTCAAATCTTAAAGCTCCAAAATGATCTCCTTTGACTCCATGTTTCTTATCCAGGTCATGCTGACACAAGAGGTGGGTTTCCATGGTCTTGAGCAGCTCTGTTCCTGTGGCTTTGCATGAGTACAGCCTCCTCCTGGCTGCTTTCATGGGATGGTGTTGAGTGTCTGCAGCTTTTCCAGGTGCACAGTGCAGCTTGTAGGTGGACCTACAATTCTGGGGTCTGGAGAATGATGGCCCCCTTCTCACTACTCCACTAGGCAGTGCACCAGTAGGGACTCTGTGTGGGGGCTCCAACCCCACATTTTCCTTCTGCATTGGTCTAGCAGAGATTCTCCATGAGGGCCCCACCCCTACACCAAACTTCTGCCCAGGCATCCAGGCGTTTCCATACATATTCTGTAATCTAGGAGGAAGTTCCCAAACCCCAATTATTGACTTCTGTGTGCTCACAGGCTCAACACCACATGAAAGCTGCCAAGGTTTGGGGCTTGCACCCTCTGAAGCCAGTACCTGAGCTCTACATTGGCCTCTTTAATCCACAACTGGAGCAGCTGGGATGCAAGGCACCAAGTCCCTACAATGCACACAGCTGAGGAGGGACCCTGGGCCTGGCACATGAAACTTTTTTTTTTCTCCTAGGCCTCAGGGCCTGTGATGGGAGGGGCTGCTGCAAAAGACTCTGACATGCTCTGGAAAAATTTTCCCCATTCTCTTGGGGATTAACATTCAGTTCTTGTTTACTTATGCAAATTTCTGCAGCCAGCGTGAATTTCTCCTCAGAAAATGGGTTTTTCTGTTCTTTCACATTATCAGGCTGCAAATTTTTCAAACATTTTTGCTCTCTTTCCCTTTTAAAACTGAATGCCTTTAACAGCACTCAAGTCAACTTTTGAATATTTTGCTGCATAGAAATTTCTCCCACCAGATATGCTAAATCATCTCTCTCAATTTCAAAGTTCCACATATCTCTAGGGCAGGGGCAAAATGCTGCCAATCTCTTTGCTAAAACATAACAAGTGTCACATTTGCTCCAGTTCCCAAAAAGCTCCTTATTTCCATCTGGGACCACCTCAGCCTGGACTTTATTGTTCATATTACTATCAGCATTTTGGGCAAAGCTATTCAACAAGTCTCTAGGAAGTTTCAAACTTTCCCACATTTTCCTGTCGTCTTCTGACCCCTCCAAACTTTCAGCCTCTGCCTGTTACCCAGTTCCAGGTATCTTTTCAGCAACACCCCACTCTTTAGGTACCAATTTACTGTATTAGTTCGTTTTCATGCTGCTGATGAAAATGTACCTGAGACTGGGAAGAAAAAGAGGTTTAATGAACTAAAGCTCCGCATGGCTGGGGAGGCCTCACAATCATGACATAAGGCAAGGAGGATCAAGTTACGTCTTACGTGGAAGGCAGCAGGGAAAAAAAAAGAGCTTGTGCAAGGAAACTCCCATTTTTTAAACTATCAGATCTCATGAGACTCATTCACTATTACGAGAACAGCACAGGAAAGACCCATCACCATAATTCAATCACCCATCACCAGATTCCTCCTGTGATATGTGAAATTGTGCAAGTTACAATTGAAGATGAGATTTGGGTAGGGACATAGCCAAACGATACCACCATATCTTTTTCTTTCTTTCTTATTTATTGATTGATTTATTTTTAAGACCGGGTCTTTCTCTGTCATCCAGACTGGCGGGATCACAGCTCACTGCAGCCTTGGCCTCCCAGGCTCAAGGAGTCCTCCCACCTCAGCTTTCCTGAGTAGCTGGGACTACAGGTTTGCACCATGATGCCTGGCTACTTTTTGTATTTTTTGTAGAGAAGGGGTTTTGCCATGTTTCCCAGGCTAGTCTTAAACTCTTGGGCTCAAGTAATCTGCCTATCTTGGCCTCCCAAAGTGCTGGGATGAAAGGTGTGAGCCACCGTGCCCAGCCTCCATATCTTCTTGATTATCTTCCTCAGTTATCGTGGCCATTAAATGAAGTAACCTGAATCTCTGACTCAGAATTTGGATAGCTGAATCCAATATATATAAATATGTATATATATATATATATTTTTTTTAATTAAAAGTATTCACATTGCTCTCACTAAAATATCAGCCAAAGCAAGAAGGGTTTTGCACTGTAAATAAATATTTTAAATGCCTAATATTTCATTTTTAACTAATGCTTTAATATTTTCTATTTCCAAGTGTTTTATCATATACAATATATTAATATAATAGCACATGCATTTAACTTAAAATCAGTACTACTGGAAGTTTGCCATGAAAATTTTAAGTTGAAACTATAGTCATATTGAAGTCAACTAAGCAAACAAAGTTCCTATGTTGTGTTTAAAGATTCAAAAAGAGAGAAGTTGATAGAAAACAAGAATATATATGTCACATTAAAGGTATATTCAGGTGAATAATCAGCATGGAAAGATTTGATGGGAGTAGTTCAGTAAAAATATTGTGACACTTGAATCTATTAGAAATTAGAAATAAAATATAATTAAACACATTTGATATACAAATGTGACTGTATTTAGATCAAATAGAATGATATAAATGTACCCTGATTTAATGGGAAACAAAGATATCAGGAAAAAGAACAAAAGGAAAAATCTAGAAATACATTTCTAAGTACATGTAAGTATATCACTGTTAAACAGTATTTATAACAGCAGACATTGATCCTTGGGGAAACAATTCAGTTCAGCCTTTGTTGAAAAAATGAAATTGGGTGTGTGGAAACAAAGCAGAATATTACGAAATGGAACAAATTACGTATTTCAAAAGAACAGCATATTCAACTTGAGAAATAAATCAAATGCTTCTGTGGCTGAAAGCCTTTCAAAAGAATTCTTAAATAATTAATACTGGTATATTGACAGGAAAGCCTATGAAAGTTACCTGTCTTTCGAGAGTTATGTACCCATTGCTCTCATTGGAATGAGAAATACTGCTCAGGTAATGTTTCTAATATGCTGAAATGCTTGTGCAATACAAAAATGAATTCATTTTATCTCAGGAAAGCCATTCATTCATTCATGATCCATTAATTTATCCATTCATTTATTTGTGCATTTTTGAACATCTATTAAGTGTCTGGCACTGTGTTAAGCACTTTGGAAGGGAAAGATGAAGAGATGATGCCCTCCTTCTGAGAATAGTGGCATTAATTATGAGGCTGGCAAACACACTTGAATAAAATGTAAACATTGCTTAGACACAGTAAATAGTTTTACTTTTAGGCTTTATATAAATGGTACAGATTATGCAAAGCCCTTACTAATTTTCGATTTATACACTAAGAATGAGTAATACAAATTTTATTGAGTATTATAATTTATTCTACAACTTAAGAATATTAATCTTATGGTCAGAATGCTAAAAATTTATTATTTTAGCAGTTTTGAAATATATAATAATATACATTATTAAATGATAATTTAGTGAGGTGAGGAATTTGTTGATTAGCATGATTGAATCTTCTTACAACATATACATAGATCAAAGCATCACATGCACACATAAATATATACAATTATTGTCACCTACGAATATACATATATTTTTTTTTTTTTTTTTTTTTTGAGACAGAGTCTCTCTTTGTCACCCAGGCTGGAGTGCAGTGGTGCGATCTCGGCTCACTGCAAGCTCTGCCTCCTGGGTTCACACCATTCTCCTGCCTCAGCCTCCCTAGTAGCTGGGACTACAGGCGCCTGCCACCTCCCTAGATTAATTTTTTGTACCTTTAGTAGAGACAGGGTTTCACCGTGTCAGCCAGGATGGTCTCGATCTCCTGACCTCCTGATCCGCTCATCTCAGCCTCCCAAAGTGCTGGGATTACAGGCGTGAGCCACCGCGCTCGGCCTTTTTTATTTTCTTTTTAAAGGCAGGGTCTTACTCTGTTGCCCAGGCTGGAGTGCAGGGGATGATCATAGCTTACTGTAGCCTGGTACTCCTGGGCTAAAGAGACCCTCCTACATCAATCTCCTTTGTAGCTGGACATGTGCCACCACACCCAGCTAGTCGACACATGCTACCATGCACAGCTAATTAAAACAATTTTTTTTTTTTTTTGAGGAGACAATATCTCACTTTCTTGTCCTGGCTGTTCTTGAACTCTTGGCCTCAAACAATCCTCCTGCCTTGGCCTCCCAAAGTTCTGGGATTACTAGTGTGAGCCACCTAAGCCTGGCCAAATAAATTTTTAATAATAAAAGACATCCCAATAAACATAATACTTAATCCTAAAAAAATAAAATAAATGTTTTGCAAAAATTTAAAAGAGTATAAAGTTTAAAGTTTAATGATAAGATGCAGAAAATAAACATGAAAATTGAGTGTACCCATCACATTTAAATTGCATGTCCTCTCTTGAGAGCCAGTTATCCAGGTATGTTTTTTTAGCTTTACTAGGGGGAAGAACTTTTCAGGGTTCCATATTCAGTGACTACATTTTGCCTATCCATGCTATTAGATTAGACTGCACTATGGCAAGTTTTTGCAGTGACCCTGTTATTTTCCTGAATAAAGGCTGAATGATGGAGGAACAACACAAAGACTGCACTGAAAATGGTCAATTCGCAGTGAAATTTTTTAAAAGAGGATAAAAACATATAAACAACAAATGAAAATGTGTATCACATAGTGCATTGCTCCAGTTAAAGGATATATTTGTTTTACTGTATTATAATACTTACATTAAATATGACAATTGCTTTATATAAATACATACTACTAAAATATTTAAAGCAAATATATTAAAAATATATTGGGTTTTGGTTTAATTTACTCAGGGAATTTCCAGGAGGCTTGAAGAATATACCATTAAATTCATGCCTATAGCACAAACACACACGTACAAACATAAATACAGGCATGTTCATAATGTTGACATAGAAAGAATTTCGAATTGACAAGAGTAAAGTTTATCCTCATTTCCTTGAGAAAAACCAGTGTGCAAATTTGATTTATTGTGCCCAACATATGAATTGCAATTTATCTTCCCAAGCTTATGTAAACGTTCATTCACTATGACTCAGCAACATTTTTTACTTTTAATGAATAAATTAAAGCTGTTGAAATTAAAGTAAAACTTGTTTTAAAAAATTCAGATATGTATATATATGTGTGTGTGTGTGTGTGTGTGTGTGTGTATAGTTGTGTGTTTGCAGTTGTTTCAAGCAAAATATTGAAATGCAGAAGCAAAGACCACAACTGTACTGTTCTCTTCAAATAAAATTCTGAGGAGGCACACTTTTGGAGACAAAAAGTAATTTAATGGTTATATGAAGCTTGTGATGGAACAGATAAGTCCTGCTTTTGCAACTTTATTGCACAGACTTTGCAATTCCCATTTTGTTTTGGCCCTAGCTTTATCCTTCTGTCTTCTTTAACTACAGACTTAGTCTGTGACAGTCTAACTAAGTGGAAATCTTAGTGTACATACACATACTCATACATATGCACAGTATTCTTATAAAATGAGCAACTTACGTGTGGTTGGATTTTTTTTATTTGCAAATATAGCTTAGCAATAAATTACATATAAATTTACCTTATATTAAATTTAAAAATCACAAGCTGTTTCTTGATTTAATTATGGACATTTATGTCAGTGCTTTTGAACTTTTGCTGCAAACTAAAATTACTTAGGGAACTTTTTTTTTGCACCTTTGTATTTATGTATTTATTTTTTATTATACTTTAAGTTCTAGGGTCCATGTGCACAACGTGCAGGTTTGTTACATATGTATACATGGGCCATATTGGTTTGCTGTACCCATTAACTTGTCATTTACATTAGATATTTCTCCTAATGCTGTCCCTTCCCCATCCCCCCACCCGATGACAGGCTCTGGTGTGTGATGTTCCCCTTCCTGTGTCCAAGTGTTCTCATTGTCCAATTCCCACCTATGAGTAAGAACATTTGGTATTTGGTTTTCTGTCCTTGCAATAGTTTGCTCAGAATGACGGTTTCCAGTTTTATCCATGTCCCTACAAAGAACATGAATTTGTCCTTTTTTATGGCTGAATAGTATTCCATGGTGTATATATGCCCCATTTTTTTAATCCAGTCTATCATTGATGAACATTTGGGTTGGTTCCAAGTCTTTGCTATTGTGAATAGTGCTGCAATAAACACATGTGTTCATGTGTCTTTATAATAGCATGATTTATAATCCTTTGGGTATATACCCAGTAAGGGGATGGCTGGGTCAAATGGTATTTCTAGTTCTAAATCCTTGAGGAGTCGCCACACTGTCTTCCACAATGGTTGAACTAGTTTACAGTCCCACCAAGAGTGTAAAAGTGTTCCTATTTCTCCACATCCTCACTAGCACCTGTTGTTTCCTGACTTTTTAATGATCGCCATTCCAGCTGGTGTGAGATGGTATCTCACTGTGGTTTTGATTTGCATTTCTCTGATGATTAGTGATGATGAGCATTTTTTCATGTGTCTGTTGGCTGCATAAATCTCTTCTTTTGAAAAGTGTTTGTTCATATCCTTTGCTGACTTTTTGATGGGGTTGTTTGATTTTCATCTTGTAAATTTCCTTAAGTTCTTTGTAGATTCTGGATATTGGCCGTTTGTCAGATGGGTAGATTGCAAAAATTTTCTCCCATTCTGTAGGTTGCCTGTTCATTCTGATGGTAGTTTCTTTTGCTGTGCAGAAGCTCTTTAGTTTAATTAGATACCATTTGTCAATTTTGGCTTTTGTTGCCATTGCTTTTGGTGTTTTAGTCATGAAGTCCTTAAACATGCCTATGCCCTGAATGGTATTGCCTAGGTGTTCTTCTAGGGTTTTTATGGTTTTAGGTCTAACATTTAAGTCTTTAATCCACCTTGAATTAATTTTTGTATAAGGTGTAAGGAAGGGATCCAGTTTCAGCTTTCTACAAATGGCTAGCCAGTTTTCCCAGCACCATTTATTAAATAGGGAATCCTTTCCCCATTGCTTGTTTTTCTCAAGTTTGTCAAAGAGCAGATGGTTGTAGATGTGTGGTATTATTTCTGAGAGCTCTGTTCTGTTCCATTGGTCTATATCTCTGTTTTGGTACCAGTACCATGCTGTTTTGGTTGCTGTAGCCTTGTAGTATAGTTTGAAGTCAGGTAGCGTGATGCCTCCAGCTTTGTTCTTTTGGCTTAGGATTGTCTTGGCCATGCGGGCTCTTTTTTGGTTCCATATGAACTTTAAAGTAGTTTTTTCCAATTATATGAAAAAAGTCATTGGTAGCTTGATGGGGATTGCATTGAATCTATAAATTACCTTGGTCAATATGGTCATTTGCATGATATTGATTCTTCCTATCCATGAGCATGGAATATTCTTCCATTTGTTTGTGTCCTCTTTTATTTCATTGAGCAGTGGTTTGTAGTTCTTCTTGAAGAGGTCCTTCACATCCCTTGGAAGTTGGATTCCTAGGAATTTTAGTTTCTTTGAAGCAATTGTGAATGGGAGTTCACTCATGATTTGGCTCTCTGTTTGTTATTGGTGTATAAGAATGCTTGTGATTTTTGCACATTGATTTTGTATCCTGAGACTTTGCTGAAGTTGCTTATCAGCTTAAGGAGATTTTGGGCTGAGATGATGGTGTTTTCTCAATATACAATCATGTCATCTGCAAACAGGGAAATTTTGACTTCTTCTTTTCCCTATTGAATACCCTTTATTTCTTTCTCCTACCTGATTGCCCTGGCCAGAACTTCCAACACTATGTTGAATAGGAGTGGTGAGAGAGGGCATCCCTGTCTTGTGCCAGTTTTCAAAGGGAATGCATCCAGTTTTTTACCCATTCAGTGTGATACTGACTGTAGTTTTGGCATAAATAGCTCTTATTATTTTGAGATATGTTCCAGCAATACCTAGTTTATTGAGAGTTTTTAGCATGAAGGGCTGTTGAATTTTGTTGAAGGCCTTTTCTGCATCTATTGAGATAATCATGTGGCTTTTGTCTTTGGTCCTGTTTATATGATGGATAACATTTATTGATTTGTGTATGTTGAACTAGCCTTGCATCCCAGGGATGAAGCCAACTTGATTATGGTGGATTAGCTTTTTAATGTGCTGCTGGGTTCAGTTTGCCAGTATTTTATTGAGGATTTTTGCATTGATGTTCATCAGAGACATTGGTCTAAAATTCTCTTTTTTTGTTGTGTCTCTGCCAGGCTTTGGTATCAGGATGATGCTGGCCTCATAAAATGAGTTAGGGTGGATTCCCTCTTTATCTATTGATTGGAATAGTTTCAGAAGGAATGGTACCAGCTCCACCTTGTACCTCTGGTAGAATTTGGCTGCGAATCCATCTGGTTCTGGACTTTTTTTGGTTGGTAGGCTATTAATTATTGCCTCAATTTCAGAGCCTGTTATTGGTCTATTCAAGGATTCAACTTCTTCCTGGTTTAGTCTTGGGACGGTGTATGTGTTCAGGAATTTATTGCTTTCTTCTAGATATTCTAGTTTATTTGTGTAGAGGTGTTTATAGTATTCTCTGATGGTAGCTTGTATTTCTGTGGGATCGGTGGTGATAATCCCTTTATCATTTTTTATTGCATCTATTTGATTCTTCTCTCTTTTCATCTTTATTAGTCTTGCTAGTGGCCTATCAATGTCATTGATCTTTACAAAAAACCAGCTCCTGAATTCATTAATTTTTTGAAGGGTTTTTGTGTCTCTATCTCCTTTAGTTCTGCTCTGATCTTAGTTATTTCTTGCCTTCTGCTAGCTTTTGAATTTGTTTGCTCTTGCTTTTCTAGTTCTTTTAATTGTTATATTAGGGTTATCAGTTTTAGATCTTTCCTGCTTTCTCTTGTGGGCATTTAGCACTATAAATTTCCCTCTAGACACTGCTTTAAATGTGTCCTAGAGATTCTGGTACATTGTGTCTTTGTTCTCATTGGTTTCAAAGAGCATCTTTATTGCTGCCTTCATTTCGTTATGTACCCAGTAGTCATTCAGGAGCAGGGTGTTCTGTTTCCATTTAGTTGTGCAGTTTTGATTGAGTTTCTTAATCCTGAGTTCTAATTTGATTGCGCTGTGGTCTGAGAGACAGTTTGTTGTGATTTCTGTTCTTTTTCATTTGCTGAGGAGTGCTTTACTTCCAACTATGTGGTCAATTTTGTAATAAGTGTGATGTGGTGCTGAGGAGAATGTATATTCTGTTGCTTTGGTGTGCAGAGTTCTGTAGATGTCTATTAGGTCTGCTTGGTGCGGAGCTGAGTTTTCATCCTAGATCTCCTTGTTAAACTTCTGTCTCATTGATCTAATATTGACAGTGGGTTGTTAAAGTCTCCCACTATTGTTGTGTGGGAGTCTAAGTCTCTTTTTTAGTCTATAAGGACTTACTTTATGAATCTGGGTGTTTCTGTATTGGGTGCATATATATTTAGGATAGTTAGCTCTTCTTGTTGAATTGATCCCTTTACCATTATGTAATGGCCTTCTTTGTCTCTTTTGATCTTTGTTGGTTTAAAGTCTGTTTTATCAGAGACTTGGATAGCAAACCCTGCTTTTTTTTGCTTTCCATTTGCTTGGTAGATCTTCCTCCATCCCTTTATTTTGAGCCTATGTGTGTCTCTGTATGTGAGATGGGTCTTGACTCTATCCAATTTGCCAGCTTGTGTCTTTTAACTGGGACATTTATCCCATTTACATTTAAGGTTAATATTGTTATGTGTGAATTTGATCCTGTCATTATGATGTTAGCTGGTTATTTTGCCCGTTAGTTGATGCAGTTTCTTCCTAGCATCAGTGGTCTTTAAAATTTGGCATGTTTTTGCAGTGGCTGGTACTGGTTGTTCCTTTCCGTGTTTAGTGCTTCCTTCAGGAGCTCTTGTAGGGCAGGTCTGGAGGTGACAAAATCGCTCAGCATTTGCTTGTCTGTAAAGGATTTTATTTCTCCTTCACTTATGAAGCTTAGTTTGGCTGGATATGAAATTCTGGGTTGAAAATTCTTTCTTTAAAAATGTTGAATATTGGCCCCCGCTCTCTTCTGGCTTGTAGAGTTTCTGCCGAGAGATCTGCTGCTAGTCTGATGGGCTTCCCTTTGTGGGTAACCTGACCTTTCTCTCTGACTGCCCTTAACATTTTTTCCTTCATTTCAACCTTCATGAATCTGACAATTATGTGTCTTTTGGTTGCTCTTCCCAAGGAGTATCTTTGTGGTGTTCTCTGTATTTTCTGGATTTGAATGTTGGCCTACCTTGCTAGGTTGGGGAAGTTCTCCTGGATAATATCCTGAAGAGTGTTTTTCAGCTTGGTTCCATTCTCCCTGTCACTTTCAGGTACAGCAATCAAAAGCAGATTTGGTCTTTTCACATAGTCCTATATTTCTTGGAGGATTTGTTCATTTCTTTGTACTCTTCTTTCTCTAAACTTCTCTTCTGACTCCATTTCATTAATTTGATCTTCAATCACTGATACTCTTTCTTTCACTTGATTGAATCAGCTACTGAAGCTTGTGCATGCATCACGTAGTTCTTGTGCCATGGTTTTCAGCTCCATCAGGTTATTTAAGATCTTCTCTATGCTGTTTATTCCAGTTACTCATTCGTCCAATCTTTTTCCAAGGTTTTTAGCGATGGGTTCGAACATCCTCCTTTAGCTAGGAGAAGTTTGTTATTACCGTCCTTCTGAAGCCTACTTCTGCCAACTCTTGAAAGTCATTCTCCATCCATCTTTGTTCCATTGGTGGTGAGGAGCTGCGATCCTTTGGAGGAGAAGACATGCTCGGGTTTTGAGAATTTTCAGCTTATCTTCTCTGTTTTCTCCCCATCTTTGTGGTTTTATCTACCTTTGGTCTTTGATGATGGTGACCTAGAGATGGGGTTTTGGTGTGGATGTCCTTTTTGTTGATGTTGATGCTATTCCTTTCTGTTTGTTAGTTTTCCTTCTAACAGTCAGGTCCCTCAGCTGCAGGTCTGTTGGAGTTTGCTGGAGGTCCTCTCCAGACCCGTTTCCTTGGGTATCACCCACAGAGGCTGCAGAGCAGCAAATATTGCAGAACAGCAAATATTGCTGTCTGATCATTCCCCTGGAAGCTTCGTCTCAGAGGGGCACCCGGCTGTATGAGGTGTCAGTTGGCCCCTACTTGGAGGTGTCTCCCAGTTAGGCTACATGGGTGTCAGGAACTCACTTGAGGAGGCAGTCTGTCCATTCTCAGAGCTCAAACACCATGCTGGGAGAACCAATGCTCTCTTCAGAGCTGTCAGGCAGGGATGTTTAAGTCTGCAGGAGTTTCTGCTGCCTTTTGTTCAGCTATGCCCTGCCCCCAGAGGTGGAATCTACAGAGGCAGGTGGGGCTCCTTGAGCTGTGGTGGGCTCCACCCAGTTCAAACTTCCTGGCCATTTGTTTACCTACTCAAGCCTCAGCAATGGCAGTGCAGGATATAATCTCCTGGTGTGCCGTTTGCTAAGACCATTGGAAAAGTGCAGTATTTAGGTGGCAGTGTCCCGATTTTCCCGGTACAGTCTGTCACTGCTTCCCTTGGCTAGGAAAGGGAAAACCCTGGACCTCTTGCACTTCCTGGGTGAGGCGATGCCCCACCCTGCTTTGGCTGGCCCTCTGTGGGCTGCACCCACTGTCTAACCAGTCCCAGTGAGATGAACCAGGCACCTCAGTTGGAAATACAGAAATCACCTGTCTTCTGTGTTGATCACTCTGTGAGCTGCAGACCAGAGCTGTTCCTATTCAGCCATCTTGGAACAGAGACCTACTTAGGGAATTTTTAAAATTACAATTTCTAGTCTCCTATGAAGACCAATTAAATCAATATCTCTGTTTGGGGGAAGGCAAACTAAAAAATTATTATAATTTAAAAGGCGTTCAAATAATTTCAATTTGCAGGTAAGGATGAAAATTTAGGGGTCCATTTTTATTGCTAGTGTTTCATCACAAATAATGCTGCTATAATCATCCAAATTCTCTTACTTTTGAAAAATTATTTGAAATGTTTTTATAATATATACTTAAAAATGAATTGCTGGAATAAATGTTATGCCTTATTTAAATATCTGTTTATATTGCCTAGTTGTCCTTCAAAGGCTTTTCAACTAACTATTATGTAATACGGTCCCATATTTCTCCACACATACTGAATATTTTGAGTATTAGATAACCATATTTTAAAAAATTAACATGTAAACCCTTATTATTGTTTTTTATACATAAATGCAAGAATCTGTGTCATACAGAATCCAAAGTTTAGAATTTACTATTTATCTATACCTACATTTCATAATTAAGTCCAAAAAATTATAATTCCTCACTATTTTGAATATGTTTTCATATTCAATATGAAGCCAATGTATTAGTCAGGGTTCTCCAGTGAAACAGAACCAATAAATATATGCATATCTTACTGGGGATACACACACACACACACACACACAAATATATGTTTGTACCCACTTATGTGCATGTACATATATGTAGGGGCAAATCTTGTAAGTTCTGGTCAATCTGTAAGCAAATCTGTAAGCATCTTTTTTTGGTTTTTGCATGCTTAATAAGTTATTAAGATATAGATGTCAGGGTTCAACATCATTTTCTGTAATATATTACTTACCTTAGATATTAGTGTTATCTATTGTTTTTCTGCTGTAATGGAATATATGATAAATATATATTATCCATATATGATTATATATATTATACATATGGATGATAAGGGGAAAATTTTATAGGCATTGACTCACATGATTATGAGAAGTTACAATATGCCATCTGCCAAAAACCTAAGAAGGGCTTGTTGGTAGGAGTGCTGCTGGTATAAGTAGCAGAGCTCTAAGACGATGGATGTCCAAGTTCAGGAAGCAGAGAGTGAATTTAGCCCTTCACTACCCCTTTTTTTTTTTTCTAGGCCCTCAGTGAGTGAGATGATTCTGCACCCACATTGGTGGGTCTTTGTTACCCAGCATACTGATTAATATGCTAATCTCTTCTGAAAATACCCTTCCAAAGACACTCAGAAATAATGTCTTACCAGCTATCTGGGCAACCTTTAACCCAGTCAAACTGATACATAATATTGACCATCACAGTCAGTGTCTCTACATTCTAATTAATATTATAAGAGATTTATGGTTGTACCATTTCCTTTGTTGTTGCCAGTCTGTTTCATTTTAGCTATTCGGGAATCTGTGTTGTGACTCTAAGGGTAATGTGAAACATTTCCTTAAATAATCAAATAACTTTTTGTGCAAGTTCAAAGCTTTTTGTTTTTGTGTTTTAGTAGGACAACACTCTCCTACATTGTCTGTATTTCTAAGGGTTTCTAATCTGTTCCACATTCCAGTAATCACTCCCACCATTTATTACAGATATATTCTTCATTTCAGCTTTAGTTAGTTTGCTTTCTCACCCTTATACCTCTCTTTTGTGCTTAAAGAAAATTACACTGAGGACCTTGGCTTTTAAGTTAAAAAATATCACTTACCTGATCTTCATACTGAGTAATTTTATTCAAATGAAATAATTTTCTTAGTGGCACTCTTAGTATATATTTATCTAATGCAGTGTAAACAGTAGAAACATTTAATTCAGATTAATTTACTTAAAGTCTTTCTCAATTTGTTTCAGAATGTAAATATTCCCTCTTCCAATCTTGCTTCCAAAGATACTAATACATATATACTACCAAATTCCTACTATCCAACCTCCTCCTCTAAATTCATATATGATGCATGATATGCAAGCAAGTTTCAGTTATTGGTTAGTTGTTACATAACATAGATCAATGTATTTCCAGCCTTTCTAATATCACTTTTGCCTAGGAACAAGTGATTTCTTGTTCATGTAATATACCATGTATCATCAGAAGAAGTTCTGCTCCATAGTCACTTGTCAGCCCTGCCTGAAAAAAGATATAGCTAACATATTAAGTCTCCTTAGTAATCAAGGAAGGAAAGAGAGCAACTGGAATATGAAAAAATTTCGAAGCTATGAACTTGGGTATTTTAAAGGGTGCTCTGAGGTGATCATCTTAAATTTAAAAAAAAGTTTCCCCAAGTATTTACATGGAGAACCTTGTATGAAATAGGCACCCAAGTTTTTCATTGTGTTAAAATTATTAACTTGATGCTTAAAATAAAAGACTATCCTCACTGATTTCATATAACTAATATCTAATTATGTGTGTATGGCTTGTAGGGGTATTTTAGTACGGCATAATTGTTTAATAGCAAAAAAACATGAATAGGCATTTAGTCTGAACCAAGGTCAGGTTAATGCAATTTTTGAAAGTAATATGATACTAAAACGTGTGTGTGTGTATATATATGTGTGTGTGTGTATACATAGATACACACTGTAATATATTATTATCCATATATATGATTATATAATATATATGGATGATAAGAATGGATATGGATATATATGGATGTATATACATGTATATATGCATGTATATATGTGTGTGTATATATATATATGTATATATAGTGGGATCTCAGCTAACTGCAGCCTCGGTCTTCTGGGTTGAAGTGATTCTCCTGCCTCAGCCTCCTGAGTAGCTGGTATTACAGGCGTGCACCAGTACATCCGGCTAAATTTTGATTTTTAGTAGAACGGGGTGTCACCATGTTAGCCAGGCTAGTCTCGAACTCCTGACCTCAAATTATCCACCCACCTCAGCCTCCCAAAGTGCTGGGATTACAGGTGTGAGCCACCAGCCCTGGCCATATATATATATATTACATTTTCTCACAAAATTAAGAAACTAGCTTAAAAATTATTTGTATTATTCAAAGTCTTACATCAATCATATACGTAGAAATGTGAGGGGGTTTTGACACATAACCCACATTTTCTTTTAACTTAGTACTGTATAAAATCAGTTACCTCTGCTTTTTAGAAGCATAAAAGCTAAAGTGAAATTGCTTGAAGCATAGAAAAGTGAGAAAACTTTAATGAAGCTTTCAGGATTCACACCTTGTCTTTTCTGAACTGAAAGTCACTCTCGCCTGGGAATGAATTAGGGTCATTAGGAAGATGAATCCTATTTGTTGCCTGAAATATTACTTTGTATCTGGGTGTGATTTAATTTTGAATCTGGTAAGAATCACACATTGATCATATATCCTGTGATACTATGGGGCATCTTAGTAGGAGTTTCAGTTATTATTTCAATTTAGGTGTATGGGTGTGTATTTTTCATTGCCTCAACTGCATGCTGATCCATATATTTTGATCAAAGAAAAAAAAATATTTGACACATTCGCATCCATAGAAGCCACAGAAGTAGCAACCAATTAAAACAACTTATCAAACCGTTGGGGCTGAATCTATTACCTTTAAGAGTGGTGACATCTTTAGATGCTTGGAAGGCTATACGGATTAAAATATTGCATTATAACACCTAAACAATAACAATCCAAGTTGAAATATGAAAACTGCTGAATTGTGCTCAGTATTATTTGAGAATCTGAAAAGTAGTCACCTAGAAAAAGAAAGGTAAATTGGAAGTGCATAGGCTCTGCCAGAGACTGAAGCTCAACTTTAAATCAAATAACCCCTGAAATTGGATTAAATTGACCCTGAAGTGCTAGGCCAGCAGCACTACAAATTCCAGAACCAGGTCCATTACTATGTGAACACTAGAGGTATGATAAAAAAAAAAAAGTCACTGAAGAGATGAGAAAATAAAGATCTTTAAAGAAATGGGTTAATTGGATATGTACATAGAAAAATTAAAACGTGAACCGACCTTACACTATATGCAAAAGTAAATTCTAGATGAATTGTAAATTTGAATTTAGATAAAATATTAAAAATTAGAAGAAAAAAATGAGACCTCCATGACTTCATGATTGGAAAATGCAGAATATATTTACTTACATTGAAGAAATAAACACACATTTTTGCATATATTAAAATTAAGGACATCTCAGCAAGACACCAAAAATGAACACAATGAAAAACTACAATGTGAAAAGTGACAACATGTATAACTGTATGCGTGTGCACACACACACACACACACACACTATCACTCCCCTCAGAAAAATAAACAAAACTAATATGAAAGCTGCCGAAAGATTTGGTAACTAATTTTAAAAAGGGGCTTTCCAAATGGCTAATAAACATAAGAAAAACTATTCAACCTCCTTAATATCCAGGAAAACACAAATTAAAGCTCAGCGAGTTATCATTGTCCACACATAATGACACAAAAAGAAAAAGAACAGTGCAAGCTTTTTAACATGTAGTGATCAGAACTCAACCAAATACTCCAGGGAAAAGCTCTAAAGCTCTTGGAGCTCTTTTTCTGTTCGGTTCTTTCTGCAGTACTCTGTCTTGCAAGCTCTAGCAGCTTTGGTTTCCCAGCACCAGTTTAATCTAAACTCTACTCAGGGAGTTTTCTGGCTCTGTTTGTGTCTACTTTCCTAGATAGAAGTCATAGGGCTTCTCTTAAGGCCGCAAGCTGAGGCAAATGTAGGGCTCATCTTATTTATCTTCCATCTCTCATAGAACACCGCAAGGTCACCCTGCTCTCCAATATATCAAAACCATTGTTCTATATATTTTATTTTTTGAAGGGTTGAACCCAATATTGTAGTATATCTGGTCTTTGTTGCTCCATCTTGGCTAGAAGGAAAAGTAGTATCACTAATTTCTGAACAATTTTCTACCAGCATCACTAAAAGCAGAAATCTGCTACTGCAAATTAGTGAAAAACACTTCTTGATTTTTCATTTCACTTGTCTTTCATTGCTTTCTGAAAGTTGACACCTGTAGCTTTTACTTAATATAATAAAATCAGTCATCATCTTCTCCCATTGCTTGCATTCATACTTACAAAATACTTAAAGCCAACTGAACCATCACAATTTTTTGAAGTATATCTGTTTAACTCTGAGAACTATTATAAAAATTCATATTGTCCCCTTCAGTTTCATTTGCTTCCATGTCTCAATTATTGTGAAAAGTGATGAAGAATTCTTTAGTACTGATTCAGTGCCACTCTAAATATGGAAATTTAACATCCTATGTTTTTGTGATAAAAGTTTATCAAATAAAGAAATTTGGACTTCATTCAGTGCTCTCAAAATTGATGCTTTTTTTCTGATCATTATCTTATACTACATTCAAAATTTCCACTTTGCTAGATGGCAAGTGCATGCCTTCTTCATTCTGCTTGCCTATTATTGAGTGATAACCCTTGAAGTTGGAGGCCAGGAAGACTTACCACATTCTTTACTCATTCTCTCTTTTAAGAAGATAGTCAGTACTGTTGAGGCCAAATGGGACAGTGGTAGCAATCATAGGATTTACAAATGGAGAAGGATAAAATGTATGGACCTTGTTGTTTTCCTGGATTGTACAAATCAAAGACAAAAATATATTTTTGAGAAAACAAAGAAAGTCAAAACAGGGTATTAGATAATACTGCTTTATTTTTATGCTTATTTTGTTGGGTTGTATTATTTTTATATTTTAAATTCTTAACACTTAGAGATACTTACTAAGTGACTGATATGGTTAGGCTTCCTGTCCTCACCTGAATCTCATCTTGAATTGTAAGTCCCGTAATTCCTATGATCCCCACCTGTTAAGGAAGAGATCAGGTGGAGGTAATTGAATCATGGGCGCGGTTTCCCGCATGCTGTTCTCATTATGCTGAGTGAGTCTCATTATAGCTGATGGTTTTATAAGGGGTTCTTCCCCCTTTGCTCGGCACTTCTCCTTTCTGCTGCCTTGTGAAGAAGGTGTCTTGCTTCCTTTTCACTTACTCCATGATTGTAAGTCTCCTGAGGCCTCCACAGCCATGCTGAACTGTGAGTCAATTAAACCTCTTTCCTTTATAAATTACCCAGCCTTGGGAAGTTCTTTATAGCAGTATGAAAACAGACTAACATATTGACTTATGAGCCATATGATATGACATATGTGACTGGCCTTAAACCACTCAGCAGAAATGTTAGGTGTTACATTTGAATAGATGAAATAACAAAGGCAGAAATATATGATGAAATAAACTTAATTGTAACAAGTTGTCATAGTAACTCAAATGAGTTACAATAGATATTTATTATGACGGTTAAAGTAATTAATAGCTGTATAGATTAAAATCACGCCATCAATAATAAAACATTTCTGGCTTGGTGTGGTGGCCTATGCCTGCAATTCCATGTCTTTGGGAGGCCAAAGCAGGGAATCACTTGAGGCCGGGAGTTCAGGACCAGCCTGGGAACAAGACCCTGTCTCTACAAAAAAATTTAAAAAATAAGCTGGGCATTGCGGCACGAAGCTGGCCAGGTAGTCCCAGCTATTTGGGAGGCTGAGGCAGAAGGATTGTTTGGCCCCAGGAATTTGAAGCTGCACTGAACAATGATCAGGGTCACAGAATGAAATTCTTTCTCAAAACATAAGTAAATAAATTAATAATAATAACATATTTCTATTACTTTCTGTAGCTGAATACCCATTGCTGACCCCTGGTATTTGCTGGTCAAGTTTTCCAGTGAGAAAATGAAAGTCAAATTTTAATGACATACATTTTTGGATATAGATAAATTAGGAAAAATGTATATAAATATTGCACATTATTGCAATATTTTTAGGACAAATTTATTCACAAACATGTTTAAACTAGATTCATTTGTATTTGTTTTAGGTTAAGGGGTACGCCCTTAATCCACGATAGGCAAACCATCCTTGGGCCAAATCTGACCTGCCACTCATTCTTAAAATCATATGTATTTGAACATAGCCATGACCATTCACTTATATAGTGTCTGTGGCCTCTTTTTCTGTTACAATGACAGAAGAAAGTAATTGTGACAGAGACCTTATGATCCACACAACCTAAAATGTTTACACTCTGAAAAATTTGCTGAATCCTGGCTGTCATTTGTTGTTCAAAATAAATCTACACTCTCCAGAAAGACAGTATGCATAAGAACTTAAAAGTAAGCTGATTTAATCTTTTTGGAGGGGAAATTTTTGTCAAAGTAACTAATATTTTGTCATATATCGTAAAAATACAATATTCACTTTTCAAATGTATTATAGCTTTGGAGAAGCCAACAAATATCCAGCTTGACAGGCTAATTAAATATTTTTAATGTGATTTTATCCTATTACTCTACTATTTTAGGTATTAAAGCACCATGGGCAACATATTTATTGTAATTATTGTTACATTTTCAAGAAATTGGAAATAGTAGAAACCATTGATTACCAAGGAACACAAAAATACAGCCAAGATATTTAAAAAACATAAAGACATTTGCAGTATTAGTATATAGTTATGGCTAGAGCTTAATTTATAGTTTGTAATTCAGGAAAACCACATCAAAGGAAGATATTTTAATATAAAGAGAAAACTTTTTAACATATGGAATAACTAAGATTATGCTGTCCTGCATGGTTCATAATGCATGAACTGTCTAAAAGTTAACCTAAGCAAACTGTACAGGTTTAAATCATACCATATTGATGTTTTTAGTTCATTTTTAAAGACTCAAATGTATGAAGACATGTATGAGCCTAGGGGAATGCTCTTAATTTGTTCATGCAGAGAATACATTTCAGGTTCTCTGATTTCCCAGGCAGATTTTCATTCATTCTTTAATACCAAGAGACAGTGATTTTTTTTTTAAATAGCGAGCACCGTTGCATCAGGATTTTCCTATCTTTTTAATGTTATAAACAGAATGCTAATTTTCTAAAGCTTGATAGGAAGCAAAATTTACCTTATGAAAAAGAATAAATCACAAGTTCCTTTTAGAAATAATCCTCTAAGGATAGTATAGGCAAGTCAAATATTTCATGGACAACATCAAATAAAAATAGCTGTTCACAAGAATTAAGACAACAAAGTGTTTGACTTTGGAAAACAAGGAGTATATAAAATTCTTCATCTAAATGTGTAACTCATCTGTCTTTGTGACTCAACCTCCACTAAAACAGCTGCACAGATTAATGCAGAACTGCTCCATAAGCTAATCTCAGTGTCTCTAAAGAGAAGAATGCTGCCACACAAGGCCTATGACTCAATAAACCTTCTCCTCTTCAAGATCCTGCCCTGCAGGCCCCTCTCTTCCCCTCCCCTCCCCTCCCCTTCCGTTCCCTTCCCTTCCCTTCTTCTGTTTGTTTTTTCTTTTTTTCTTTTCTTTTTTCTTTCTTCTTTCTTCTTCTTTTCTTCTTTCTTTTTTCTTCTTCTTTTTCTTTTTTTCTCTTCTCTTTTCCCTTCCCTTTTTCCTTCCCTTCCCTTTTTCCTTTTCTTTCCTTTTTCCTTTCCTTTCCAGACAGGCTCTCTCTCTGTAGCTCCTAGGCTGGACTGCAGTGGTGTGATCACTGCAACCTCTAACTCCTGGACTCAACTCAAGTGATCCTCCAGCTTCAGCCTCCCGAGTACTTGGGACTACAACTGTGTACTATTCCTGGCTATTTTTTTAATCTAATTTATTTATTTTTTTTGTAGAGATGGGGGTTCTGCTATGCTGCCCAGACTGTTTTCAAATTCCTGGCCTGAAGTGATCCTCCTGCCTTGGCCTTCCAAAGCACTGGGATTACAGGTGTGAGCCACCATTCCCAGTCTTAATATTAAGTATTTATGGGATGCTTCTTGGTCTTATCGGCATAACCATTATTAAATATTAATTATACTTTTGTAGGTTGAATTATTAGAAATTTGGCCTATTTTTAGAACACAAGCCACGTAAAAATTTATCACATTTTCACTTTTTCTTTTAAATGAAAGCAAGTTTATTAAGAAAGTAAATAAATAAAAGAATGACTACTCCATAGGCAGAGCAGCCACATTTTCAATTATCTTTATCATGTGTTCTATATCAAGTTACTCTGGCTGACTAATTTCCCTAAGTATAATAGTAAAGCTCATGGTGGCATTATCTTAATTTTTATACTTTCTTGGTATCCTGCTGCTTCTAGAATCAAAAGACAATCTCTGTTTTTCTTGTACATGCCTTGAGTCATTAAATTGATTTTTTATGTACTTAAAATTAAAAGCACTATATTGTTACTATTCCTACTACTGGTACTACTGCAACTATCCTATGTAATTAGAAAGCATTGCCTTCTTACTAATATTGCTACAATGTATTTTTACTTCTTTTGGACTTTTTAATGCAAACACCCAACAAAGTGCTCATGTCCTAGTAAAGTAAGAAACATTTTTCTAAAAATAATGCACAGATTTACAAAACTTTACATGATAAATATATAAGCTGTCAAAATCATTTGCCATTTTAGAGATCCCTGGATCTGCAAAGCATCTTGTCACAAAGGCATAGCCATTATATAGTCTAGCTTGACTTTATTATTTTAATTATCTAGAAAAAAAAATTTAAATAAATGGAATATAACCAGAGTAGACAAATAGCATGTATACAGCCCTGCAGACTCACTAAATATTTGTAGGAGGCATATAATCTGATAGTTTAGTCAATTATTCCAATTTGTTGTGGCCCCATCAGAGAGGTTGTTAAATATTTATATTTTCAATCAGAAATAAATAAGAAATTTTTAATTTTGTCTGAACTCTACATTGAGAGCCAAAAATGTCAGTTTTATGGGAAATTGATAGCCTAACATTCCCTTACAAACTCTACCATTTTATAGGTAACACATTAAGACTGGAATGATTAAGTAACTTTAATGATGTCACAAAGCTAAATAGTTTGTCTACCCTTAATATTGATATTTGATATATCATTGAGTAACTCAGTGTCAGTTCAAAAGTTTTGGAAGCATGATTTAGTTTTGTAATATATATGAACATTTATCTTGGCTGTCTGCGATTTTTGTGCCCAAGCCTGGAAAGCATATTTTACAAAAACAACTAGCTTTAACACAGAAATATAAGTTGATGTATCAGTGACTTTCCAAGTAACTCAATCTATTACTCTTGTATATCTCACCTTATTTAAGGACTTCATAATCACTTGGCTACACCACTGCAAGTATTTCTTATAGTTTCAAGTCTATCTGCCTCAAATCCACATAAAATTTACCACTTCAAACTCTTTATAAAGTGAGAAAACACAGAAATCACTCTCCTACTGATAAATACATTAAAACAGTCATCTCTCCCATAGCTGATAGAAACGACTTTATGCACAGGTATATGTATGTGTGTGTGTATATATATATAATTATACACAAACACATATACACATGCATACATACATATATATGCATATAATATGCACACATACACACACATATATGAAAAAATAATGAACTTAAATCCACACTTTGCATGTATACACAAATTAAGCCAAGATAGTCATATACCTAAATGGACAACTTCTCCAAGAAATCAAAAGAAAAAAAAAATTATTTGTGACCTTAGGTTAAATGCAATTGATTTCTCTATGACACAAATGACATGATCCATAAAATAAAAAAATACATAAAACATGATCATAATAAAATAACCTGTTAATTAAATACACTGTTGATAGCATAAGAAGATAACACACAAACTTGGGGTAAAATATTTGCAAAGCATATATTTAATAATGACTGAAATATATAAAGAATGTTCAAAATATAATTATTCCCTTATCCAATCACAAGGGAAAAATAGACAAATGTACAGTGTCTTGAAATCTGCATTATATTTGTGTTTTTCAAGATTTGTGTTTTTCAAGATTTTGTTGTATTTCTGTCCAATGCATTTTTTATGTTAATGTTAGATACACGTAGAAAACATATTCATTATAATTGTAAAGTTTAATGAATATAAGTTGAACACCCATGTAAACATACAAACCAGCTTAATAAATAACTACAACTAACAGATCAATGTCAGCATTCCCAAAGCCCTCCATGTGTCTTTTCCTATTCATACTACCTCCTTTCTTTCTAGAGAAGACTACAATCCAAACATCTATGCTGATCATTTTGTTTTTATTTTATGTTTACATTCTACGCTTACGTTTCTGAGATATATTTTTTTTCTGTTTTTAAAATGTGTAGATATTACATTATTTCTTTCTTTCAGTATTTTGTGAGATTCATCCAACTTATTGTTTAGCTGCAGTACAGTGGTCCCCAACCTTTTTGGCACCAGGAACTGGTTTCAAGAAAGAGAATTTTTCCACCAGTGTGGGGGGTGGGGGTTGTGTAGGGAGTTGGAGAGAGTGGTTTCAGGATGATACAGTTCCACCTCAGATCACCAGCCATTAGATTCTCATAAGGAGCACGAAACTTATATCCCTCACAAATGGTTCACACTCACTCCTATGAAAATCTAATGCTGCCACTCATACGCCAGGTAATGGAGCTCAGGCAGTAATGCTTGCTTGGATGCCAATGTCCTCCTGCTGTGCTCCTCAGTTCCCAACAGGCCATGGACCAGTGTTGGTCCTTTTGGCCTAGGGGGTTAGCGATCCCTGATGTAGTCCACTTTTTCCTTCTCCGTAATATTCGTTGACTCATTCTCTGAACGGGCGTAACAATTTATATCGTTTTTGTTTTGCCTATTAATGTTTTTAGCATTTATATTTAGCTGCCAAGTTACTCAGATCAGAAAGGTATATGTTGTTTCTATCTTTCCATTTACTTTAGCTTTCAAAATTACATGCCATTTTTTATCCTGTTTAGTGCCCTTTTGTTTTAATTTTGTCTTCTTGGACAGGCTACCAGCACTGCATTATTGTGTTTTTACTTGCATAAAACATAATTTCCTGTATATTTATAGACACCCCTTTGCTTTCAATGTATTTTTTCAAGGAATATTTAGCTATTTTTTTCAACCAATTCCTCACGGTTTTATATACACACACACACATATATATATATTATATATAATATATGATATATAATATAATATATAATATATAATACAAAATATAAAATAATATATATTACATTTTATTTGTATTATATATTATTTTATATTTTATATATATATATATTTTTTTGAGATAGAGTCTTGCTCTGTTTCCCAGGCTGGAGTGTAGTGTCACAATCTTGGCTCACTGCAACCACAGCCTCCCGGGTTCAAGCGATTCTCTTGCCTCAGCCTCCCAAGTAGCTGGGATCACAGGCACCCACCACCATGCCTGGCTAATTTTTGTATTTTTTGTAGAGATGGGGTTTCACTATGTTGGCCATGCTGGTCTCGAACTCCTGACCTCAGATGATCTGCCCGCCTTGGCTTCCCACAGTGCTGGGATTACAGGTGTGTAACCATGCCTGGCCTCATCAAGGTTTAATTTTTTAAAGGAGATAATTCAGTCAAAGTCATATGCAGTGTCATAGCTGGTATATTGGAGTATGTTCATCTAAGATCTTGTTTCTTGTTTTACTTTTTTGTTTAATATTTTTTCTTACCCTTAATTTTTAATGTTTTGTTAGAATTTTGTATCAATTCTTAATTTTTATGTAATTTATGTAAAATACCCACCTCAGTTTTAATTCTGAAAATGTTTTTATTTCCTATTAAAGAAATTACATTCAAACATATATTTTCCTGTGTAGTCTTACAAAAGTGTTCTATTTTTCCACTGCTGATTTAATCTCCCTATGTCGTAATATTTTTAAAACTTTGATTTGTGAATTATAACCCAAGTAATATATGTGAAACACCATTTTCTTCATCACTGTGTTCCCTTTCAAGATATATTTTTGTTGTTGTTGACCAAATTTAGGACTTGTTCCAGTTACTGATGCATGGTCATTCAACTTGAAATTAACCCTTGTTTCTGCCCGGTGAAAATGGA
Organism: Homo sapiens; assembly: GCF_000001405.40. Classification (NCBI taxonomy): domain Eukaryota; kingdom Metazoa; phylum Chordata; class Mammalia; order Primates; family Hominidae; genus Homo; species Homo sapiens. Next base: position 189,429,652 of record NC_000001.11, read on the forward strand.
TCTTGGCCCTTAAAATATTTTTTTTTTCTTTTCCCACCTGTCACTGAACCTTTGTCAGTAGGGGGCAGTAAAGAGACATGCAAGAGGAAAGGATATTCGTTTCTTAGTTCTGGTGTGCCCACTAGGCATTGTCAGGAATCACTGCACATGGCTTCTCTAGTGCCCAGCTCCTACAGCATGGACAGTGTCTTTGGCACCTGTGTCATTTAGCAGACACACTTTTGAATTGGCATAGACAAACTGAGCAAACGATAAAATCCCCATATCAACTGACTGACTCATGGCAGGGAGCGTTATGGTAGGCAGCACTAAGTGGAAGCCCCTGGAACTTCCATGCCTTTCCAAGATAATAAATCAGAAGAAATAACACACTCTGTGTAGAAATTGAAGAAATTAATTCCATAATAAAAGACTTGAAATAAGCAGGCCTCAGGGTATCTGTCATACTCCCATTTAACTCACCAGTTGGCCAGTGAAGGAGTCAGATGGGACTTGGAAAATCACTATGAACTATATAATACATTTAATCTATTGGTGACTGCAATCACAGCTACCTTTTCAAGTGTAGTATTTTTTGTTTTGTTTTGTGTTCATAGCTTTGGGGTTGTTTTGACCACATGTAGTATTTTTTCAGGAACAAATCAAGACAGATCCGGTACTTGTGCAACTATTGACTTAGCTAATGCTGTTTTCTCTATACTAATTTCCAAAGGCCACCAGAAACATTTTGCTTTAACTGAAAAGTTCCGTCCAACAGTAAAATTTTACAATGTTGCCTCAAAGCTATGTCAATTGTATCACTCTCCACTCAAATATAGTCCTGAGAGATTCTGATCATTTTGACATTCCATAGAACATTACGCTGGTCTACTATACTAACTACATTATGCTAATTGTATCTAATGACCAGGAAGTAACAAGTACTTGAAATGTCTTACTAAGAAATATGTGAATAAGACGATGGGTGATCAACCTTACAAAAATTTAGAAGCCAGCCACCTTAATGAAGTATCTAGGGATTTAGTGGCTGGAGGCAAGTTGAAGTATGCTCTGGAAAGTGGGAGATAAGTTTCTACATCTTATATCAGCTACAGGATAAAGAAAGGCAAAATATTTGGTGGGTGTCTTTTTTGGATAGAAGAGGCAACATATACTACAGAGTCTCCCTAAAGATTTAGCTTTTAGTGAGATTAGAACAAGAAAAATCTCTACAGCAAGGTAAGGTTACAGTACAAGTTGCTGTATGACTTGGGCCTTGCAATCCAGCAGATCCAATGATGAATGAAATTTGAAGTGTCTGTGTCACGTTCAAATGCTGCATGCAGCTTCTGCCTGAGGTCAGGAGATAAATGGAATGGGCATCTAAAGAAGGAAATGTAGACATCCCTTACAGCATCAACTAATTAAATATAACAATTAATCTTTGCATGTTTCTATTTGCATATTAGATGTTTGTGTTTATTTGAAAATGATAGCTATTTTTCATATTTTGTATACAAGTTGTTGAAAGTTAACTTTACAATTTGGTCTTTAAGTGACAATATTTAGTGGGATGGTGACTGAATTTTGAGGGGCAATGAACATATCTAGTGATGAATATAATGACTCTTAGTGATTGTATGTCTCCTCATTTGGGGAGAAGTGGGAGAATTCTTTTTCACTTGTAAGAATGATAACTGTGTGTTCAACAGAAATATAGTTATTTTCTTGTTGAACCAGAAGTTCAAATATATGTAGAATGGTGCATACGGAAGCTGGAAGGTCCAAGGGGTAGATTGGCCACTTATCAATTACTGCCTCTTTGCCCCCAATTCATCTTTTTGCCTGCTCTGTGAATATGAACCTGGGCCCTCTAAACATTGCTTTCATTACCAGCTGCCACAGGTTTGTCAGTAGAGGGTACTGAAGTGTTGTGCAAGAGGAAATGTTCTGATTCCTGGTGCTTGTGTGGTCACTGTGTGGGAGTCCTTGCAGTGTATAAAGCTTTCCTCAAGACCAGGCTCCCAAAATTCTCACAGTCTTCAGTGCCCAGCTCCTGTAATACATGGAAGCCAGAAGAACTAAGCAGCTGTAGCTGTTCTTGGCCTCTCGCCACCTTGGATACTATTTGTAGCCCATTGCCTTTGGTTTCTTCAGCGCTCATAGTTTCCTCAAAACCAGTCCCTGAAGTATACAATCAACACATAGCAATAAACAGTTTTCCATACCACTTTGTTTTGGGCAGTTTTGTAGTGAAATGCCTCAGAAGAGGTACTATCCCATGAACAGCCTTTCCTAACACCTCGGAATTAGGATTTCCCACAAGTTCCAGAGGGCACATTTCCAAGTTTCCTCAGCATGGCGCCACGATGGCTCCTCTGTACTCAGTGAGCTATGGCTGTGTCCTCCCAGCAAGATGATCTCAGCCCTGGGCAAGGGGCTCCTCTTTATGCATTCTATCTCTGCCCTGGGAGAATGTGCTGTTCTTTCCATCTTTTCTTGCTATAGTGTTTTTTTTTTTTTTTAATTTCTCTTAGTTTTTCACTAGCCAATCCCTTATTATTTCTATCCCCTGTTACGGTACATATTAATATTTATGTTAAATTTCCCTTGTTTATTATATGGTTTCCCTCTTTTTATTGGATGCAGACTAACACATGACTTTTATCTCCATATAATTAGTAGTATTTCATTTAAAATATGTCCCTTCTGTTTCTCTAATTTAGAATTTATACTATATATTCTTGTATTGCTTACTGTGTTATCCACAGCATATAGTACCCACCACTGTTTCATCTCTTCATCAAGCTAAGTTTCTGCTCCTTAATTTGTTGTTTGTTTTTTCCTGAGTGTTTTTCTCAGATGAGGTTTGGGTGCCAGAATATTTTCATCAGTTTCAGCATATATGTAGTGTTTTGTGCCTCTTCTAATTATTTTATTTGTGTTCTGTCTCTGGCATCTTCTCCACTTTTGATGTATTATTATTATTTATGTTTATTTGCAACAGTTTTCTGCTGCTAGGTTACCTTAAGTTTCAGCTATTCCAAGATGTATGAAAGATTCAGTGATCTCTGTTTCTATGCATTGTTTATAAATCTGTGGATTATCAATTTGAGGCAACAGGAGCCAATTTATTTACTACCCATTCTTCTATGGCCTCCAAGCCTGATGTGTTTAACCTTTCTATAAGAATATGAAAACCTCTACTGAATAATTTTTTCCTGTGATCTTCCATATAGAGAAATATAGCTCAGGGTGGAGAAAGCCTTGCACATCTATGCCAGGGTCAGCCTTCCTGCTGCCTCTGAAATGTCTTTGTTCCAGGGAAGTATATGACTCAGTGTTGTAGGACGGATTAGTGGGAAATCACTCTAAAACACCCTACTGTCTCCTCCTCACTCAATACAATACAGAAATGTTTGTAAGATGCTTATGAGTCTATACGAATACATGTGTATATATATACACACACACACATATGAACATAAGGAAATTTATACCACATTTACTTACCACCTAATAACACATCAATATCTTCTAGTACCAACAACTATATAGTTTATACAATTCAAAAGTATCTATACACATATTCAGAAAATAAAAAGATAAATTTTCTTACAATATATTTTATACGAGCTTCTTCAACTTATTAAATATATTTGTTCAATGAATCTCCTCTAAAATATTCCACACTTGCAAAAATTTCTAGCTCCTTTAAATATTATGTCTATTGGAATGAATATCATATTTTTGTACTTCATTGTGTAATATATATCCATGAGTAAATAATTATAGGCTTGTACTATATGAGAGATATCTACCAAAGAGGACACACAGGAAAAATAAAGCCTATATAACCTACAGGGTTAAAAAAGGAACTTTAACTAAATCTTGCAAAATAGCTACATGTTCACAGATGATGCTATAAATGCCTATTGTGCTTTGACAAGATAAATATAAAGCAGGGAGCAGGGAATTTGGGGACAGAGTAGAAAGAGGAAGAAGTTGGGCACAATGAAAAAAGGACTTTATTGTTAATTTTGAAAACGGTGTGAAATAATTCAGATCTAGGGTTTTCTTCTTCTTAACATTATCAATTTGCCTGTTTTGGGCTTTTGATTCCATTCATAATTGGAATATTTTGACAAACTGTAAATTAATGAATCACTTTGGTACAGAAACTGAAAGTGTCTTTTTTTCTAAAATAAACTGTGTTATTTCTCCCCAAGACTAATGCATGTGAACCGGAACAGCTAGACAATTTATCCAAGAGAAAAATTAAGGACTAAATGAACCATGCAATGTGTTTATGCTACTTAATGTATAAGAAACTATAGAGAATGAACTTTATGTGTAATTTTGCTAGTGAAGTCACACTGTTGTCATGGAACTTCTGCTCTACTATTGATTTTTGTTTCCTCTAACATCTTCAATATTTCTGAGCTTGGCCAGGACTATACAGGCATATTTGCCATGCAACAATTTCATAGAAAAATATCAGTATTAATATTACAATTAAAGAGTATAAATTACATTCTTTAGAAGACTGAAATTATTGCCATAGAGATGCTATTTCCTCTGTCCTTTGAGAAACCTGGCATTTGCAAAAAGACATTTTAAATATTTTTTTCTCAGTGACATAAATCTTACAAATGCAAATTTTAAAAGAGCAAGAAAAATATGAAGTAAAATTTCAAAAACTATGCTATGCATGTAGTGAATTCACAAACTACCTTGTACTTCTACTGGAGAAAACTGGGCTAGATTTCCAAAATGATTCAGACCTGTGCTGTTATAAAATATTATTAGTTATTTGACATGAAATAAGAATAAACCCTTGTCTTGTTTGCTTTAGTTTAACTCTGAATAGCATATACTATAAAAGTATGTCTATGCTAATGTAGGAAATCCATGTAGAATGCTAGAATGGACCTTGATAAACAGTACCTAATCAGTG